>NC_000002.12:48675200-48978231 GCF_000001405.40 Homo sapiens | reverse complement strand
GCTATAACACACTTTATTAAATGGGGCACAGAGTGCTTTTTAACTCCTGCCTCTCCTGCCTCAGCCTCTTACTACCCTCCTACCCATGCAGTCTCTCTTGCTACTCTGTATCTCAAAATGAAGAGTACTAACAATGTGGAAACAATTTTAAATTACTAAGTCTCTTCTGTGCAAGTCATAATCCCATGGGGTATCCACTGGTCTTTTCAAGATTTAAATTCTCAAAACTACTCACTATCTGAATATAGCATGTGTTGCAACGTTAAAAGTGATATTTTTAAAAGAAAGACCAAAATCATTAGAAGAGACCAGCCTGAAAGATAAAGTTTAAAAACACCAGTCCACAACTACCCCTCCCCGCTTGTCCAGCCCACCAGTTCCAGGCACAAGGGCAGGAATAAAGTAAACATTCTCAAGCACTCATTGAGGGCATCAAGTCTTACATGACATACATTTAGTGGATGTTGATTAAACACCTACTGTGTGTCTGGCAAGGGGTAAGAAATATATGTGAAAACAGAAAACAGTACCTACTGTAATGCATCTGGCCAAGGGATGAATGTTACTCCCCAGTACAATGAGCACTGCAGAAATTTTCACAAATGGCTATAGTAATATACAGCAGATGCCTAATAAACCCTTGTCATCATGTCACACAATGACTTTTAACACGTGAAGTGATAGTGTGGGAGGAGACAGCCTCTGTCATCCTAGGCCTGAATTTCTGCAAAAGCCACGTTGTCCCCTTCCTACCCTCAGTCCTTTCCCCTTCCATTAGTTTACCAACTATTTATTGAACACCCACCATATGCTGGTATCAAGGTTCTCAAGACTAATCTTACAAAAATCCAGCTTTGAATAAACCATTCTTCTGCTCATATAAATCCTAAACTCTTCTGCATGACTATCAAGGCTCAGAGATCTAATCCCGTCCCATGGTTCCCTTTACTCCTCCAAGTATGATTGCCCAGAATAACTATTCTAAATAACCCTCCCTCACTGTGCCATGATTTATGTTCTGGGCCTCTCTCTAAGCCTATCTTTAGCAAATAGTCATTGTATTAGTCAAGGTTATTCAAAGACAGAAACGAGAGAGAGAGAGAGAGAGGAGAGGGGATTTTATTATTATTATTATATTTTAAGTTCTGGGATACATGTGCAGAACATGCAGGTTTGTTACATAGGTGTACACGTGCCATGGTGGTTTGCTGCACCCATCAACCCATCATCTACATTAGGTATAACTGAAGGAGACAGAGACACGAAAAACCCCTCAAAAACGTCAGTAAATCCAGGAGCTGGCTTTTGGAAGAGAATAACAAAATAAACAGACTGCTAGCCAGACTAATGAAGAATAAAAGAGAGAAGAATCAAATAAACACAATAAAAAATGATAAAGGAGATATCACCACTGATCCCACAGAAATACAAACTACCATCAGAGAATACTATAAACACCTCTATGCAAATAAACTAAAAAATGTAAAAGAAATGGATAAATTCCTGGACACATACACCATTCCAAGACTAATCCAGGAAGAAGATGAATCCCTGAATAGACCAATAACAAGTTCAGAAATTGAGGCAGTAACTAATAGCCTACCAACCAAAAAAAGCCCAGGACCAGACAGATTCACAGCCAAATTCTACCAGAGGTACAAAAAGGAGCTGGTACCATTCCTTCTGAAACTATTCCAAACAACAGAAAAAGAGGGACTCCTCTCTAACTCATTTTGTGAGGCAGCATCATCCTGATACCAAAACCTGGCAGAGACAAGAAAAAGAAAAATTTCAGGCCAATATCCCTGATGAACATCGATGCGAAAATCCTCAATGAAATACTGACAAACTGAATCCAGCAGCACATCAAAAAGCTTATCCACCACGATCAAGTCAGCTTCATCCCTGGGATGCAAGGCTGGTTCAAAATACACAAATCAATAAACATAATCCATCACATAAACAGAACCAATGACAAAAACCATATGATTATCTCAATAGATGCAGAAAATGCCTTCGACAAAATTCAACACCACTTCATGCTAAAAAGTCTCAATAATCTAGGTATTGATGGACCGTATCTCAAAATAATAAGAGCTATTTATGACAAACTCGCAGCCAATATCATACTGAATGGGCAAAAACTGGAAGCATTTCCTTTGAAAACTGGCACAAGACAAAGATGCCCTCTCTCACCACTCCTATTCAACACAGTGTTGGAAGTTCTGGCCAGGACAATCAGGCAAGAGAAAGAAATAAAAGGTATTCAAATAGGAAGAGAGGAAGTCAGATTGTCCGTTTGCGGATGACATGATTGTATATTTAGAAAACCCCATCATCTCTGCCCCAAATCTCCTTAAGCTGATAAGCAACTTCAGCAAAGTCTCAGGATACAAAATCAATGTGCAAAAATCACAAGCATTCCTATACACCAATAATAGACAAACAGAGGGCCAAATCATGAGCAAACTCCCATTCACAATTGCTACAGAGAGAATAAAAATACCTAGGAATACAACTTACAAGGGATGTGAAGGACCTCTTCAAGGAGAACTGTGAACCACTGCTCGAGGAAATAAGAGAAGAGGAGATTTCTTAGGGACATTGGCTCACATGGCTATGGAGGCTGAGGAGTCCATGATAGGCTATCTGCAAGCTGGAGAACCAGGGAAGCTATAGCATGGCTTGGTCCAAACTTGAAAGCTTCAGAACCGGGGAGGCCATCTAATTCTCAGTCCAAGCAAGAGGCCTGACGTGCCTGTGTCAACAAGGAGACAGACATGCACTGGGGAGTAAGTAGAATGATACATTGGGTGGACTGACTTGAACACCATCCAGTGTTCAGGTGTTGGATTGGGAAGAGGCCTGAGAACCAGGGAAATTGATGGTATAACTCTGAGTCTGAAGTCAAAGTCCTGAGAATCCAAGGGGGTGGGGGAGGGAAACTGGTACAAATCCCTGAGTCCAAAAGCCTGAGAACCTGGAGTTCTGATGTCTAAAAGTAGGAGAAGAAGGGGTACCCAGCTTCTGGGTGAGGGCATATCTTCCTTACTCAATCCATGGATTCACATACCAATCTCTTCTGGAAATACCCTCAGACACCCAGAAATAGTGCTTTACCAACTATCTGAATATTCTTTAATCCCCTCAAGTTGACACCTAAAATTAACTATCGTGGTCACAATAATGTACTCCCATGAAGATGTGAATAACTGATGTCTTTTTTTGTTACTACCCCCCACCCACGCCCATGTATATTTGCATCATAAAAATGGAGAGTGTTTTCATAAAGGAATTAAAATCAAACATCTGATTTTTAGGCCATGCAGAAGAACTGTAGCCAACAAATAGACCTGTGTGTGTATGAGTGTGTGTGTATGTTTTAGGAGAACAGAGCAAAAAAGGGAATATACTATAGTTAAGTCTCTAGCCAAGATCTGAACAAGATCTACTTATCTCATCTTTGTCCCTGGCTAATATAAATTTCTATGGAATTTTCTTAATCCATGGAGATACTAGAGATATGTTGTATTTTCTGTCAGTTCAAAATTTGGAAGTCTTGACAGGTTCCATGTTTGATCACTTCAGACAGTAAGCTTTAAGTAAACACCTCCACAAAGACTTTTATTTCCCTGTCATCCAGGAACCACTTTTGCTTAAAAATTTGCTTTACTGAACTTTAAGTGACTTTGCCTCTTTCTTACCAAGAGCTCCCTCCTTCAACATCCACCAATGAAAGATCTCAATCCCAGGGCACTGACAAGATGCCTTCGTCTCACAGCATCAAAGCCACCATGTGCAAATGGCAGCAGCACATATGTCTTGTAGCCGTGATAAGAAGGAATCCAAAATAACAAGCTAGCTCCAGAACACTGAGCAACGGAAAGGCAATGAAGTTTACCAAGGAGGCTTCCCAATCTAACACCTAAACACTGGATTGCATTCAAGTCAATCTACCCAGTGTATCATTCTGCTTACTCCCCAAGGCATGTCTGTCTTCTTGTTGGCATTGCACAAGGTTGCTCCCTTTCTTGGTAACTTTTATATTCTCAGCCACATATACTTACCTGCTGCAGAAGCACCATTTTCCTGAGCTCACTTTAAGTCTAGATTTCTGGATTTCTCGGTCTGCCTTTCATTCATCTCCCCTTAGAATTAGCTCTTTTGTAAAATTTTCTCCAGCCTCTCATTTTTATTACAATGCTGAGTCATGTCTGCTTATCAGACAACTACTTACTCAATAGATTTCATGAGCCCAAATCTATGCCAGAAATGATACAGAACACAAAAGCCTGCTCTCAGGGCACTTGAAATCTGGCTGAGGAGACAAACAAACATACATGAAAAGACAACCATAGGAAACAATAGAAGACATAACACAAGGTGCAATATTCTGCAATTTCTGGAAGTCGGAGAACATCACAGTTGGCTGGGGTGATCTGTCTATTTCCTTTCCTAATCCTTCTCCAATGTCACTCCCCAGTATATCTTCTAACAAAGCAATAAGTTTCTGGGTACTCACTACATGAAAGGCACCGCTGAGAATGCGAGAGCCTTATACCTTCAAGGAGAGATAAAATACAAATAGCTAGTACATAAAGCAAAAGATAGTCAGTGGTAAAAGAGGCAGAAAGTATACAGACTATAATGCTATCGCACTCTTACTGGTTTTCAAGGAAAAAATACTTCTTCAACTGTTAAACATTATGGAGACCTCAGTGGAGTTTGTTTTGGTTCTCTATTGCCTCATTAAAATTTAATGGCTTAAAACAACCATTCCATTTTGCTCACAATTTTGTGTCAGACATTTGGATGGCTGGCCCTGATCCATGCAATGTCAGCTCAGGCGGCTGACTGCGGGGCGGGGGGTCCACTTCCAAGTAGTCCCCATCACTTATGTGCCTCACACATCTGTGTTTATTGGGTGTGTGTGTGCATTTGCATGTGCATTTGCATGTGCATGTGTGTGTGTGTGTGTGGTGTCTTCTCTAACTCTGTCCATACGGGTTCTCATTCTCCAGGACCTGTCTGCATGGTTTAGGCTTTTACCAATATGGCAGCCTTAAGGTATTCAGAGATCTTTCATGGCAGCTGAAGACTCTGTTAAGACCAATGTAGAAGATGTCAGTGCTCTTAAAGGCTAGATCTATAATGAATAGCAACATTTCTATCATATTCTTTTATCCGAAGACATCACAGTTCTGCCCAGATTCAAGGGGAGAACAAATAGACCCGCAATGGGAAAGAGTGTAAAAGAATTTGCAGTCATCTTTAATCTACCACAGAGTATATGAGATAATGGGATGATATTCCATGGAGTATAAAAATTTGTTTCTCTTTAGAATCTTCAATTAATCCAATTTTTATACTGTAAACTCAAGGGGGAGACATAATCAAGAAAAATAACCTGCTTTGTATTGCTCGTTTTGAAAAATGTGAAAAATGTTCATGAGAGGCAATGATGGTCTTGGTCTAAATTGTTCCTAAAGGACTTCTAAAATGTTTTTTTTAATCTCATTTCTTGGAGGGAGTCCTGAATTGTTATAGACAAAACAGGGAGTTGGGTCTCAACCTTTGTTCTTTCCACATTTGAGAAAAAAAGAGGAACCCAAATGACAGATAAGAACTCAGTCACAGAAAACAGGGCAAGTGTCACTAACAGAACTGGCTAGAAGAGGCGTTGCCAAAAGAGAGAAACCAGAAAGATCTCCTGTAGCAAAGAAAAAAGTTGGAAATCTCTAAAACAATGGGAAGTATAAATGGAGAGAAGGCAGAGACAGCAGCAGAGATCAAAGATTCATCAAAGAGACAAGGGTTCATGGACCAGACTCTGATCTCCAGGGACCCCAAATCTGAAGAATCATAATAGGGAGGGAGCTAGACAAGATGCCCTGGACCACCAGAACGTTTACCTTGTGGTGATAGCAATGAGTGTTGTGAGAAGTAATTAGATTCCAGATGTATGTGGTATAAAAAGTCAAGAAGTTTTTCTGAGAGTTTTGATATAGGGTATGAGAGAAAGAGAGGAGTCCAGGTAGGCATCAAAGTTTTTGCATGAACAACTGGAAAGGTGGAACAGATTTTCAGAAAATATCAGGAAGGCCATTTTTATTATTCAAAGTCTGACCTGCATATTAGACAACTAAGTGGAGATTATAAGGAGGCAATTGAATATGACTCTGGGGTTCAAGAAAAAGAAGCAACCCAGAAATACAAATTTTAGCGCCATCAGCATATAAATTGTGTTTATGTCATAAGACTGGATAAGCTTATCTGCAGAGTAAGTGAAGATTGAGAAAAGAAGTCTAGGCACTGAGTTCATTGGCACTCCTAAAGTTGGAGGTCATGGAGGAACCAGCAAATAAGAAGAAACTTTCAGCGAGCTAGGAGACAATTATTACTAGAGATACAGAAAGTTACCAGGAAGGCATAAAATGTATAAATTTGTATGAGCCTTAAAAAGTCATCAAACATATAAAAGGCAAAAATTGACAAAACTAGAACTATACAAATCCAAAATCATTGTTGGAGATTTCATTATAATTTTCTCAGTAGTGATAGAACAAAGAAGCAAAAAAATCAGTAAGTATATAGGAGATTTGATCTAATTGACAGCTAACAAAGAGGGGACTATGTATAAAATACACACACATACAAATGCACACACACCTAACAAAGGTAATTGTTCTGAAAATGTAAATCTTCCTGAACATCAAACAGGGGATCAGTAGTCCAGAGATTGGCAATAGTAACCACTACTAACCCTAGGACTTGAGGAACAAATGAGGAAGTCATCTTACTGATGTCCAGGAACTGGGGCAACTGGTAGAAGCTGGATCCTCCAAGGATCTGTTCAACGAGAGCTGAAGTCACAGAGAAGACTCAGTTGCTGCCTGAGACAGAGAAGGGATGAGATTTGCACTTTTACCTATTCTCCAGTATCCCACTAGTGCCATTTGCTAAACCCAATTGAAAGCTGATTGATAAGGTGGTACCTGGGAAATGGAACTGCAGGGATCATCCTTCCTGCAACACAGAGAAGAGCGTAGAGAAGGGCATAACATGGATGTGGGAGAAAAGAGGCAAATGATCAACACACTGTATACAGTGACTTGTCCTTCATCCTAAGAGCAATGGGGAGTCATTAAAGGGTCTTAAGCAGGAAGTCACAATCTAATAGGCATTTTTTATATCTGCAGTACTAAGATTGCAATAGATGGTCATGAGGGCAGTTATAAGACCTTTGCATTTGTCTAGGCAGAGATTGTGGTGACTTAGACCAAAGTCACAGGAGAGGAGGGAAGTAGGCTGATTTGAAACACATTTAAAAGTTAGGCTTGAGAGAACAAGACACTGATGTCCCATGAGGGAGTCAAGGATGGCACCCAGGTTTCCATTATGAAAAACAGGGGAAACTGGAAGAGTCATTTGCTGAGATGGAAAAAACAAGGAGGAACATATTTACAAGAAAGATGGTAACTTCAGTTTTGATGCAAGTCATCAAAATGGTGGAGTTCAAAGAACAACTGATTATGTGGACCTGGAGCTCAGGAGTAGGATCTGAATGGGGACACACATTTTGGAAGCCATCAGCACATGCCTGGTATCTGAAACTAAGGGAATGAATGAGATCACCTGAAAAGATTGGGTATAGTCAGAAGGGGTCTAGGTATAAAGATATACTAATATTTAAAGAACAGATAAAAGAGAAGTAAAACAAAAGCATCAGAAAGAAGTCAACGGAGATGTCAGAGGAAAATATGTCAAGGAGAATATGACGCCAAGAAAGAGAGTATCTCAAAAAGAAGGAGCATTCTACCTGTGAAATGTAATTACAAAATCAAGGAGATCAGAGCTAAGACATGGCCTTAGTGAGTACTATTTCCCGAGAGGCTGAAGAGAAACTCAACTGAATTGTGAGATGAGGAAATAAAAGCATGAACAACTAGTATAAATTTGCTTGGGAAATGGAAGTGACAAATAAGGCAGTAGTTAGGGATGGGTTTCACTGGACAATAGGAAGCCATTATAAATTTTTGAGCAAGATAATTATACAATGAAAGCAAGACTTTGAAAATGTAATTTTCACCAGATTGTGAGAACATATGGGGTAGCAAATATATATTCACACCCCCAAGTTTCATTACTCTGAGTGCCTACTGCTTTGATTTACAGGGAATGCCAACATTAAAAGACTCTTCTTACTCAAGTATATCCAAGGGTCCCCAAGGATGCTAAAATGAACTCATCCTGGTCATCACTTGCTACCATCCCCATCAGAAGTACCCACTCACGGCCAAGCTGTTGGCCCCACCAGGTCCAAGCTGGTGCCATTTAAATCTCCTTGTTCTCACCAGCCGGTCTTGGTTTTGAAGGTTGCAACTACCAGTGGTGCTGCCAGAAAAGCGCCCACATCACTGGTGCTGCTGCCAGAAAGGATGGAACTTGCAGCCCATCAGGGGCAGGGACCTGGTTAAACTGGTCATTTGTGCTGAGGTCTAATGGACAGGCAGAGACTTTCCTACCAAACAAGAACAACTTTCTCTCTCTCACACTCAGTGTTATGTTTACTAAGAATAGTTGCCAGACACTAAGTGTTGTCTGTTGGTCAGGAAGTTCTTTATGCACTTTAACTCATCTAATTTTAACAACAACCCTCTGAGGTACACATAGGATTTTTGTCTTCCCATTTTACAGCTGAGGAAACTGAAACATGGAGAAGTGACATACTTGACCAAGGTCATAAATCTAATAGGGAGAGGGGCAAGGTACATATGCAGGCAGGTCTGCTGTAGACGCCAAGTTCGTAACCACCACTCTGTACTGCCACTTGGACTTTGTGCTAACACTGCCCCTACCGCCTGCCAGACTCTTCTTCCTCTTGTAGTATATTTCCTTCTTGTCCCTTTTTCTGAAATTTGGCCACAGATTCTACTCCAGCTCATCAGAAATATTTTTATAGCTAGTTTTATGGTACAGACAAATGGTCTCAATCCCTTAGTCCCATGCAAATTAGCAGGTACAAATAGACTGTAGAAGGGAAGGTGGCTAATTCTACTCACCAGCAACACTTAGGCCCCAAATTAGCCAGGATGTAAGTATATCCAGGAATCAGAGTGGCCTGTTATCTAACTCCTCCTACCAGGAACAGAAGGACCAGGACTCCTACAGAACCAAATGTCCTATTAGCCAAATATCCATCTGGCCAAGGTGTGTTGGAGGAACCGGAGTCTCTCTCCTCATCCATGTAAGAATATCACTAGTGTGTCTGCTATTTTGCCTGCTAACCAAGAGCAGAAAGTTTTAGGTCCATAGTAATCCTGTTATATTTACCTTTTCTCTTTATAGAGATATTTCAAGAACAAGGATCCATTCCCTGCCTAGCTATGGCTTAGAAAATCTTAAGAAGCTGAGGGCCAGGTCGACTTACAACTTAAAAAAGCTGCCTACTCTGGAAAAGCTTGTCGCCCTCATGGAAGCCAGCCTCACCTATCCCAGCCATTGCTGTGCCTTTGCAAACTGGAGACGGCAAATGTGAGTCCATCCTTTAAGCCCTGCTCAGGCATTTCCCCAATGTAGAACTTTGTCCACAATTTCTACCTATCTGTGACATGAAGAGAATCTACTTGCAGAGAGTTCCCTGTCTCAAGCCCTTTGGCACATTCTGGGTCAAAAATTCAGTTCATGGAGAGTGAGGAATAGTTGAACTCTTTCATTTCTTTGAAAGTGGGCTCACAGGAGAGGGCTACCCATGTGGCAGAACATATACCAAGTACTAAATGAGAAAACATGAAAAATACTAAGCATAGTGCCTCAGAGTTGGTGCATAATATCTGTTCCCTCTTTCCTTTGTACCATTATAGATTTAATCCTTCAAGTCCCAAACTGTGCACCTGATAAATGCCCCATCCGTGTCATCTTTGGTGGGGAGATGCATAAATGCCATGCCAGAGACTGATGTACATATCTGCCGCACATCCCAATCACTCTAAGCCTCTCTAATCCACCTTGGGATCTTCCTACCTCACAGGGAGGATAAAGATTAAGACATCTCATTACTTTGGCTTTCAAAGAAAGCCGGGTTCAAGGAAGCCCAGACTTAAAGAGGGCCATCTAAACAGAGACAAGTCTTAGTAGCTAACTGGTTAAAAAAGTGAGGTAATCATAGACAGGATCTGGAAAGAGTAAAGAGAAAGTCGCCTTGGAGATTGTACACATGTTCCAGACATTTAAATGATCCATTGGAGGTAAGAACTTACTGAGTATCAGAGTTCTCAAAGCTCTCACGCTCCTCTGAGCTCACCTACATAAGCCACACCATGTAGTTGCACTCATCAAATGATGTCTTTTCATTACTCTTATATACTAGCCTAGAACTAATACAGCTTTCCTATGATATTATTTCTCTGTTTAACACAGTCTCCTCCATTATTCAACCTTTAACATACATTGACCAGTCCATGTGGACATATTCCTTGCTCCAAAGCAAAACAAAAAGAGCAACAAAACAGTACCCACCCTAAAATGTTTTTCAGAGTAGCTGGAAGTCCCTACTCAGACCCTTTTGGAGGATTTGTAGAAAAATAGCTGTTTTTCAGAATCTGCATGCATCATTGGGATATTATCCAGAATGGGCACTCTTCATAGATCAGCTCAAGAGCCAGGAAATTTCTTCCTGACAATCAGAATTCTTAAGGTCCTGGGCTGAAGCAGTGGCTTGCCTCTTTTATATTCCAGATAAGAATTATTCTATCCAGAGTGAGAAAGATACCAATTTTGCACCAAGTCCATGGGACTGAATACCCCAAAGGAGAAATAAAGAACATTAAGATTGGCCAGGCAAGGTGGCTGACACCCATAACCCCAGCACTTTGGGAGGCCAAGGCGGAATAACTCCTTGAGCCCAGGAGTTTGAGACCAGCCTGGGTAACATGGTGGGACCTCGTCTCTACAAAAAAAATGAACAAAATTAGCCATGTGTGGTGGCGCATGCCTGTAGTCCCACCTACTCGGGAGGCTAAAGTGGGAGGATTACTTGAGCCCAGGAGGTCGAGGCTGCAGTGAGCTATAATTGTGCCACTGTACTTCAGCCTGGGCAGCAGAGTGAGACCCTGTCTTTAAAAAAAGAAGAAAATGTTAAGATCACTGTGAGAGCAGCTTGCAGTGTGCTATTTGGCCCAGTTCCAACACACCCCAAGAATTTGTTGTCTCATCGTGTTACTCAGACTCCTCTAGACATAGCCTCAAGGCTCTCCCAACCAGAATCTCCACATCTACCTTATATTGTCACAGGACATGAGGTCTTCTCTGATCCCTCCAGACCACTCGGCTCTCATCCCTCTAGGTTGCTGCTCTAACTTACCATCCAGGCCTGTTGGGGTATAGCAAGGGAGAGGAACATGGTTCTTACACTACATGCCAAAATGGAGTAACAAAAATTGTGATAGGTGGTTTTCATTTTTTATTTTTAGCAATGGGTATTTGATTTTCATATTTATCAAATTCACACACAAACAACACAAAATAATTGTTATTCAGAAGATAATTTCAGATTTATTCCTTCAATAGTGACATTTCATTGTATATCATAGTAGATGTGGTTTGGTAGCGGGATTCAAGTTTTAACTTGTATGATGAAATTCTTCTTTTGATCCTCATTTGGAAATAATGCCCAGAGTGTAAACATGAGGCCCCTGTGACTAAAACTTTGGCCAGTGGTCCTCCTGGACTCTTCCTGGGCTCTTCCCAAAAGTTCGTATCAACTACAGTCTTCATTTGTCATTGAACCTGATATTTCCTTGTCATAATTCTGTATTCATTTTGCATTACTTTGCTCTCATTTTATTCTTCAATTTTTAATGTTAAATACAATAAAAATTGTGTTTCTTCACAACTCAATGTTGTGAAGGCCATTTCTTCACAATTCAATATTAAATTGACATGCTGTTGCATATGCTTCTAAGTACCCACACAGGGCCTAGACCTCAAGAATTCCATAAGTAACCACCATCATTTGTCTTCATACTGCTGACATTTGCCAAGTATTCACTACCAAGCACTGTAATACTCTGTATCTTTATTTCATTTAATTCCCACAATGGTAATATCATTATTATTCCTTTCTCACAGAGACAGAAACTAAGGCTCAGAGATACTAAATAACTTGACCTACACTGACCAAACAGATCCAAATCTGGTCTGCCTGCCTCCAAAGCTTAGGCTCTGCGACACTGCTATGCCACCCCCAAGCATCTGTTCACTGACTGATCAGAGTCCAAGAGTGCCACTTTTTCAACTGACCCTAAACTGAATTCCCAACTCCTTATGATAATTAGGATTTTCCAAAGTACTGCGGAGGCAAGACTTGATGTCCTTTGGTTTCCACTTTTGTTTCTGTTCTTATCTCAGAGACATAAGTTATTTACTTTTCTCCTTACTTCATGTCAGTGGGTCACTTCAGTTTCAGAAAAAGAGAAGCACAATATTTAAAATATATGGACAGCAGTATCAACAATAAGAACCTTCACAGACAGCGACCATAAGCCATAGGAAGTGAAGGCTGTTTCTAGAGAGTTAAGTCAGAGCTCAGTCCAATGAACCAAACTGCAGTCAGCAAGTACCAGGTTACTTACTTTCTCTTCCTGGAATCAGGCTGCAACTAATTCAGTAACAGGGTTTAAGAGTCTAGAGTTAGACTAAGGACCACAGGATACCCCTCTTCTCCCCTCTATACCCATTATGGAGCTTGCCTCACCTTTCTTGGAAGACCATTGACTAAACCAGAACATTTTCTGGGCTCCGTTTCCATTCACTTTCAATTCTGTGTATGTTAATCATTTAGCCTTAAAAAAACAAACAAACAAAAAGAATCCCTTAGGCCAAGAGAAAATGACTTCCTGGCAATTCAATTCACTTCCCAGGGGTGAGAGAAGAGAGGAGAGCACTCTTCCTAACAGACCCTTCTCATCCAGGTTGATGGGGCAAGGTTCAGTCCCTGTATAATAGGTTGGAACACCTGGCAAGACTCATCCTTTAGCATCAAATGGAGTCTTTACCTCCTCCACTCCCCTAGCCACCTTTTTCCTTCTTAAGAAGGTTTGATACTTACTTCGCCACTTATATCTGAGGTTATGTCAAGGTTTAAAAAAAATACAGTCAACTTAATATTGCTGTGAACTTGCCCCTTGGGGAAGGAGGGAAAGGTATGCATGTGTATGTACAATTTTTTTTTTTTTTTTGCATCCAAAAAGGTCCTAACGTAAGGCTTATTCCCATTCCACAAGCCTTTGCTTCCAAACAGAAGTATTACCTTTCTTGTTTCTACATCCAGAGTATTGATATACTACTCTGGGGTAGAATATTTATGGGTATACTCGTGGATTGAATATTTATCACCTGGATTTCATTCAAATCCCTCTGTAAGTACCTCTATCCTGTTGACAAGGCCCCTTGTACATTTGGGTTTAAAGGCAAAACCAAGACAGTAAAGTGAGCCCAAGGAGAGCTAGGCTGCCCAGAGGATGAGTTCCATTCTTAGAATAAATTAGGTCCTTTTGCAGCTTGCATTGTTCTTTGGGGCACTCACTAGGAAACTGTTCAATATGAGAGAGCCAGGCTTACCTTGCAGACAAGCACATGCTGAGGCCTATTGTGGCCCCCAGAAAGTGAGATAATAAAGAACAGGAAAGACCCTGGTAACATTTCCGGCAAATTAGCTGGCCTCCTAATAGCCTGAGTACCAAAGAGCCAGGGAATAGGGGCTGGCTGGGAACTAACTACAGATTTTGATCCCCTAATTTATGTAGATAAGAGAAGCAAATAAGTTCTCATTTGAGTCAGCGAACAGTCTGGATCTTCCAGTGATTTGAGTGTAGACGAATAGGAATATGTCCTACTCAGGTGTATTAAGAGATAGCTGGATCAAGATGGGAGAAGGAAAAGGGTCGAGTTGATGCCAGCTCTGTAAATTATTTTCACTTAACAGCAAGGCTTAGTCTCAGGTGCCTTCCTCCCCACATTCAGGTTGTGGCAAGATGGTTTCCCCAGTGAGCCATCCAACTCTAGTAATATATATACAAGTTGTTATATTCATTTACAGTAAGCAGCATTAACCCTTGAGGTTAGCCTCAAGGGCAGGTATGATGTGAGAAGAAAAAAAAAAAATCTCAGGAAGAAACTCATCATTTCTACCCTGCACAAAGACAGTGATGTATTTGCTATACTGGATCTGAGATGTTGATTCTATTTCTTTTTGTATTTTTCTAGCTCTGAGCTTCATCCAATTTGCAACAAATCTATTTTAAGGCAAGAAGTTGATTATATGACTCAGGCTAGGGGTCAGAGATCCTCTCTGGCAGAAGACAATGAGTCCAGCTACAGCAGAGGATTTGACATGACGTACACTGAGTTTGACTATGACTTATGCAATGAAGTGGTTGACGTGACCTGCTCCCCTAAGCCAGATGCATTCAACCCATGTGAAGATATCATGGGGTACAACATCCTCAGAGTCCTGATATGGTTTATCAGCATCCTGGCCATCACTGGGAACATCATAGTGCTAGTGATCCTAACTACCAGCCAATATAAACTCACAGTCCCCAGGTTCCTTATGTGCAACCTGGCCTTTGCTGATCTCTGCATTGGAATCTACCTGCTGCTCATTGCATCAGTTGATATCCATACCAAGAGCCAATATCACAACTATGCCATTGACTGGCAAACTGGGGCAGGCTGTGATGCTGCTGGCTTTTTCACTGTCTTTGCCAGTGAGCTGTCAGTCTACACTCTGACAGCTATCACCTTGGAAAGATGGCATACCATCACGCATGCCATGCAGCTGGACTGCAAGGTGCAGCTCCGCCATGCTGCCAGTGTCATGGTGATGGGCTGGATTTTTGCTTTTGCAGCTGCCCTCTTTCCCATCTTTGGCATCAGCAGCTACATGAAGGTGAGCATCTGCCTGCCCATGGATATTGACAGCCCTTTGTCACAGCTGTATGTCATGTCCCTCCTTGTGCTCAATGTCCTGGCCTTTGTGGTCATCTGTGGCTGCTATATCCACATCTACCTCACAGTGCGGAACCCCAACATCGTGTCCTCCTCTAGTGACACCAGGATCGCCAAGCGCATGGCCATGCTCATCTTCACTGACTTCCTCTGCATGGCACCCATTTCTTTCTTTGCCATTTCTGCCTCCCTCAAGGTGCCCCTCATCACTGTGTCCAAAGCAAAGATTCTGCTGGTTCTGTTTCACCCCATCAACTCCTGTGCCAACCCCTTCCTCTATGCCATCTTTACCAAAAACTTTCGCAGAGATTTCTTCATTCTGCTGAGCAAGTGTGGCTGCTATGAAATGCAAGCCCAAATTTATAGGACAGAAACTTCATCCACTGTCCACAACACCCATCCAAGGAATGGCCACTGCTCTTCAGCTCCCAGAGTCACCAGTGGTTCCACTTACATACTTGTCCCTCTAAGTCATTTAGCCCAAAACTAAAACACAATGTGAAAATGTATCTGAGTATTGAATGATAATTCAGTCTTGCCTTTGAAGGGTATGTCACAAAGAGCTGACAGTGCTTCTACACATTTCATCTAATTTAATATTCCTGGCATACCTTTAAGGTAAATTGGTCAGGAACTATTAATTCCATGTGATACATTAGGAAGCTGAATTATTAGTAACAACAATAATAATTAAAGAATGCAATACTGTATTACATATTTTATCCTTATATATGTTATTTTTGCACGTTATGTTCAAAGTGCTTTTGTTCAGATATCTCAAGTGATCCCTGTTAAATAAGCAGGACAGGGATTATTCTTGGAGTTTTACAAATGAGGAAACCACGACTCAAAGAGTTAAGTGACTTGTTCAAAATTGTTTAGTTTGTAAGAGGCAGAGCCAGGATTAGGTATTCCGACTCCCAGAGAATTTCCCAGAGAAGCACCATGGTATTCATTCATTCATTCATTCAACAAATATTAATTGAACACCCATCTGAAGCCTTTGTAATGCGTCAGTGTGGATAGGCTGAAATACATTTCCCAGATTTCCCTTCCTCATGTGTTTCCAGTTAGTGTGGGCCATAGTGAGGACTCTAGGAAAACAGGAGGGCAGAGGAAAATGGCAGCCATTTTGTAGCTCAGCACACTCTGTTGCTGATGCTGACTCAGCTCACTGCTGTGAAGCAACGGCTGGGTCTCCAATTGCTCCACCTTTCCCTGGATCCTCCTTCAGGTTCTCAGACTCGTCCTGGGCCAGGTATATTTGTTAAGCTCCATGATAAAGGCTCCAACTTCTGTACGGCACTTTCATCACCAAGGTCAGAGGCAACAAGAATGTAAGCAGGGCTCAGGGTGTGCTTGTGGAGTTCTACCTGTGCTGCTGCTTCCAGCATGCTGTGATCTTCCCTTTATGATCGCCCACCCTGAGGACTTCTAGTTCTGGCATCAGCTGTGGAGACATCCTTACAAAGACAGGTTAACCAGCTCCCCACAACTGTGTGAGCCTGTAACAAATATTTACCACCTATATATATTTACATGCATGCAAATATATCACTGGTTCTGCTTCTCTACTTGAACCCTAACACCTATTATATGACATGCATATGGATCGTAATGTTAAGAACACAGCAGTTTGGAATCAGACAGCACTGCGATTTTATTAGGACTCCATAATAAGCCAGGACCTGACCTCACTAGGCTCAGCTGCCATTTCTGTAAACTAGAGACGGTTATATAGCTAACTTTTGAGCTTATTGTAAGAAGTAGATAAGAAAATGGTTGTGAAGAGCCTAGTGCTGTAACTGGCATGGTAAACGTTAGTTCACTTCTCTCCTCCCAGACCTGTGCCTGGTCTAGTGCCCTCTCCTGACCCTCAGTCTAGAACTCATTCCATTATAGCATATTGCTCTCAATAAATAACCATACTACCCACATCTATTTTATAAATGACCCCATCTGGATAATTTCGGTCATAAATATCAACTATAAATTCCACCAAGCTCTGTGCCTTGGCTAGCAGACAAAGCTCTGCGTCTTCTCTTTCTATGTCAGAAGCCAGCCCTTCCTCCTCTTACCCTTTGGCAAACATTTAAAAACTTGATCCCAAAAGCATTTTGGAGGAAGTCCTTAGAGAGCCAGAAGAAAAAGCAATCGTCTCTTCCCATCTGACCTGGCACCATTTTGATATACTGTGAGCATCAAGTGCAAAATAAAATAATTGTCCTTGTAAAGAGTCTAGAGCTTTACTGTCTAGCACAGTGGCTGCTAGCCACATGTGGCTACTGGGCACTTGAACCGTGGCTAGCCTGAATTTAGATGTGCTGTAAGTGTAAAATACACATGGGATTCCAAATACTTCATATAAAAAATCATAAAATAGCTCAATAATTATTTTATTGATTACATACTAGGACAATATTGTTTTGGAGGTATCAGGACAAATACATTTAAAAATTAGTTTCACTTATTTATTTTTACATTTTTTAATGTAGCTACAAGAAAATTTTAAATTACTTATGTGGCTTGCATTTATGGCTTGCAGTTTATTTCAATTGGAGGGCACTGATCTAGAACTATACAAAAATGCAGGGCTTTCAGCTAGCATTTTCTCCCCAGCCCCCACACACTCGTTTGCTGCACTGCTGGGCTGTCCCAGCTCCATCTGCAGTCATTCATCTTCCTTATTTTTGACCAGAGGCAATGTATTTCTGAATTTGGACTCAAAAGCAAGTTGCAGCTAAATTAAAAATACGATAGAGTATTAATTATTCCACAACATAGCTGCTGATGACACATCGGTTTAAGAAATCATGGCTCTGAGAGGCAAGAATGTGCTCAGAGACAAATATACAGCAAGAGACACTCAGAAGACATTTTTTCCATCACTATAATACTTCCTGGTAAGAGATGAGACTTTTCTCAAATAAGCAAACATATTTATGGGTAGCTAAACTCAGTGCTTCTAAACCCTTTAGACAAATCTAAAGGGAAAGAAAAACATCCTACACTTCCTGTATTATAATAAAAACCATTGAAATCACTCTTCCCCCTAAAGGTGATTATACAGGTAACACCCCTAAAGTTGTACCTCCTGGAGTGGCAGTTCAGTCCCATAGTGGTGACCCAGAGGGAACACACACACACACACACGCGCACGCGCGTGCACGAAGTTTCAGATTAATACAAGTTTGTTTTTTCTATTTTTTAAGTTTGTATTGCAAATCTCAAAAACCATGAAGAGGACAATAGCTCCCAGAGATTACTTAAAGTACCCATATCTCCATGGGTAATACTGAAAATATCAATACAAATACTGATCTCTCATGATGGATATTGGCTTTGGCCATCCTGGTGCAAAATGAAATCTTTGCCTCCTATCCCTGACCACACACTGGACCTGCTCCCATGTCTATTTCCTCAGATTTTCACTCATCATAAATTTATTCAGCCCCATCCTGGAAAGCCTCTCATTTTGTCTTCCCTTCTCCACCAACTTTCCTCCATATACTCCTTTGACTAAATCCCAAGAAAATCTGACAAGGTAGGATCCTCCTTGGTGGGGTTGGAGCAAGGTGACTGAATGGATAAATCCAGAGTGAATGGGTCAGAGTGAAGAGATGAACTAGGTACACAAGTTGATCAAAAATTTTTATCTTGTCACATACAGATGCATTAGTTTTGGTGAAGGGGATGGAATGGGGGGCACTGGAGAGTACTATTTCACTAAAAGTCTCCATGTGCTGATCATGGGGAACCCTTCATACCTTGTTTCTGCAAGAGCAAATGGAGGGAGGAAGAGAATAAGAGAAAAAGCCCCCTGCACTTGCATCACTAAGATACTGCAACTCTTACCACAGGCAGCACTACACCTTATTTAGGTCAGTATCACATGGCATTAGAAAAATCAGAAAAAGATCATTGAAACTGATGGCCACAACCTTCAGGTTCATAAAGTATTTTATTAGGAAAGTTTGTAAAGGCACAAGCAGGGAATAAACTTTCAGCTACTACATACTAAGGGACATTGAAGAAAGAAGACAAATATATAGGATGTGTTGTTTGTTTAAAATATAACTGAACCCATTAAAGAGACTAAATAAACGTCCACACAAAATAAAGCTCAACTATAAGGTGGTATTTGCTGACCCTCATCAAAGTGCTTTCAGTGGCAAGAAGCAGAACTCTTATTTTAAAAAAGCCTTAAACAGTAAGGCCAGTTATATAAAATGTTCCAGGCTTGGATTGGCAGCTCAATGATCTCAAAGACCCAGGACCTTTCCATCTTTTTGCTCTGTCATCTTTGGAGTCTTCAGCCATGTCTTCCCTCATGATAGTAGGTTGCTATAGCAGTTCCAGATGCCCCAAGCAGACATGACCAAATCCAGAAACAAAGAAGAGATGTCTTTTCTTCTGTGCATCTCTCTTTTCAAAGGGAATAGAATGTCTCATTAAAGGCCATGAGAAAGCCTCCTTTCTATTCACTATCCAGGACTGCTGCCCTGGTTGCAAGAGAGGTCACAAAATGAGCCTCTGCCACATTCAGCCTCTATAGTGAAAGGCAAGTTCTGTCAGTCAGGAATGTGGAAGCAGGTACTAGAAGAGGGGGAATGAATGGGTAGGCAACCTCATCCTCCAACGTGAGCCAACCCAAATCCTCTCTCATGGGATGAAGCCAGTGGGATTCAAGGTCAGAATACATATGGCACCTTTACACCTCACATCTCCTGTCTTCATTCCTCTGTCACCCTCCCTCCATTATAACCTGCAGTGCAGCTCCTCCTCTCCATGTAGTCTGTTCCATCCCTCCCTGAAACAAACCTTAGAGACTACTCAGATCTAAAGGCAACCATTGGAGTCACACATTGTCCATGAAATCCTGTTTGGGAATAGGAATGGAAAAGGAAAAAAAGAAAGAAAAGAGACAAGAGGAAAAAGAAGTAAGAAAAGAAATGCACTAGGATAGGAAGGAGGAGACATGAGGAAAAGAGAGAATGGCAAGACAAATATCAAGGAAAGGGGCAATGTGAAAGAAAGCCATGCCCTGATCATGTCCCTTTGTGCAGATACTTGTTTATCTTTGTCTTAAGAAAACCTTTCCAACTTGTTGCAAAGAGTTCAATTCAAAACACTGAATGAGCTCAGTTTTAGATCCCAGTAGAAAAGCCCAATGGACATATCATGATGGTCTAGGTTTCCCAGGGCTCTACATACCATGGTGTGGGGCCCCCAGATCTAGTTCAAAAAGTGAGACGGAGTCTAACCAAAGAGATAAGGGTCAGTATTTGGAACTATAAAAATATTTGGTGTTGGGGTAAATTATATCACTGGGAGCCACCTAGAGAAATCAAAAACTAACTCTGAACAAGCCCACACAATTCTATTTTCCACTTATGCATTCCCTCATTCAACAAATATTTATTGAGTGCCTACTTTAAACCAAGCACTATTCCAGTCACTGGATATAAAGTAGTAAATAAAAAATTTCTGTCCTTGGAGACTCTATATTCTAGTAGAGGTGACCAATGACATACAAACTCAGTAAAATGCATTGGTGCTAGGCAGTGACAAGTGCTGGTGACAAAAAATAAATCAGGGAAGAGGGATATGATGTGCGACATTGGGGGCCTCCCTGAGAACGTGACTTGAGTAGACCTGGAGGGAATGGAAAGTGAGACGTGTGGATACTGAGGGAAGAGTGCTCCAGGCAAAGGGAACAGCAAGTGCAAAAGCCCAGGGACAGTAAACCTGCTTTGCTCCAGAAAAACAAGATCGGTGTGGCTGGAGCAGAGAAAAAGGGGTGAGGGAGAGTAGCAAGAAATGAAGACAAAAAAGTACAGGAAGCTATATCATTTCAATTTCTCTATTTCTAAAAGGGTGGAAGCAGGGTGATTAAGAATAAAAAAAAAAGACACCTGAAAGGTTGTAATAAGTATTAATTGAGCTTGTGTGTGTAGATTGCCTAGCCTAGTATTTAACACTAGGAAATTTTGAATTTCAGTCACTTTTCATTTCTTTTAACAGCTTGCTGCACCTAATCCTCCCCCTTTTCCACTCTCTCCTGGTTTCCCAGCCCTCACTCTAATTCTCTCCTGCCATCATCTCTCCAACCACCCCACAGCAAAGCTGCTCTCCTGTGGGGCTGTCACTTTCTAAAGAATATGATACATGGTTCACACCACGGTGATAATAATCTCCTATATTTCAATGGGTTTTTTTTACAAATTCCAGAAGACTTTGGCTTGCATTGGCTCATTAGATCCTCAAAACATTCCTGTGAGGTAGAAAGGAGGACAGGGTTTCCTTGTTATAAAAGAAGAAATTAGCATTCAAAGGTTAAGTGACCTCTCTAGGTTGTGCACCTATACAATGACAGAATAAGCGCAGAATTCAAATCCCTTGGTTCCAGTCTGGACTGTCTCTTTAATGACTGTCACAACTGAATGTGTCCACTTCCCAGGGTCACATAAAAGTAGAGGTATTGGAAACACCAGCCTTAACATGAATAAGGGCAGCAACCTAGTTCAGACACTTCTGGCAGCAAGACCAGGCCAGCAGCTGACCAGGGACTGTATTCTCACACAGCTGATGCTCACTGTCCATGCTGAAGCCTTGATGATGTGAATTTAATCAGATGAACAAGGAAAATAGAGTCACAAAGCAAAGCCCAGTGATCCAGTGAGCAGAGCTTTTTCTAATTCCCTGTAATACCTTTTCTCCTCCTGATCCCAAGCACAGGGCACCCCCTGACTGGCACGCAGTTGAGCTCAGCAGAAGCCAGGAAGAGAGAAAAATAAAAGTCAATGAAATGTACTGTGGCTCAGGAGAGCCCTAACTCATGGGCCAAACTTGACTGTGAGCCAGTGTAGTTAAGAAAGAATTTGACAGCTCTAAGGTGTTTCCTCCAGAGGAGAATAACCTTTAATTTAAGCATGTCTTTGTTCATCCCTAAAAGAGACCATTTGCTGGAAGAGAATAAGACCATTGCCTGGCCGTGGCTATTTTCTCTGCTGCAATCAGGCATTTTACATTTAGGTGCTGGTTTGTAATGAAGCAAGTTAAGGGCAGATATGTGGTCCCCTTCCTGGACACCATGCTTTAGAGGACCCTGCTCTCTCTTGCCCTCCTCTGGCCATGCCTTACCCATAGGCAAGGAATCTGGGAGCCCATGAGGCCAACGGCACATGAGCACCCAAATTTGCACTGAACATGTTCTGATACTTGAGGCCCCAAAATCTCCTGCCTGAGTACTCAAGGTTTGCCTTGACCCTCTCCACCCGAGGGTGGATTACACCCACAGTGTGCACACTACAGGCCTAAGGATGGCTGTTTGCAGTGTGTAAATGGAACTCAGAGGTGCAGGCTGAGTGGCATAATGCATGCTCAGTGCAACCAGGGCACACACAGAAAAGGAGCTCTGCAGGGCAGGGCTTCCATTTGTACCCTTGCTTGAGTCCTGAAGATGTGAGTGGTGGTCTTCATGAAGAAGTAGAGATGAGTCAGTGTTCTCCCTCGCCGACTGCTGAGAAAACCATTCAAAGCACAGCTTGCAGGCCAGTGTTGTCACCTTCACTTGGGACACATGCACTTTGGCTATGGCTCTGCCATTCAGATCATTCCATATTTATTAGAACCCTTGGCACTTAACTCAGTTGCCATCTCCTTCCCCACTTCTGCACCTTCCTGATGACTTCAGCATCCTCATAGATCACCCAGTCTGGACCTCAGCCTCACAATGCTTTGACTTACCCGTTCCCAGTGCTTTACACTTTAATAGACCTGGGTAACTTGTAGCGACAATCCCAATCCTGAAATATCCAGAAATCGTCCCCTCACCTCGGAAATCTTCACCTTCAGAAGCCGACTCCCTCCTCCCTTGCTATTCTACCAACCTCCTCAACTTTCCTCCTGGAGCATGCCTTGCCTTTTAGGCTGCCATGCCTTTGCTTATGCCATGTGCCCTGCCTAGGCCCTCCCTGCATTTGTCTGCTGGATATGCCTTCTTTATCTATAAAACTCAGCTCAAATATCACTTTTCACTGAATGTCCATGACTAAGCACTAGGAAGCAGGCACCATGCTAGGCAGCAGGATTACAAAATTAGTAAAGTATCTTCCTTCCCCCACACAGACCAACTCAGGAAATAGACAAGTAAACATAATTCCATCTGTGTGGTCATTTGAACAAGTTACTATGAGAGCACAGAAGGTTTTACCAAATTCAGTTTTACCAGGCAGGGCACTGTGCCCAATGAGAGAGAAGGATGCCCTGCCTGGAGTTTTACACATTCATTTACCTTCTTCAAAACAATATATTCATTGGAGGCAAAATGGGAATAGCCCATCTGATTTCTTCTACTGACTGGCATGCACTCAGACAGAGGTTCATCTTAGGAAATAAAGGAGCTAATATTAGTTCAGCTCTTATGATGTGCCTGTCAAAGAGAAAGTTTCCTCAACCTGCCTAGGGTTGGCAGAGAAAGATTAATAGGAGAAAACGTACGAATTTATTTGATCAAAGTTGTACACGTCACAGGAGCTTTAAGAAATGAAGACCCAAATATCAAGGAAAATTGTCCATTTGTATGCTCAGATTCAGTGAAGAACAGACAGCTGTGTCAAATTTGATTGGACAAAAAGGGTATGGTCTAATGGTAGCAGGCAGAGGGAGGAAACCCCGCAAGACCTGTCTGTTCACATTCTTCTTTGCCTCTCTGTGTGGCAGCTCTTTCTCCTGGGTTTAGGGCAGGACTCATTCTGGAATGAGGGTCTCATGATCATGTATCAGACAAGTTAGGTCAGAGAATTTCTTTATGGCCAGCCCCTACACAGAAAGGCAGGGGAACGTTAGAGTAATATGTCTAGGTTTTATGGCTGTCTTTAGGGAAGAGCTCTGGTTTCTATGACCCACCTTGGGGAAAAGGAATTCTAGTTTCTCTGGTCTGCCTTGGGGAAGAAAGGAGAGCAGGAGAAAGAAAGGTGGGAGAAGGCCAGAAAGACTTTGTTTCTGAAGCTCTTTCAGTTTCCTTCAGTTCAAAGCACTCATCACACCAAGACACCATACTGTGGGGTATCACATTCTGAGCCCTAACACTTCCAATATTATGCTATGAATTTACATCATGATTTCAGGTAATTATTCCAACAATGCCACAAGGTGAGCATTTGTGTTATCCAGTTTCACAGATGCAGAAACTGAAGTGGAAAAAATTGACTAGCATTATATGGCTGGCAAGTGATCAAACAGGATTTTCTCATTATTTCATTCACTCAATAGTTATTGAGCTCATAATATATGCCAGGCATTATGTCAGACTTCATGGATACAGACAGGTACACAGTAAACAAGGTGGCCACTGCCCAAATGGAGCTTGCATTCTGGTGGGGAAGACAGATAATAAACAACAAGAAAGAAGCAATATAACAGATTGGGACAGTGCTATTAATATAAGTAAATGAAGGAGGGATATCATCAGGAGAATCTGGGAAGGAGTGGATGCTACCTGAGACAGGATGGTCAAGGATCTGCCTAGTTGCAAAGCACTAGACTTTCCACAACCCCTTCTACCCTCCAGTGGGCCTCTGCAGTATATATGGCAACCAATTCTGGTTTCATGTATTCTACCACTTACTCCAACTCTAGTAAATATCTGCAAAGCTTACCATTGCCTACGACTCTCAGATTATTTCCCCAAGATGCTGCAGAATCCTTATAATGTTTCTCAGCCTCAATAGAATGAAAAGCAGGTCTGTGCTTATATCACTTAATGACCAAAGAGGAAGGAAATTTACAATTAAAGTGTACTTTGCCAACTGTGGATGAATTAGTTAGGTCACTGTGATCTACAGGTTAGATGTCTGTTCAGCAGTGTCCTCTACTTGAGATTCCAAGGAGGTTGAAGCTCACTACTCGCCACCCCTCGCACCCCCCTCCGTTCTCTTCTTTCCCTTACCTGCTTCCTCACACTGATTCAAAATCTCCCCCATGGCCCGGGCACGGTGGCTCACACCTGTAATCCCAGCACTTTGGGAGGCCGAGCCAGGTGGGTCACCTAAGGTCAGGAGTTCGAGACCAGCCTGGCCAACATGGTGAAACCCTATCTCTACTAAAAATACAAAAATTAGCCAGGTGTGGTGGTGGGTGCCTATAATCTCAGCTGCTCAGGAGGCTGAGGCAGGGGAATTGCTGGAACCCAGGAGGCAGAGGTTGTAGTGAGTTGAGATCATACCGTTGCACTCCAGCCTGGGCAACGACAGAAAGACTCCATAAAATGAAAAAAAAAAAAAAAGAACAAAAAACAATCTCCTTCATATCACCTTCATATCAGTACCTCACAACACCTGAAATCCCCATCCTATCAATCAGATGCATGATGGTGGAAAGAGCGTGAAACATGTCCAAAGTCCTAGTTTGAACTAGCTTGAAGTTTGAACTCTACCCTTCACCCTGTTTTGGAAAGAATGTGTGAGTTGGAGTATGTGAAAGAATGTCAGAAACTGCCCAAACATCATGAATATGGGTCCAGCTGGAATACAAATGTTGTTGGGAACAGTCTCTAACTAATGGGATTTAATTAGCTGAGCTCCTTCCACCACATCACTTTACCCTTAGGGAATGGGTGCACACAGCGCTTGTGTGATGCAGCTGGAAGAGTCAGGGCACTGGGGAGCCAGAGTGAATCCATGTGGAATCAGTGCTTACTAGGCAGCCAGACGGGCAGCATTAAAGCTTTGGGGACGTGGGTGCTTAAGGAGAAGAAACAGCCAAAAGGAAATGAAGGAGCATTAAACAGCAACCCAGCCATGTCACGTGACTCACACTCCTCCTGCGCCAGAGCCCAGTGTGAGCCCCTGTCTGACAGTCAGTCACAGAGGACCCAGCAGCAAGGCATGATTATCAACAGAAATCAGCTTAGCAAAATGCAGCTGTAACCCCAGAGGGCACAACTGTGACCCTTTCTGCCAACATTGTTCAAATGCAAGGACAGAGATGGTTTTCCAGAAGGCAATGACTGCAAGAGCTGTCCACCCCAGACCTGCGAAGAAAAGTAAAGCCATAGGGAAATGGGGACTATAAGAGATAAGGATATAAGGCCTTGTGATGCTTTGGATAAGGAAAGAGATATAATAACTTTAGATGTAGACAAAATATTTTAGTTAGGAATATATGCTAAAAATGAAATGGCAATGACTGAATGAAAACACAATAAAGATAGAAATAGATCTTTTAGCTTCTGAAAGCTAAAACTATAAAACTTTTCTGTAAAACTGTCTTTACAAGTTTATAGCAAGCCAAGATTTCCTAGTCAGAACTCAAAAAGCATTAATATATAAAAAATTGATAAATTGGGCTTGATCAAGTTTAAACATTTCTGTTCATCAAAAGACACATTAAGAAAATGAAAAGGCAGGGCAAACCTGTGAAAAAACACTTAAGACACCTCTAACCCAGGACTCATATCCAGAATACATAAAGAACTCCTGCAAATAAACAATAGAAAGATAACCCAACAAATAAGGGAGGGCAAACACATCTACTTTAGGACCCAGCAGCTCCTCTTCTAGTTACTTACACAAGAGAAATTTTGAATGTACATAACAAAAAGGTATACAGCAGCCTTATTCATAAAAACCAAAAACTGGAAAAGCACCCAAATGTCCATCAAAAGGTGAATAGATAAATAAATTGTGGTATATTTGTACCATGGAATACTGCTCGGCCATAAAAAATGAATAAATTACTGATATACAGCACATAATGATGACTCAATCTCAAAAACACTATATTAAGTGAATGAAGGCAGAGCCAAAGAGTAAATACTGTATTTTTCCATATATATAAAGTTCAAGAACAGGAAAAACTGATGCACAATGATATAAGTCCAAAAGCAGTCATCTCAGGGATAGAGGGTTGACTGAAAAGGAGCACTGTCTATAATAACGGAAATAGTCTATGTTTTGTGTGGCAGTTACACAGATGTAAAGAATTATCAAACCGATCAAATGAACACTTAATATCTATGCATTTTGTTGTATGTAAATTATACCTCAACTTATTTTAAGTCCACAAAAGAAATCTAACTGTGTTCCTTTAGTAACAATTAGAAAATATAGTAGAAAAAGGGAAAAAAATCCTCACAATAGCAATAACTGTAAGGTACCCAAGAGTACATACAATAAGGACAAGACTTTCACAAGAAAACGTAAAACTTATTGAGAGAAGGCCTAAGTAAACGAGGAGATAAATTACGTTCATCAATGTGAATTTTCAATACTACAAATGTATCAATTCATTCCCAAATGAATGTATAAATTCAATACAATTCAATGAAATTCCAAACTTTACTTCATGGGTAGGGATTTATAGAACTTTAGAGATCAATTTGGCTATAGTAAAAATGCGCTTATCGGCTGGGCACGGTGGCGGCTCATGCCTGTAATCCCAGCACTTTGGGAGGCCAAGGTGGGCAGATCAAAAGGTCAAGAGGTCAAGACCATCCTGGCCAACATGGTGAAACCCCATCTCTACTAAAAATACAAAAATTACCTGGGTGTGGTGGTGTGTGCCTGTAATCCCAGCTACTCGGGAGGCTGAGGCAGAAGAATTGCTTGAACCCAAGAGGTGGAGGTTGCAAGGTTGCAGTGAGCCGAGATCGCACCACTGCACTCTGGCCAAATATGCCCCAAGGAAGACTTAGAATATTCACTTCTGGGAATATGCCCCAAGGAAGACTTAGTCTTATGCACAAGAAGACACATATGAGAATGACCATTGCACCATTCTTTAAGAAATGCCAATAAATATATAAGTTGCTTTTAATTATTTCTGATTGTTGAACTGTTTCCTTATAGTTGAAAAACGGGTCTGAGGCTGACTTTTTGGATTCAATGATAAATCTTTTGTGGGATAATTTCATGGTTAATTTTTAAAAATAAATCTTTGTGTACTCAAAATAATGTGCATTCTGTGTTTGTTCATTATTTATTCACCTTTCCTCCTGGAGTCATTGCATCCTTTTGGATTTAATTGGATTTAATTGCTTCATCCAAAATTCACTTAATTCACTTAACTCCAGGAGTTCTTTCAAAATGATAGTAATTATGTGTATTTCAATTTCACATTATAGTAATAATTTGGCCCATCATGAAATTTTAGTTTTACTGTCTTCTTTTCTTCTTCAACACTTTGAAGATATTAACTCATTGCTTTCCCACATCTAATGTAGCTGCTGAAAACTATGATTGTAATCTAATTTTCATGTTCCTTTTGGGTAATATGCTTTTTATCTTGAAGCCTTTTAGAATGTTCTATTTTTAATATTCTTTAATGTTACTGTAGAACATTTCTATGTGAGGAGGTCACCTCTCCTGTTCAGCACTCTGTGTCCTTTCCATTTGAGGTCTATTTTTCTTCCTACACGATGCTCTTGGAAGGATACTTACACTTCAACTTCAGTCCTCCATATTTGTTGACTTGCATTCTTTCTATCTCTTTATCCTTTTCCAATGTCTTCTGAGGAAGTTCCCGGCCTCAATATTTCAGTCTACTGATATATTATTTTGCTGTATGCATTCTGATATGTGGCCCATCTATTGAGCAATCTCAGCAATTATGTTTAGACCCTCAATATCTCCAATTTGTTCTTCATATTTTCTTCTCCCTGTTTGTTTCAAGAGTCTCCTTTATGTTTCTAAGGATAATTACTACACCTTCTTTTTTTTAAATTATTGTCCATTCTGTTTCCTCTGGTTTAGCTTATTTATTTTGTTAAATTACTTTCACGGAACTCTTACTATTCACATCTTACCATTTTTCCTCGTAAGCTCATCTTTTATTTCTTTAGACTATTGACTGCTTTTGCAAATGATGTCTATGTGGGAGAGGGGTAAACACTTAGGCCTTGCCCTTTTCTCTATGTGAGTTGGAGGAGGATGGTCTTCAAGGCAGAAAGTCTCAAAGGTTGCAACATGAATTCAGCCATCCTCCAAACCCCACCACCACTCCACCAAACACTCTCTGGCCTCTCATCACCAGGCGTGTTCTTAAGAACAAAAAGCCTGTGTAATTTCCTACTCCACTTGGTGGAAGGAGAAGGCAAGAATGCTCAGGGGACATCCAGGTGTTGTCACTACTAGCTTCACATTTTGACTCCAGAGCTGCCCTGATGTTACCCTGCCACTTCTGCCTGATTCTGTTGCTTTCCTGCCCATAGATCTAGGCAACCGGTCACCCAGAGTACTGTGGGGAAAAGAAAGGAAACACTAGAAAGCTTTCTGCCACCCGGATGTCTCTGGCTTTCCTCCTCTCCAGGCTGTCGTTTCTCCCAGCCTGGCAGCCAAACACATTCATCTTCCTAAGAGTTCTCACATTTTCATGTTAGCTAATAAAAATGGTTGAGATCTGCCAGCGTTTTCCCTGCTGCTGTTCTCCATTGTTGGGTTCAGAAAAGAAAACCAACAATTTGCAAAGACTTGAGCCATGTGGGACTCCAAAAATAGTAAGGCTACATAACAAAAACTTTGTCATTAATACCCTATCTCTTACAATTTATTTTAAAAAGTTTATCTTGGCTAAGTACAGAGCTAAGTATGTTCTAGCTGAACTCAGCCTACACAGCTTTCCTGACCATCGTCAAACCAAAGAGAGAGTTTCAGAATCAATTGAGTTTGATCAAAGTTCACCAGGAGTACTTTAGAGAGAATATTTGACTACTTTTAGCCATTTCTCAGGGCAGGCACAGTGGTTCATGCCTATAATCCCAGCACTTTGGGAGGCCGAGGAGAGAGGATTGCTTGAGGCCAGGAATTCAAGACCAGCCTGGGCAACATAGGAAGACCCTGTCTTTTTTAAAAAAATGTTTAATTAGCTGGTTGTTGTGGTACATGTCTGTATTCCCAGCTACTTGGGAGACTGAGGCAGGAGGAGTATCACCTGAGCTCAGGAGTTCAAGGTTACAGTGGGCTATGATCATGCCACTGTAGTCTATTTCTAGCCCGAGTAACAAAGTGAGACCCTATCTCAAAACAAACAAAACAACGAAAATTTCTCAAAGGCAGAAACTCATGAGAGGAGTGAATAGACAGTCACAAAACCATATCCTCTATAGGGTACAGTTCCTGCCATAATTTAATTCATTTTTTTCTCTCAGCATATGCTTTCAAACTCCCGTCTCTCTTTAGCTGTTCCTTTCCTTCCAGGAAAGATCAAATCTTCATCTATTTTGATTCTATTCTATTCTAATAAGAAGATATAGAATGGTTAGGATAAAGTCTTTCATGGCTTCTCCTATCAGAAAGGATACAATCCAGTTCCTTCAAGTAATTCTGGGTAATCACTAATTACTCTGAAACCGAGCAAGACGCTTTCTGTGGCTCCATTATGGAATTTCTGGATTAGAGAGGACAGAATCAAATTCCTTTTCTCTGCCAAAGGCTATTTATCATTTGAAAAGCATCCTGTGAAAAACTGAGAAAAACAGTTATAACTTGAGCCTCCAAGAAATTTACCCCACTAAGGACATTATTTTCTCCTAGTAAAATAGTATCAATTTATAAGCCAAATAATTTATTTCTGCATAACTGGCTAAGATGTCCCTCATACAAGGCCCTTTGATTAAGCATGAAATAAAACCCACTGCCATTATTTATTATATTGACTCTCAGATTGAAAATAAGGCCTTAACATTGAATAAAGATGTATCATAAGCCCTCCTTATGTCCCTCAACTGTAAAATTGGAACACAAGACCATCATCATGGCTTTTTATGAGGCTTCAGTGACAACTAAGGGGGTTCAACTAATCAATAATAATAATGGAATTCCCAACAATGAACATCTTCTACTTCACCTTTCTGTGGCTCTAGACACACATGCAGACACACACACACCCCACAATGCCTTTATAGAACATTTTCCCTTTCAGTTTTTTCCTCTATTCCTTTCTCTACTCTCAGTCTGTAGCAAAGACTCTCACTCCCGGTTCTCCCAGTGAGAGAAAGATCTTTTACTAAGACTCCATCCACGTGACCAAGGAAGAAAGTTAAAATTAGAAAAAAAGTAGACCAAGACCAACCAAGATTCCTCAGTGCCTTCTTTCTTCTCCTACTGTAGACACACTACACCTCCACCTCTTTTTCCCCACCACTAAAAGAACAGGAAAAGGTCTTGGGGAAAACTGGCACAGCCGCTGACAAGGTAGATATCATCATCTCCCATTTTACAGGTGAAGTAGCTGAAGCCCTTGGAAGGAAAATGACTTCCCAAATATGCTACAAGCAGCAACAGGTGAACTAGAATGCAGATTTTGTGCTTCCTAAGACAGTATTCTCCCCATTTCCCCCACTGTAGGTTTCTAACCAGGTACTCAAGTGTTCTCAGTTCATCATAGTCTGTATAGTCAGAAGGACACTAACATTCCCTAATTTTTATTACTTCAAGTATCAACCATTTCACAACACCAAAAAAGCTTCTCTATGTCAATGTAATAGGTTTCAACCACCTGCAGTCGACTGTATGCCACCCTTTGTTAGTGGGCAGCTTGCCAGGCTAATACAAGATCACCATCTAGTGGTGAAATCAAGTAACTACAGGCTACACAGTAAATCAGATTCTTCTCTGCACCCCCCACATCTAACCCCAAGCCTATGGGCTAAGCCACTGCTTATGTTATTTTCAGCAAACTTCCAGAAATAATTTACAAATAAAATTGATAATTTTCCATTACATAAAACATGACATAATTTTAAAATTCTTTTGAGATTTAGGCATCTACCAGGTCAATATAAATATACTTAGACTCACATACACATAATTTTCTACCTGCCCAGCTGATTGCTCTTAGCAGCCTGCAGCTTGACATCCAGTGAGGCTCCAAGTGAAAACTAGAGATGAACCACATTGCAGATGGTTGTAGATAATCACAACTTCAGGTAAGTGCTGGACTCTACTTTCATTAAAGTTGTTCCAGAGGCAGTATCAGAAAGTACTCTCCAAACAAAAATAGCTGCTTCTAAAAAGAATGTGAATGTTGATTTCACTCCCAAACAAGTATTTCTTGAACATCTATTATAAGCTACAAAAAATAATATGAAGTATCTTAGATAAGCATTGAACGGTCCTTTAGCAATCTAGATTCTGCCCACTACTCATTATTTTATGGAACCTGCTACCATCATAGTAAACAAATATACATATTTTAAACACAAAACTCTATAATCATTTTTTAACACAATCACCATGAGCTTCTCTGCCGCCCTTAACACCGTTGACAAAGTACTCATCCTAAAAGCCTCTCCCATTTTTAATTCTTAGACCTGCACACCTCTGATAATGCTTCTAGTTTTTAGTCTCCCCATGCCTCCCAACAATGTATGTATCCTCCAAGGATATAACCTGGGGCTCCCTGTCTTTTTTTGTCTTTATTTTCACAATCTATCACATTTATGATTTTGACTATAGTATCCGTATATCCATTCCTGACGTCTACTCTAAGCTCTAGTTTAACTTTTTTTTTTTTTTTTGAGACGGAATCTCGCTCTGTCACCAGGCTGGAGTACAATGGCGGGATCTAGGCTCACTGCAACCTCCACCTCTCGGGTTCAAGCGATTCTCCTGCCTCAGTCTCCCAAGTAGCTGAGACTACAGGTGCACCACTACGCCCAGCTAATTTTTGTATTTTTAGTAGAGACAAGGTTTCACCATGTTGGCCAGGATGGTCTCTATCTCTTGAACTCATGATCTGCCCGCCTCGGCCTCCCAAAATGCTGGGATTACAGGCGTGAGCCACCGCGCCGGACCTAGTTTCACTTTTTTAATTGTCTTGTGGCTATCTCCCACCGGAACTTCAAACTCAACGTACCCAAATCAGAGATCACAGCTTTGCTCCCAACTTCATTTCTCTTTGCTCATCATTTCAATCCATCAGGCTCCACACTTCGCTGTTACTTTAACTCCTTCCTTTCCCAGTGCCCTCTATCTAATCAGTTCCCAGGGCAGTCAGCACTACATCTGCACTGATTGCTCATCATCCCAGTTTTCCATTTCTCTCCAGGGTCACTACTGTGATTCATGTTCTTATTCTCTCCTACTCTGACCACATCTGTCAGCACATATTTGTTCTAAGCATATTTTTGAAGAAATGACCATATACCAGACACTGACTAGGTATTGGGAATATAGCAGGAACCAAACAAGACAACAGCCTTCCTCTGATGGGCCTTATGTGTTATTGTAGGGAAAGAAAAAACAAAGGAGGAGCAAAGAAAGGCATACAGGAAAACTTCAACATTCTCTCCCTCAACTCTTTTATTCAACAGAACAAGATGCTCTATTACCATCTCATGCCGTATTCTGCACTAAAGTGAACTGTAATGAAACCCAGAAAATTTGAGAGACATTTTACATAGCTAATGGTAAAAAAGAGGAAAAGCAAATGCCTATATTGTTTCCCTAAACCTCAACTCTTGCTTAACTTTATAAAGTCATTTTTATATGTTAAGAAACAACTCCTAAACATTTGAGGGAAGACGGAGTTAATTAGCCAAAAAAAAAAAAAAAAGTGTACTTATGCCTTGCTGTAGCTAAGACTGTGAAACAACAAGCTTTTGTTACTAGGAGGAGAATTAGTTGTGTGTGCCTGTTTCGATCATTTCGTTGGAAACCTAAAAATCTAAATTATGGGTATTATACTTGAAAGGATTAGCTCATCAAATTGATGCTTATTGAGCCTAAAAAGCAATCAACAAGACTTGTGTTTTTTCATAGTCCCAACATTAATTGCTGATTTTAAGGACTTATATACTTGAGTGATTGATTTATCCATTCTTTCATTCATTCACTGAACAAATGTTTATAAAATGTCTACTATGCGCCAGGGATGGGGCTGATTTCTGGGGTAGAGAAATATGATGTTGTAATTATCCTTAAGAAATTTGCATTCTAGCATGACAAGAAATTGTGAAACAATGAGAAAGATGAAAGCTATAATTACAAATCAGACAAGGTTCTACACAGAAGGTTCTGTGGAAGACGGTAGGGTGGAGTCCCACAAATGTTCACCAAAAAGAGACACCTAGGTTGGGCCTTGAAGGATGAATGTTTTTCAGTCAAGAGGAAGAAGAATGTCACAGACAGAAGGAAGAGGATGTACTCAGAGCATGGAACAGCAGAACATTTTCCACTGGGGCAACTGCTAATAGATGACATGATAAGAGCTCCTACTTCAGACGACAGAGGAGGAATGGACCAGCTACCAAACTTGAGCAGAAATATCAATATGGTATCAGACTTGCACAAAATTAGCAGATATTGGCCAGTTTCCGGTGTTAGCTTGTTTGACACGTACTCAAATGACCAACAACCATGCAATATGAATAGACATATGCATGAATCTATTCCAGTAGCATCAGTCAGTGGTAAACTTTCAGACTTGTGAGTCTGTCTTTAACCACTTCACAATTCCTACACAACCTTAAATTAACATACCGTGAATGTGCTTGGTTTGTCTAAGGCAACCATGAATTTATTAAAAGGAATTTTTGTTCTCCCTGCCAGTTTGTGTTATCTAGTATTTGGCTGTTTGTGTTGTTACCACAGCAACATTTGGACAGATAAATTTGGCACAGAACATGTGGTACTGCTAAAATACCGCTTTATGAAGTACTTTCTGGTACTATTTCCACCAGGATAGTCAAAGATAATGTAAGGGAGCCACTGTCTGGGCAGGAATCAAAACAGAAAAGGGGATAAAAAATAAGGCACTGGGTTAGATAAGGGCTTCGTGGACCATGTCCTGTAGCAAGTGATCAATAGTTCTTTCTGGAACAGTCTCTGAGGCAAACCGTGGGTTAAATGATGCTAATAATGCCAACGTGAACTTGGCCCTCCCAAAGGAGGAAAGGGTAGTCAGGTTTTCCAACCTAATTGGCCGTCAATCACTTTTTCACCTAGAGGCTCAGTGACCTTCCAATGAAACACACATTTAAGAAATGCTGGGTTAGATAATCTTATAGCTTCAAAAAATTATATCAACAGAAGATACTTAAATGCATATTACTAAGCAAAAGACGCTTATCTTAAAAGACTACATATCACATGATTTTAACTATATGACATTCTGGAAAAGGCAAATCTATGGAGACAGTAAAAAGATCAACAGTTGCCAGGGGTTAGGGATGGAGAGATGGAGGGAAGAGCACAGAGGATTCTAGGGACGGCGAAACTACTCCACATGATACCATAATGGTGGACACGTCCATTTGTCCAGACCCATAGAATGTACGTCAAGAGGGAACCCTAATGTAAACTATGGGCTTGGGTGATAATGACATGTCAATGTAGCTCCACTGACTGTGACACATGTGCCACTCTGGTGGGGGAAGCTGTGGGTGCAGTGGGGAGGCTGTGGGTGTGTGGGGCAGAGAGTATATGATACTGCCCTAAGTTTTCTGCTTAATTTTGCTGTGAATCTAAAAGGGCTCTAAAAATTAAAGTTTTTCAAAAAAAATTATATTACATTCTACATGGAATAACTACAAAATTAGAGGAACATCTTCTCACTGAGCTGTGATCCTCAAGGTCCCTTTTCTATATAGTAAAAACAGTATTTGGATTTTGTTTTGTTTTTTCAGTTACAGCCTTACCTGCATTTTTAAACACAACTTTCAGGTATTTGGGGACTACATTATTACCAAATCTTGGCTTTGGGAGTACATTATATAGGTCTTATGAACTCATTTCTACTGAGAATGAATTTACTTGCCCCACGTGTCTCTGTACCTAATTGTCAGGAAATGTCTACTTTTTTTGTTGGGGGTTGGGGGGGTGCGTATTTCTCTATTTCTCCTCAAGCTGTAGGCACAATTATTGAATAAGCCCTGTACTAGGTACTGTGGTAAAAAGACAAGAAGTAGAAATCTTGGTCCCTTAAACACAAAGAGTTTGCAAACTGATTGGGGAAAATTAAAAATTGCAAGGGGCAGAGATGAGACAATTAGAAAAATATATCTAAGATTGATTGGCCAGGCATAATAGTAGGCCTAGGTATTTAGTAATAAGATGTGGCCCTTCTCCTCATGGAGCAGAAGTCTATGTAGGGAGAAAAATGTTAAATCAGCAAAAACACAAACAAGCATATGTGATAAGTGGCACAAAAAGAGCATGTGTCATGTAGCCTAATGAAGCTAATTTTGGATCTGGAGTAGGCTTCTCTCACGATGTGACATTAGTCCATTGAAAAGCCAGGGAGTGGTGTTCTAGGCAAAGGAAGAGCATGTGCAAAGTCTGAGATGAGAAACTGCTTTCAGTTCCTGAAAAGATGCATTGCAAAGGGGAGTGGGCATAAGGGGAAAATGGAGAGGTGAGCAAGGCCCAGCATGCAGGGCCTTGAGGCCAAGGGAAGGAATTTGCCTTTTATTCTGGTGAAAATGGAAAGCTTTTGGAGCATTTTAAGCAGAGGAGTGTCATCATCAGCTTAATGTTTTAACAGCATAGGACACTGGGAATCACCCAAATTTGCTGATTCAGTCACTGATCCATTCTCTAATGAAATGGAAGTCCAGAGAAGGAAAAAGTCACGTGGGTTGAAGTTTAAACGTGACATGAGTCAGTTAAAACTGACTCTAGCTATTCGGGGAGGGGGTGGATCATTCACTGGGAAACAGAGCCTATCCTAGAGTTACAAGAAGCTTCCTAAGCTATCAGTGGGGGTGATATCTGTGTGTGTATGTGATGGAGAAGAGGTAGGTCTTCTCATTCAAAGATCTTGATTTGAGCCGGGAGGAGAGAAAGATACTGCAAACAGGAAGGACAAACTAAAAGGCCTCCCTTGTTCCTTAGCATCAGTGCATCGATCTTATGCCCCAGCCTCTGCTATTATAACAAAATCTTCTTTGAGAGATGTAACATCGCCAGCTGCTATTTGAGTTGGTGACATGCTTTAGCCAGGGATTAGGTAGTTAACAGTCAGCTGAAAACAAGATAGGTTAGCAGGGCCCAAGTGAGTGGAACTCAGAGTAAAGAAGTAGCTGGTGATGTGGTACAAGACTCCCTCTTCCACATTCTTTTCCTTCCCAATGCTGAACTAGGAATCAGGAGACTCAATCCTAGACCTTGCTCTGCTGCAACCTGGCTGTGTGGCCTTGGGGAAATCATTCACTTCTCTGAGCCCCTTCTGAAGCACATGTAAATTGTGAGAGTTGAACTATATGCTCATGAACGTGCTTTTCCATTCTCACTTGCTGTTATTCTATGATTCTCTCTACTGAAAGAAAGCCCATCCTTGAGAACTCTTCATAGCAAAAGTAGGGGGAGGGTGTGCAAGGGAAAGAAGAGGAGGAGGGTTCTACATTTGAACAGCTGCCAAGCTCACAACAGTGTTGTAATATGCCTGTGTTGCTCCCTAGAGACAAGGTCTGGGCTTAAAGAATAGCCCAGGGGCTGAGATAATACAAAGAAGCGGAAGCATTTTGCTGCATGCTCCACACAGCCCATTTCATTTTTAATACTGCAAGCAAACCCATGACGCGCAACTCTGCCTCACACTACCAAGGTGGAGAGAGCCTCCTGTCTTGGGAGGCAAAGATGCTTTTAGAGCATGAGTTCAGAATGTCTGGTTCCCAGGAGTCACTGATTATAATCAAATAGCATAAGATAAGCTTGCTTTTGAAAATATGCAAAGTTTGATTTGTGTAGATTAAAAGGGCTCCTAGTTTATCAAATGATCTTTGAATTTTTATTGTATTTTAATATAAAATGTTCTCATACATAAAAAAGTATAACAGGGTGGGTAGCCAAAATAAGATTTGTCTTGTATTGATAATTGTCAAAACTAGGTGACTGGGTACATATGCATTCACTATACCATTGTCTTTACTTTTGTATCTGTTTGAAATTTTGCATACTTAATTTCTAAAATAGAATAAATTTGGTCAATTTAAAATGTACCCAAATTGGATTTTTCAAATATATTTCTAAGTTCCATTGAAAAACCAGATATCTGCATAGGTCAGGGATTAGCAAATTATGGCCCATAGGCCAAATCTGGTCTACTACCTGTTTTTGTAAACAAAGTTTTATTGAAACACAGATAGGCTTATATTTTTTTGTATTATCTGCAGGTGCTTTTATACCATGATACCAAAGTTGAATAGTTACAGACCATTCAATAAAGACCATATAGCCCATGTAGCCAAAAATGTACTTATATGCCTTTACAGAAAAAAATTGCTGACCCCCTAATCTATAGATTGTAGTATAAACTGCCTTTGGCATATGTGAATTGTGGAGACAACACATACCTAATTCTAATCCTAATACCTCAGACTGGACCACGATACCAAACATCCAACATAGACAAAACAGCTAGTCTCGGGGGTCCAATACTTTGTCATGATGGAAACATTCCTTATCTGTACCTATACAGTAGCCACTTGGCCACATGTGATTATAATATTAAGCATTTTGAATGTGGCTATGGAGACTGAGAAACTGAATTTTAAATTTTATTCCATTTTAATTAATTTAAACGTAAATATCCACATATAGCTAGTGACTACCATATTGGACACCACAGAGCTGGAATTTTGATGCTTTAGCCAGTGAGTGGTATACTGGTAAATGTTAAATAACAAGGTGGGCACATGCATACACACACCCTCCTCGATTTGTAGTGTTTGCCAAGTTTGCTGATTTCCGTGCTGTAAATACTCCCACTACGGCAGATTTCAAACCACTGATGTGATGTCACCAAATGCTGAGTTGAGAGATACACAGGATTGGTGCTCACGAGCCAGTGCCAGCTGGCTGCAGCATACCAATGTCTAGCCTTCTGGGGATACAGGCTTCTTAGCCACACATGATAAAGCATACAAGGTGGCAAAGAAGCTCAGATAAGCCAGAAGTGAGCAGAGATATCAGATTCATTTGTGGCTCTGAATAAAGGCAGGAAAAGAAAACAAATACAAAGAGCAAAACTACTCAAAAAGGTAGTTCTACTAAGGAAGAAAGTGGAATCCAAAGGGGCAGCACAGGGAAGAAAGCTCAATTTCTACAGAATAGCCTCCTTCCAAATAAGCCTCATCTTTTTGAGGAATATCTATGCCAAGCAGGATATCTTTCCATACATCTCAGATTTTCAGTGCCCGAGAGGACCAAGAACAAACAATGTTACCCACTTCTCAAATCTTGAATGCTTGAAGATTCACATGAAATTTATCATTAGGAATAGAAGTCATCCCAGCAGCCATCCTGCTTCAAACCTACAGTTATGAAAAAGACCAAACTGTAAAGGGAGATAGCAGAGGTAAAGGCTTACAAACAAGCACACCTGCTAAAGGGAATTCATCACTGACTCAAAATAGAAGCAGAGATCTTATAGGCTAGCAAATTCTGGGATCCTATTTTTCTTATTCCAAAGTCATATAACCTAGACACTTGTATTCTTGGAGTGCACTTTCACAAAAGGAGCCAGCCACTCAGCTTAGGCACTATTTTAAGATGGGAAAACAGCGAAAAGAGAATTTAAGCTACATAGCACAGGACACAGCGAAAGCAGGGAAGAGAAAAGGATGAGCTTGGTGGAAGGAAAAAGGATGAGGAGGAAAACTGAGGAACGGCGGAACCAGAAGTAAGCCAAAACAAAACTAAATGCTGGCAAATATTGTAGAGGATACTAAAAACTCAAGGCACCAGAAGAGAGGAAGGAGAGAGGGAGGGAGGGAAGGAAGGAGGGAAATCAGTGTAGCATTCAATAAATATTTACTAAGCTGCAGTCAACAAGCTAGCTGCTGTGCTGCAGAGACAAGGTAAATAGTGCCCAGCCCCAGAGCCCTGTGTGCATACTCATGAGAGAAAGAACATGTGCCCGTGTGTGAGAGTGTGATGGCGTGATAGGGAAGGGGAAATTTTGTTGATTTTTTCATTTCTAATTTTGATTTTTGTGGGTACATAGTAGGTGTATATATTCACAAGTTTCCTCAGATGTTGATACAGGTATGCAATGTGTAATAATCACATCGTGGAAAATGGGGTATCCATCCCCTCAAGCATTTATCCTTTGTGTTTCAAGCAATACAATTATACTCTTTTAGTTATTTGTAAATGTACAATCAAATTATTATTGACTATTGTCACCCTGTTGTGCTAGCAAATATTAAGTCTTATTGATTCTAATTATTTTTGGGGAGGGGGGAGAAAGGGGAAATTTTGGAAGCAGGATCTCTAATCAGCCCAAGGGAGGATCAGGGAAGTCTTCCTGAAGAAATATCATCTGTAGCGAAACCTGAAGAATGAGTGAACAGGAACTAACCAGGATAAGATATGGGAAGATCATTCCAGATAGCCAGAAAGGCATATTTAAAGGCCTAGGGCCAAAGAATGCCTAGTCCATTGGTGTGGGGACCATACATCCCTGTTTGCCTGGGATGGTCCTGGTTTGTTCTTATAGTCCAGATGTAATTATCAATGCCTAACTATCAACAGACAGTCTCAAAAAGTATCCCCTATGTGGTCTCTGGCAGAATTTGGAAGGGAACCTAATGGGACAAAGAGTGACCACCTCCCCCGACCACCTGTTTTCTGCAGCAAAAGGAACCCATGCTGAGGCCCCAGGGCCCCGTGATGGTGCGGTGTGTGTGCTGGAAGGGTAGATGGGCCAGCGTGAAGTGTGGTGAGCTGAATTAAGGATAGGTCCTGCCAGTATGGAGAAACAAACAGGAAAAAAAGACTGGGGAGAGGCAAGTATTTCAAAAAGCCAGAACCAAGTACAACAGCTAACCCCCTGATTCTCCCAGAAAGTGGTTTAAAAGTGCCTCCAGGCAAAACCAGAGAGAAACTTGAGTGTTATCGACCAGTTAGCACATGATTTTGATCCTTCATCTAAATTATTTAGAACAAAGTTACAGGGGAATTTAATTGTAGAAAATAGACAACGAGAGTCAGATCCAGAGGGGAGCTGAAATTCCTAAAATGTTCTGTTGCCATCACAACGAAAGAGACTATAACCTCTTTATTACTACAGCAGGCAATTATTTGAGTGCTCTTTGAGCCCCTCTGTGAGTTGGAGTCGATGGAACAATAATGAAAGAAAGACAATTCTTTTATCACCAGAAAATAAGTGCTAGTTTTCAAATAACATTTACACTTCTCGATGCCTGGGTGATATTTTTCAGTGACCACCATAGGGCTTAGAAAAAGAGAAGTTATGTCAGACTGCTCAAGGTGACTCACAGCTGGTCTTGTCCCTGGTTTGATGTGGGTAGAGCTGACCTCAAGAGACTGAGATAGGACACTTGAGCTACCCAGGATTGTTCTGGGTCACCAGGTCCTAACTCCATCCCTCAGCAAGACAGGAAGCCAGAGACTCTTACCTTTAGCACTTTTGTTTGCTTTCCCGCTGAACATTCTGTGGCATCACCTCTCCCATCCCAGGTTCCTAGCGCCCATATGTTCTATGAGCTTGGTTCTGTGGAGTTCCCAAGTTACTGCCACAATCACTGAGAAAGTGACCAGTGTCAACCAACATCAATGGCTGGTCCCACCAGTTGCCATTATTCAACTAAATTCTACTAATTTTGACCTGTTCTGCCTATGTGAGCTCTCAAATTTCCATTAGGACCCAGGAGAGATTTGGATAGCTGGGTGTCCTTACAGCAAAATCTGAATTAGCCAAAATATTCAAGGAGAGAGAATTGTTCACTCCAGTTCTCTATGGAATCCAGTTCTCTCTGAATCAAGAATCAAGTTGGACTCTCTGTTAAACAGAAGATTCAAAACCAGTGCCAGAATTACAATAGGCTATGGCATAATGGAAGATGAGGGGGGAGACCTTCACTGCCTATTGTTTATGCCTGAAACCATGGACTCTTAGAACATTAAAGCTTTAAAATATAGTTTGGAAGTCATCTAGTTCAGCCCATTCATTTTACAGATATACTGAGTCTAGGGATATTGAGTTACCCAAATGGTGTATCTTATTATAGCAAAAGGATATTTGTTACAAGGGGAATGGCATATATAAAAGACAGAGATGGGTCCCACCTTCTGATGCTTCTGATGACTGTTAAGGTCTCTTCTCTCTTTTGATGTAGTTATTTATCAAAGGACTAACATGTGGTCCCCAATATTCGGGCAAGAAGGGAGGCACAGAGACTGGTATTCAAATAGAGAAGGGACTTAATGAATATTAGGTCACACATCCAAGAATCTCTTAGAACTTTTTCTATTTGGGTCAAGGTTATATTTTCTACAGGGATGGAAGATTGGTGGTGGGACATGAAACTGGCCCTGGTCACCTCTTGGTGAGTCCAAGAAAAAGACAGAATTGTTTCTTGTATCCATGGCAGGTAAGGTATGGCCAGTAAAATTATAATTCGATGAAATTCAAGCAATGGCAAACTTTTGTAATTTGCTGCTACACTGCAACATGAACTAACATCACTATGAGAAATGAGAGGAAAGCCAGCACAGTGGCTCATGCCTGTAATCCCAGCACTTTGAGAAGCTGAGACAGAAGAATCACTTCAGCCTGGGAGTTTGAGATCAGACTGGGCAACATAGGGAGACCCCATAGCAACAACAAAAAAATAAAATTAAAAACAGCTCGGCATGGTGGCACAGGCCTGTGGTCCCAGCTAGTCAGGAGGCTGAGGTGGAATGATCACTTGGCCCCAAGAGTTCGAGGCTATAGTGAGCCATGATCACGCCACTGCACTCCAGCCTCTGTGACAGTGCAAGATCCTATCTCAGAAAAATAAAAAAAGAGAGAGATTATTTGTTTGTTTGTTTGCTTGCTTTTGAGACGGAGTCTCGCTCTGTCGCCCAGGCTAGAGTGCAGTGGCGCAACCTCAGCTCACTGCAAGCTCCGCCTCCCGGGTTCACACCATTCTCCTGCCTCAGCCTCCCGAGTAGCTGGGACTACAGGCACCCACCACCACGCCCGGCTAATTTTTTGTATTTTTAGTAGAGATGGGGTTTCACCATGTTGGCCAGGATGGTCTCGATCTCTTGACCTCGTGATCCACTCGCCTCGGCCTCCCAAAATGCTGGGATTACAGACGTGAGCCACCGTGCCCAGCCGAGAGATTAAAATGGTAAATAAAAAAATAGAAAACTAAAAGGAAAAATAACAGCGTTCTGTTTTCTTGATTTTGCTGATACTTCACATTTAATAACTCTTTGAACTAAGAACCAGGCCCATTTTCCTGGTTAAAAATGCCTACTCATACAAAAGTGCCCTGGGGACATGAGTTACCATGGCTAATACCAAGTTTGTTGGCATAAAAACTACAAAACCATGACCAACCTAGCAGACACCTCAGAGATAAGTCACAGTTAAAGAGATACAGCCTAGGAAACCAAAATGTATTTTCAAAATAATTTTGCTTGCGTTTATCAAACACTGAATGGAGACATGGTTCATAAAATTCCCTTTCCCTCCCCATCCACTTTCCTTTCATGGGCAGTTCACAGAGTTCCTCTCTAATCCAAACCTTTCAAAAAACTCTTTTCCCACCTCTGCCACAAGAATCTTATTTCCCCCATCACTTTATGGTGGCCTTGATGATTCATTTAACCCAGTCTCTATTTTTCAGTCCTAACATCTTGATATCATCGTGTCCAATCATCCTGCAATTCCTAATATCCAGGTATCATTCCACAGAGACTGAACCAGAGATGGCCTGAGGTCTGTCTCTATACTCAAAAGCAGTCCCCCATTTCAGCTGGAAACTCTGGTCTAGCTAACAGGACTTAGCTCGCTCTCTCTTTCACTGAGAAGTTGTTCATTCCCAGACACTCTCCAGTCTCCCATGCAAATAGATTATTGGCAAGCACAACCCACCTTTCCTTAGGACTCATCTGCACTCTAGAGTAAAAGTTTAATCTCAAGCCAAGATCCCTTCTACTTAGAAGATGTCTCCCTAGGGAGGTAGGGCAATGCCATGAAGAGGTCAGCTGTCAGCCTCACAAAGACCAGGGTTTTAATGCAGATCTGTCATTTTCTATAAAATCAGATTAACAATATCGACCTTTCAGAGTTGTTGTGAGGATAAAAATGAAATACTGGATGTAAAATACTCAGCAAGGATATCTGTTATTTTTATTTTTCATTATCATCTTGGTCATTCTAGAGGCTGGCAGCTACACTGGCTTTGCTCCCATCAGTATCATTTATCAGTTGCATTCTGCATCTCATCTCCATAAACGGCCCCTCATCTCCCCTCCCAAGTGGCTCATGTATATGTTTTCTATCTCCCTTTGCTCCAGGGCTCAGTGTCTCCCACTTCAATCACTGATAAACATGTGTGCATGGTCATGATGATCTGCCTGCTATACCTGCACTGACACTAACCCTCGGCAGTTATATGTCCATAAGAAGGAAGTCATAGGGCCGGGCAGGGTGGCTCACGCCTGTAATCCCAACACTTTGGGAGGCTGAGGTGGGCGGATCACCTGAGGTCAGGAGTTCAAGACCAGCCTGGCCAACATAGTGAAATCCCGTCTCTATAAAAATACAAAAATTAGCCGGGCATGGTGGTGGGTGCCTGTAATCACAGCTACTCAGGAGGCTGAGGCAGGAGAACTGCTTGAACCCGGGAGGCAGAGGTTGCAGTGAGCCAAGAATGTGCCACTGCACTCCAGCCTGGGTGACAAAGCAAGACTCTGCCTCAAAAAAAAAAAAAAAAAAGGAGGTCGCCCTTATCCCTTTTCCCCCCAAGGCCCAGAGCATCTGCTCCCTAAGTCATTGAAATTGCCTTGGTTTTGAATGGAGGTTTGTCAAAATCTTCATAAAGTGCTCATATGAAATTCTATTATCAAGAGGCTTCTCTGGAAATGACAATGGTAATGAAAAATATGGACTAAAGTATCAAAGCTCAATTTTTTAGCAGTCAAGATTATATTTTTTCATTAAATTGAGGCTGCAAAGCAAAAAAAAAAAGATCATTAATCAGACTTATAATGAAAAATTACAGATAACATATTCCTGTTCAGAGTAACCAGAAGTATAGACACTCAGAGAAAAAAACTGATGTAGAGGAATCTGGGGGAGCTGCCTCTATGGGGCATTTAAATTGTCATCTCTTCCCACAAAAATCAGCCTCCTCAGCACTCCTCAGAATCAACCTTTGAATCAGTGTCAGAGCAACAAGTGACATCTCTGACCTCCAGGAGAAATTCAGGGAGCTCAACAACAACAAACAGAGTCCCATAAAAGAAACTGCAGAGGGCAACATCTGGGCTTGCAAAGCATGTTACTTATTCCTCTGCTCAGAAACTGCCAGGGGTTGCTGCCATCTATTGTAGCAAGGCCTAGCTACTCAGCTTGGCGTCCAAGGTTCTCTCTAAACCTGCACAGGCCTGCTTTCCCCACCTAGGCTCCCACTGCTCCCCACCAATACCCTCTCTGAGGACTAAGCCAATTCCTTCCCGACATCATGCTCCCTCCCACCACCTCCGCTTTGTCCATGCTGTGTCCACAACTACCTTTTCCAACCTTCACCGATGCCTCATGTCTCCAAATTCTCAATGCAATGATGTCTTTATTTGTTCCAGGTCAGTTACTACCCTTCCTTAATTAGACTGTTTGTTCATTGAAAGCAGGGGAAGGAACGTTTACATTTCTGTATACCCCGTAGTCCCTGCCACAGGCTGGATTCATAACAAGTGTTCAATAAATGCCATTGAGCAGTTAACTTTTTTCTGGGTAAAGAGAGTTGAATGTAAATGAATATATTTCTTGGCAAAAGTGAAGATAAAAAAGAGAAAAGAACATTCGATGAATACTGACAAGGAACTACACTGTGCTTTTCATGTTGTCTCAAAAATTCTTCACGATAATTCTATGAGATTATTTGTTAATCTGTAAAATGGGGTAGCACAAAGTTCTGAGGAGGTTAAGCAACTCTGCCAAGGGTATACAATTTGTAATAAACAGAGCACAATTTAAACTCAAGTCAATCTGACTCCAGAGCATATGCTCATTCCAAGAATTTTTATGATTGCCGTCACTGTCATCATGGTCACCTGCAATAGTGCTGAGCCATTTAGCTGTAGAGAGACTTTTCATGGCCACTCTCTGTGTCTTTGCAGGCCACAGGCCTCAGGTAAACAACTGCAGACATAAATCTATCCACGGCAAGGCACAAGCCTTCACATTTTCCTTGACCTCTTCTCCAGAAGGGTCAATAAAAGAGGCAAAGAGCACCAGTTCTTTGGGCCCCTTCCCACATGTCTATGCTCCTCCTACCTTTGGTCAACTCACCGATTAGGACAATGGTGAATAAAGACTTGGGTCATGGCCGGGCGCGGTGGCTCACGCCTGTAATCCCAGCACTTTGGGAGGCCGAGGCGGGCGGATCACGAGGTCAGGAGATCGAGACCATCCCGGCTAAAATGGTGAAACCCCGTCTCTACTAAAAATACAAAAAATTAGCCGGGCGAGGTGGCGGGCGCCTGTAGTCCCAGCTACTCGGGAGGCTGAGGCAGGAGAATGGCGTGAACCACAGGGGGCGGAGCCTGCAGTGAGCCGAGATCGCGCCACTGCACTCCAGCCTGGGCGACAGCGAGACTCCGTCTCAAAAAAAAAAAAAAAAAAAAAAAAAAAAGACTTGGGTCATTCAAATACACAATAACTAAAGGGTAGTATGAGAAAAAGGAGACTCCTTTCTCTACCCCATCCCAGCCATGTGTCCCTGGGTAAATCTCTTCATTTTTCTGAGATTCAGCTGTCTGATCAGTAACTTAAGATCCTTTGAGACTCCAAAAGCTGGTGTGACTCTAAGTGCTACATAAGTGTTGAAAATTAAGACCCTAGATTTTCACATTAAAGAGCAAATTCAATTTTGCCTCTTTTGGAGAAGGGATTCAGCCAAATAATCAAAGTTCATTTTAAAGGACAATTTTTAAGGGTAAAACTGTAACTCTTGCACAAATATAAAACATAAAAGGAACATGTGTCAAATATTTTATATAACCTATTAATTGATGATAGAACAGTAAAATGTTACACTCAATGAAAATAATTCAAAGAACATATAGACAATCAGGAATGCTAAAATAAATTTAAAAATAGATGTGGTCTATATCCATACGGCAATAATGCATTGCATTTAATGGGACAAGAATCATTGGCTTTATGCTTAGGTTCTATTATACAACTTAAAGAGTTTTAAAAACAGCTCATAAACAATGAGAGGAATAGACGACTATAGCATCAGATAATCCAGATGGGTATGCTAGACAATACCTAGAATCCCAAAGAATACCCAATAATCTCTTTTATTCTGTTTCTTTTGGTGGGCAGGGGGTGCGTATTGCAAAGTCTTTTATACAATTAACACATATCCTATCTGTCTCAGATTGTATTCCATGGGAGAAGCAGGAAAACAGTGACAAAGTCAACAATGAAAGAGAAGAAGTTGAGCTGAACAGTCAGAGCCTTATAAGCCAAACTGGCTTCTCTGATTTTACAGGACATCCTCACTTTAGTGGGCATGCTGTGGTGAGAATCCACACCAGGTCAGTAGTCTTGGGCTCCTGAGCCTTCTTCCATGTCTTAAAACAATCCTTTCTGAAGGAGGTACTGAGGAATGGCTTGCGATTAGGTCCCTGTAACATAATATTTTAAAAATCATAGTGTTGCCCAGGGAAGAGAAACATCAATATCACCTGGGAGAATGTTAAAAATGCAGATTCTAGGCCATGGCTCTAATGTCCTGAATTAGAATCTGCATTTTTCACATGATTTCCATGCGATTTGGATGAAAATAAGTGTTTGAGAAGCCGTGGTTTAATTAAAATATCACAGCACTCCCACTTATCAAGTAACTGTGCCATCTTCATCAAGTCAATTCACTTTATGGGCCTCAGTTTCCTCACTGTAAAATAAGAAGGCTGGATCCCTGGCCTTGAAGATCCCCTCCTGGTCTCTGAATCCATTTTCTGAAGATCTCTCTCTGATGTCAAGCTCCAAGACCAATGTCATGCCACCTACCTCTGGAGCTTGAGTAACGCAGAGATTTAGCTGAGCTGTGCTTACATTTTCCTCTGTGTCCTTCTCTGGGAAAAATAAATTGACACAGTGACTCTAATGACATTACCCCTCTGTCTGGAGTACCAGCAATGTGCCAGGATTCCCTGAGAACCGCATGAGTAAGAAATTGCACCATCTGCTTTCACGTCAGGAGTTTCCACAGTTTTGCTCCCTGATGGAGTGTATTGCCTTTTAAATCCCAAAATAATCAATTCTGACAAGAAAAAGTCAGATATGCTTTTCAAATTATGAAAACACACACAACACTCAACAAATTTCCTGACAACACGGTATAAGGAGAAAGTGAATTGCCCACTTATTTTTAACTTATTTGTTTTCTTCAAGTAAGCCTGCTTGTTCTGCAGGGAATCTCTGACCTCAGGGCTACACAGAAAAGCACAGAACTTTACAAAGCCCTCTCCTCACCATGGCAACCTACAGCCCCCTCTGTAGTGAGCCACAACTGTACTAGGTCCATGTTTACGGGGAGGGATGGGGTGGGGAGGATCCTGTAAGGAAGCTTCCACATTTGGATGCAAATAGTGCTACCTACATGAAGATGAGGTATTTTCCACTATTGTCCTTTATTACACGAACATGGGTACTATCCCAGAATTTGTTCCAAGTTCAACTCCAGTGCCTATTTGAAATCTATGTAGGGCACAAAGATTCTGAACCAATGGGCTCCACAGCAATATTTAAGCCCTCACTGCAGTACAAGCACCACCACACTCATCAAGAGAAACTAGCTTGCAGCAATTTCCCACTTGTGTTCATTCAGCTCCCAACTCTGCCCCTGGGTACCAGAACCCTCCTGCTACCACACTGATCTCTTCTCTCTCCCCAGATTATTCAACTATTTACTGGGAATTTGTGGAACACCTATTCTCTGCCAAGTCCTGAACCTAGAGCTCAGGCTTTGGTGGTAAGCAAGACAGGCACAGACACAGTCTTAGATCTCTCATGAAGCTCAGAATTTGTTGGGACGCACAAATGTTACACGGATAGAGACCCAAGTCACTTCAATACATAATTTCAGACTAAAACAGTGAAGCCTGATCCAGTCGTGACATTGAAGCAGCCTTCCATGGTGGATTAATTTCCTGAAAAATGTTTTTCTCCCCATATCCCACAGTTTCTTAGAGTGACTCTCCCCTATACAGTCAGAGAAATTCTGTACTCTGAAAGACGAACAGAATTTTTATAATAAGAATACAAAGACAAAGAAACAGTCCATTCACAGATTTTGAGTTCCAAAATACACTTTTAAATCTGTTATAAGAGCAAACTGACTTGGAAACCAAAGCTTTCATTGGCAAGAGCTGGGTTTCTGGAGAAATAAGAGCTTTCTGAGTTCTCAAAGCCTACACTTGAGGATCAATCAGAAAACACTGAAGGAATCAGAGTATCAGATTACTCCATGATAATGCTTCAAAAGGAGAATAATTGAAGAGTGAATGTACATATTTACATGGTCCCAGGGGTTAGCTGTAAGAGGGAAAGTCAGCACATTTTGTGGATGTCTTATGACCAAGAAAAGAAGCATGTTAACAGAGGTTGGGTGGTGGACTGCCCTGCTACGGAGGATATGAGAATGTTCGTAAGTCTCTCTTGACAATGATTACCCCTCCATGGTCAGACAAGATGGAACACCTTGATAGAAGCCAGAAGGACAGACACCATGACTAGAGATAAACCTAAAAGCAGTCACAGAAATAAACGCTATGTGGCTAGAGACCAAGGACTTGATATCTTCCCAAATGCCTTGACAATTTGCAAGCACCCCCACAAATTAGACATATTCCCATGGAGACCCAAAGGTGAGAAAAAACATCGCAGATGACTAAACTTAACTCTGGAGTTACAGAGAAAATCCTGGAAGTGATTGGGTTTAATGGATTAGCAAGATTGTGGGGGTTTTCCCCACCATTAGACAAAACAAGGCTTAAAAGTAAGGTAGCTGAGAAACAGAATATAGAATAGTCCATATCTGTTGCATACCTGAGTTATGTGGGTTAAACAGAGGACACCTACTACACTTTTCTGAAGGAGGACATTAAACAGGGACATACTAGAAAAGTAGGTATTTGCAGGTGAATCGAATTCTGAGTAGGAACAGCACAAATGATGTTGAGGCCCTTAACCAATGCAGGATTTGCTTAGCCTAAGAATTAATGGTCAGTGTGTCTGGAACAGTGTGAGGTGTGACAGGCGAGAGAAGGTCCACATCAGGCAGAGGTGTTTTTTTTTTGTTTTTTTGAGATGGGGTCTTGTTCTGTTGCCCAGGCTAGAGTGCAGTGGTGCAATCTCAGCTCACTGCAATCTCCTTCTCCCGGGTTCAAGAGATTCTCCTTCCTCAGTCTCCCAAGAAGCTGGGATTACAGGCACATGCCACCATGCCCAGCTAATTTTTTTTTTTTAAGTACAGATGGGGTTTCACCAAGCTGGTCTTTAACTCCTGACCTCAGATGATCCACCCACCGTGGCGTCCCAAAGTGTTGGGACTACAGGCATGAGCCATGGACCCAGCCTGAGGTTTCTTGCTAAAAAGTTTGGACCTCATCCTCAGAGCAAGCAAGGGGGAGGCACTATAGAGTTGTAAACAAGATAGTTATATATTAACAGCCATATGTTTTCACAAGATGATTCACTGATTTCAAAAGTTCATCCTCTGCTGCCATCAACCCCACACCCACATCCTCACACACATTCATCTGCCCCAAAGTTTCTCCTAGTTCACTGTCCCATGTTCCAGGACTCCTTTCTCTCTCAGGTGGTGGGCTTTCCCCTCTTTGTACAGAGTATTTCCTGCCCTTTGTTTTTATTTCTCAATGAGGTTACTTTACAAGTTAAGATGAGAGTATCAGGTGCTATTATAACAATATTTTGGTCAGGAACCAGAGAATGACCTCATCTTGCCCAGTTAATTACCCCTATCCCTCCCAACAAAGTTCTAGGAAGGTATTCACAGAAAACAAATGCAGAATGGAAATCAGGGTACCATTTTATTCCCAGCTGCATAAGAATGCTCTATGCCTGTGCATAGCTCTAATTAAAGGCTGAGTTGGATCAATGTTCAAGGTCAAAGAAAGGACCCCTATTTACTCTCTCCCTTTTCTAAATATTACAACAAAGATACTCATAAGTATCAACTGCGAATTAGAGAAACAGCTGAGACCATTAAAAAAGGTAAAAAGATTGGGTTCTGATCTTTTTTAGACATAATTAACCCCACTCTATCCCTCCCTTTGAAGCTAATCAAAGTCTCAGGCTTTGACCAATCAACCTGAGCAGAAGGGAGATGAAACCTCAAACCCCACAACCAGAGATAGGTAAAATTATTCAACCCCATCTTTGTTGCCAAACTTGACATTATAGCTTAATCCATTGGATTGACGGGCTAATCCAATATCAGTCACAAAATGTGGCTGTCACCCTTGAGGGAAGAACCAAAAAATTCATATCAGTCACAAAATGTGACTGTCACCCTTGAGGGAAGAACCAAAAAATTCTCGGGGAAATCTTGCTCAAAGAACAGTTGTGTGAATCAAATGAGAAGACAGGCTCATAATCAGCTCACTGCTGGTTAAAAACATGTCCTTGGTGCATTGCCTCACCTGTGAAAATCTGCATTTTGAAAAAGGACTGCAGGAGAAGCCTCAAAAGAATTCATTACTATCCTTGCAAAGTCAAGCAGGAAGAAAAGCCCATGTAGGACACATTTTTGACCACGGGGGTTTTCAAGAGTCTCTCAAAAATCACATACCAGAGATTACTTTCATCTTTCTCTTCATCTCTTCATTGTTCTTATCAGGCTAGATCTGAGATAATTTTATAAGAAAAGCTGATTCAAGGAAAAAAAAATCATAAAATATTTTAACTATCATGCCACCAATTAAGCATGATCAAAGTTCAAACTTTATTCCCAGGTTTTCCCCAAAATACTATCTCAAACACTGATTTGCAGTCTGCTTTCTACTATTTAACAGTAAAAAGTTAAAGAGAATATTCCTTTTTTTTCTAGAGGAAAACAATAGATACTTGATTGTTACACCTTATAAATCAGATTTTTTTTCAAATTCAAATTTTTAATCTTTAGTTCAGAAAATGAGACATATTAGGAAATATATGAGTGGATTGCTATTGCTTAAATCTTTATATATATATATATATATTTTATTATACTTTAAGTTCTAGAGTACATGTGCACAACGTGCAGGTTAATTACATATGTACACATGTGCCATGTTGGTGTGCTGCACCCATTAACTTGTCATTTATATTAGGTATATCTCCTAATGCTATCCCTCCCCCTCCCCCAATCCCACGACAGACCCCGGTGTGTGATGTTCCCCATCCTGTGTCCAAGTGTTCTCATTGTTCAATTCCCACCTATGAGCGAGAACATGCGGTGTTTGGCTTTTTGTCCTTGCGATAGTTGGCTGAGAATGATGGTTTCCAGCTTCATCCATGTCCCTAAAAAGGACATGAACTCATTATTTTTTATGGCTGCATAGTATTCCATGGTATATATGTGCCACATTTTCTTAATCCAGTCTATCATTGTTGGACATTTGGGTTGGTGCCAAGTCTTTGCTATTGTGAATAGTGCCACAATAAACATACGTGTGCATGTCTCTTTATAGTAGCATGATTTATAATCCTTTGGGTATATACCCAGTAATGGGATGGCTGGGTCAAATGGTATTTCTAGTTCTAGATCCCTGAGGAATTGCCACACTGACTTACACAATGGTTGAACTAGTTTACAGTCCCACCAACAGTATAAGAGTGTTCCTATTTCTCCACATCCTCTCCAGCACCTGTTGTTTCCTGACTTTTTAATGATTGCCATTCTAACTGGTGTGAGATGGTATCTCATTGTGGTTTTCATTTGCATTTCTCTGATGGCCAGTGATGATGAGCATTTTTTCACGTGTCTGTTTGCTGCATAAATGTCTTCTTTCGAGAACTGTCTGTTCATATCCTTCACCCACTTGTCAATGGGGTTGGTTTTTTCTTGTAAATTTGTTTAAGTTCTTTGTAGATTCTGGATATTAGCCCTTTGTCGGATGAGTAGATTGCAAAAATTTTCTCCCATTCTGTAGGTTGCCTGTTCACTTTGATGGTAGTTTCTTTTGCTGTGCAGAAGCTCTTTAATTAGATCCCATTTGTCAATTTTGGCTTCTGTTGCCATTGTTTTTGGTGTTTTAGACATGAAGTCCTTGCCCATGCCTATGTCCTGAATGGTATTGCCTGGGTTTTCTTCTAGGGTTTCTATGGCTTTAGGTCTAACATTTAAGTCTTTAATCCATCTTGAATTAATGTTTGTATAAGGTGCAAGGAAGGGATCCAGTTTCAGCTTTCTACATATGGCTAGCCAGTTTTCCTAACACCATTTATTAAATAGGGAATCCTTTCCCCATTTCTTGTTTTTGTCAAGTTTGTCAAAGATCAGATAATTGTAGATGTGTTGTATTATTTCTGAGGGTTCTGCTCTGTTCCATTGGTCTATATCTCTGTTTGAGTGCCAGTACCATGCTGTTTTGATTACTGTAGCCTTGTAGTATAGTTTGAAGTCAGGTAGTGTGATGCCTCCAGCTTTGTTCTTTTGGCTTAGGATTGACTTGGTGATGCGGGCTCTTTTTTGGTTCCATATGAACTTTAAAGTAGCTTTTTCCAATTCTGTGAAGAAAGTCACTGGTAGCTTGATGGGGATGGTATTGAATCTATAAATTACCTTGGGCAGTATGGCCATTTTCACGATATTGATTCTTCCTACCCATGAGCATGGAATGTTCTTCCGTTTGTTTGTATCCTCTTTTATTTCGTTGAGCAGTGGTTTGTAGTTCTCCTTGAAGAGGTCCTTCACATCCCTTGTAAGTTGGATCCCCAGGTATTTTATTCTCTTTGAAGCAATTGTGAATGGGAGTTCACTCATGATTTGGCTGTTTGTCTGTTATTGGTGTATAAGAATGCTTGTGATTTTTGCACATTGATTTTGTATCCTGAGACTTTGCTGAAGTTGCTTATCAGCTTAAGGAGGTTTTGGGCTGAGACGATGGGGTTTTCTAGATATACAATCATGTCATCTGCAAACAGGGACAATTTGACTTCCTCTTTTCCTAATTGAATACGCTTTATTTCTTTCTCCAGCCTGATTGCCCTGGCCAGAACCTCCAACACTATGTTGAACAGGAGTGGTGAGAGAGGGCATCCCTGTCTTGTGCCAGTTTTCAAAGGGTATGCTTCTAGTTTTTGCCCATTCAGTATGATATTGGCTGTGGGTTTATCATAAATAGCTCTTATTATTTTGAGATACATCCCATCAATACCTAATTTATTGAGAGTTTTTAGCATGAAGGGCTGTTGAATTTTGTCAAAGGCCTTTTCTGCATCTACTGAGATAATCATGTGGTTTTTGTCTTTGGTTCTGTTTATATACTGGATTACGTTTATTGATTTGCATGTGTTGAACCAGCCTTGCATCCCAGGGATGAAGCCCAGTTGATCATGGTAGATAAGCTTTTTGATGTGCTGCTGGATTCAGTTTCCCAGTATTTTATTGAGGATTTTTGCATCGATGTTCATCAGGGATATTGGTCTAAAATTCTCTTTTTTTGTTGTGTCTCTGCCAGGCTTTGGTATCAGGATGATGCTGGCCTCATAAAATGAGTTAGGGAGGATTCCCTGTTTTCCTATTGATTGGAATAGTTTCCGAAGGAATGGTACCAGCTCCTCCAGATTTTTAAAAATGAAGACTATGGATATGACGACTTAAATGCCACCTGAAGTGGAGAAAACACAGAGAGAGAAATAAATTGATCTAGTCACAGGAGTGGTGGAATTTCTTCTTTTGAGTGAGCCATGCTGAGGGACATTCCTAGCCACTGCCAGATGCCATCATTCCCTGGTCCTCCTACGGGAACTTTGAAATGATCATTTGCACATGATGGCAAAGAGTGGCTGGAGTGTAGTGGTCCTATCTTGATCTCAGAGGAGGTTGCAACATTTCCTACTTATCATCTTGCAAAAAAAAGATAAAAATCATGCAAAAGTGGCAAGAACAAAAAGAAACAAAAAGAAAGTCCACTTTCAGCAAAACTGGAAGATAGTTAAAACCTCAGATCCCTGCCTTGAATGTTCGTATCCCTCCAAAATTCACGTTGAAACTTAATCTCCAATGCAACAGTATTAAGTGGTGGGGTCTTTAGGAGTTGATTAGGTCATGAGGGCTCCTCCCTTGTGAATAGGATTAGGAAAGTTTTTCGATGGAGGAAACTAGCTTGGTCTAGTTTGCCCTTCCAGCTTCTGCCATGTGAGAACACAGCAACAAAGCATCATCTTAGAAGCAAAGACTGGGCCTTCACCAAACATCAGACCTACTTGTGCCTTAATCTTAGACTTCCCAGCCTCGACACTGTGAGAAATAAATTTCTATTATTTATAAATTACTAGGTCTCAGGCATTTTGTTATAGTAACACAACAGACTAAGACAAAAATTGATACTGAGTGTAGGATGTTGTTATAATAAATAATTAAAATTGTGGATGTGGCTTTGGCACCACATAATGGGTGGAGGCTGAAAGAGTTTGGAGGAACAGGCAAGAAAAAGCCTGAATTGCTGTGAACGGAGCACTCAGGGAGATCCTGGTGAGGGCTCAGAAGAGAAGAGTTGTAGAAAGAGCCTCATTTCTCTCAGATTATCTAAGTGGTTGTGAACAGAATGTTGGTAGAAATAAAGACACTAAAGACCATTCTAATGAGGTCTTAAATGGAAATAGGTATCAATATATGATATTGGAAACTGGAGGAAAGGCCATCCTTGTTATAAAGTGGCAAAGGCCAAATTGTGTCCTTGACTGAATTGTGTCCTTGTCCTAGTGTTTTGTGGAAGTTGAAACTTAAGAGTGAAGAACTAGGATCCTCGGCAGAAGAAATCTCTAAACAAAGTATTGAACGGGCTGCATGGCAATTACTTCACTGCTTATAGTAAAATGCAGAAAGAGATAAACTAAAGGCACAATTTTTAACTAAAAGGGATGCAGAACTTAATTGGAAAATTCTCAGCCTGTAAAAATGAGAAAACACATTCTGGAGAGAACACCAAGGATGTAGCTAAGCAAACATTTTGATGGAGAGATTAGTATAAATAGAAGAAAGTTGGGTGCCTTGATCAAGATGATGGAAGAATGACCTGAAAGGTATTTTGGAGAACTTTGAGGCTACCACTCTCACCATAGGTCAGAGTACCAAGGCTTTGAAAGCAGAATGGTTTCCAGGGGCGAGCCCAGGGTAGCATGGGACTTGGGCCTTGCTGCCCAGGGCCACCTCAAGCTTCTGCTCCACACATGCTAATGCAGCAATCCTTAGCCACCCTGGTGTGGCTTGGGCTGCCATTCCAGAGGGCACAAGCTATAAGCCTTGGTGGTGTCCATATGGTACTGATTCTGCAGGTGCAGGGTGCACAAGCTGAGGAGGCATGGCTACCGCCACCTAGATTCCAAACAGCACCTTGGAGAGACCTGGGGCCCAGGCAGAGAACTTCCACAGAGATGGGCCACCACAGAGCATCCCCATTAAGGCAATGCCCATTACAGCTATGGGGTCAGGGCCACTGCAGACAGCCTCCACTAAGAGGATGCGCTATGAAGCCTTAGTGGTGTGGCTTACCCCAAGACTGAACAACTGTAGATCCACCAATGTCCAAGTCTAGCCCAGGAGAGCTACAGGCTCTAGGCCTCAACCCATGAGAGCTGTAGCATGGGCTGTACCCAGCAATGCCATGGAGCAGAGTCCCCTGAAGCCTTGGGAACCAAACCCCAACCAAGTGACTAAAAAGTAAGACATGGAGTCAGAGATTATTCTCAAGCCCCAAGATTTAATGCTGTTTGCCTTGTTAGGTTTTAGACTTACGTGGGACTTGTTACCCCTTTTGTCCTTCCTATTTCTCCTCGTTAGAATGAGAATGTCTATCCTATGCCTGTTCCACCATTGTATCTTGGAAGCATATAGCTCGTTTGATTTCATAGGCTCACAGCTGGAGGGGAATTTGCCTCAGAATGAATCATACCTTGTGTCTCAGTGATATCTGATTTAGATGATATTTAGATAAAACTCTGAACTTCAGACTTTTGAATTCAATCAGCATTGAGTTAAGACTTTAGGTGCTATTGAGATAGAAAGAATGTATTTTGTATATGTGAAAGACTTGAACTTTGGGGGGCCGGGGGTGAAATGCTATGGTTTGAATGTTTGCCTGCCTCCAAATATCACGTTCAAACTTAATCTCCAATGCAGCAGTATTAAGTGGTAAAGGCTTTAGGAGGTGATTAGGTCATGAGGGCTCCTCTTTTGTGAATGAAATTAAGGCCTTTAAAGGGGCTTTATACAGTGTTTGACCCTTTTTGCCCTTTTGTTTCTTTGGCTATGTGAGGACACAGCATTAGTCCCCTCCAGAGGGCATAGCAACAAGGAGCTATCATGGAAGCAGAGACCAGAAAGACCAAGCTTTCACCAGACACTGAATCTGCCAGTGCCTTGATCTTAGACTTCCCAGACTCCAGACTATGAGATACAAATTTCCGTTATATATAAGTTACCCAGTCTCAGGTATTCTGTGATAGCAGCACAGACAGACACCCATGCACACACCAACTCTGCCTACAAAAATTCAAGAGCTGCAAACAACAATTGTAATTTAGAAGGGGCCATGCAGCAAGGAGCCAGAAAACAGATTCTAGAGAGAAAGACTAAACTGCGGCTTCCAAAAAGCGTGAGACAACATTTACTCCTTGAAAGTGAGGGGCACACACTGTGATGCCAATTTTAGTTTGTAATAGAAAGACGGGGATATGCAAACTGAGGGTGTATCTGTGAGATCCAAGAAACAGGGAAAGCTGGGATAAATGAAGAAACATGTGTTTTCAATCTGTGTCTATGGCGTCAGAAGAGAATAGAGAAACGTATTTAAAATAATAGTAAATTAAAAGCAGTAGAGCTGACTATCTTTGTTGAGTGAAGACTAAATGAAATTACACACAAAACTCTGGATCATAGAAAAAAATACTAATCTGAATAGCCTTTCTCCTCCCTTACAGTTTAGTGGGTCAAGAAATGTTTGCCTCTTTTAAAGTTGAGTCATTTTTTTAAAAAGCGTAGAATTCATACAAAGATAAGATGGAAAAAAGAAAAGAATAAAGAAAAGCAAATGCTTTTTAAAGAAAGGCGAAGAAGAATACAGAACAGTCCCATGGAGAAAAGGAAAACTGCAATAGAAATTTAAAAGAACTAAAAAACAATGTCCTCTGTTAGACATGCACACAAAGCTCATATGCGAAAACTCAAGGAAGAAAGAGCAAAACCAGAAGAGCTAAATATGGGCTGGAAGCATTCAGAAAAGAAAAAAATAGGGCCCTCACAGAAATAAAAGCAAAATTAGAAGGAGCAAAATGGAAAACAACCACCAGTTAACACAGTATGAGACATAAAGAGACATGAAGGAAAGAAAAAAATTAAGTGGAAATAAAGTTTAAGAAACTTCAGAGAAGGTAATTGATATGGAAGACAGTTAAAGTTAGCCAGAATAAAAATAATCAGAATGTCCAAAAAAAGAAAAAAAAAAGCAAAATTGAGAGACTGAACTATACAAATGGACAATATCAAGACCATATATACAAACACAACTATGACCTACACTCTGCAGTGACCAGAAAACCAAATAACAACCCCTGTAGCAACTGGCCCAAAACAGCTAGGACTTGGTCAAGAACTATCAGCTTAATTCCATGTTCTCATCCACCCCTGCAACCCTTCCCACCCGCTTCCAATTAGGAACAGCCTGAGAAAGCCAAATACACTCCTCAAACCAATCATAAAACACAGCACTTCCCCATTTCTTCTTTTTATCAGGTTTGTCAAAGATCAGATGGGTGTAGATATGCAGCATTATTTCTGAGGGCTCTGTTCCATTGGTCTATATCTGTTTTGGTACCAGTACCATGCTGTTTTGGTTACTGTAGCCTTGTAGTATAGTTTGAAGTCAGGTAGTGTGATGCCTCCAGCTTTGCTCTTTTGGCTTAGGATTGACTTGGCAATGCGGGCTCTTTTATGGTTCCACATGAACTTCAAAGTAGTTTTTTTCTAATTCTGTGAAGAAAGTCATTGGGAGCTTGATGGGGATGGCATTGCATCTATAAATGGTGATGGGAAAACTGGCTAGCCATATGTAGAAAGCTGAAACTGGATCCCTTCCTTACACCTTACACAACAATTAATTCAAGATGGATTAAAGACTTAAATTTTAGATCTAAAACCATAAAAACCCTAGAAGAAAACCTAGGCATTACCATTCAGGACATAGGCATGAGCAAGGACTTCATGTCTAAAACACCAAAAGCAATGGCAACAAAAGCCAAAATTGACAAATGGGATCTAATTAAACTAAAGAGCTTCTGCACAGCAAAAGAAACTACCACTGGAGTGAACAGGCAACCTACAGAATGGGAGAAAATTTTTGCAATCTACTCATCTGACAAAGGGCTAATATCCAGAATCTACAATGAACTCAAACAAATTGACAAGAAAAAAACAACCCCATCAAAAAGTGGGCAAAGGATATGAACAGACACTTCTCAAAAGAAGACATTTGTGCAGCAAACAGACACATGAAAAAATGCTCATCATCACTGGCCATCAGAGAAATGCAAATCAAAACCACAGTGACATACCATCTCACACCAGTTAGAATGGCAATCATTAAAAAGTCAGGAAACAACAGGTGCTGGAGAGGATGTGGAGAAATAGGAACACTTTTATACTGTTGGTGGGACTGTAAACTAGTTCAACCATTGTGGAAGTCAGTGTGGCGATTCCTCAGGGATCTAGAACTAGAAACACCATTTGACCCAGCCATCCCATACTGGGTATATACCCAAAGGATTATAAATCATGCTGCTGTAAAGACACATGCACACGTATGTTTATTGTGGCACTATTCACAATAGCAAAGACTTGGAACGAAGCCAAATGTCCAACAATGATAGACTGGATTAAGAAAATGTGGCACATATATACCATGGAATACTATGCAGCCATAAAAATGATGAGTTCATGTCCTTTGTAGGGACATGGATGAAGCTGGAAACCATCATTCTCAGCAAACTATCCCAAGGACAAAAAACCAAACACTACATGTTCCCACTCATAGGTGGGAATTGAACAATGAGAACACGTGGACACAGGAAGGGGAACATCACACACTGGGGCCTGTTGTGCGGTGGGGGGAGGGGCGAGGGATAGCATTAGGAGATATACCTAATGTTAAATGATGAGTTACTGGGTGCAGCACACCAACATGGCACATGTATACATATGTAACAAACCTGCACGTTGTGCACATGTACCCTAAAACTTAAAGTATAATAAAAAAAAAAACACCACTTCTAGTTAGGCTACCATCTAGTCTCAACAACAACAACAACAACAAAATAGAGTCACAAAGTCAAGAGGGAAAATGTTCATAGCAATGTTCAGTGGTAGAAGAGAGTAGCACAACACCTTTGAAACCTTCTGAAAAGAAGATGAGATTCAAGGATTTTTATGTGGTTTAAATAAAATGGACAAATTGGATTATTTGCATAAGCCCTCTTATTTGCAACAGGAATCTACTAGAAGCCCAACTCTATCCAACCAAAGATTACTAGTAAAGTTATAACAAAAAGACAAGTAAAACAAAGTCCCCTGTGCTTAAATGGATTACCAAGCTTAAAACAAATGCCAAGTGAAGAGTGACAGAACAAAATGCAAATGTGATATGCCCTGACTATGTAGAATTATTATAACCAACAAATATCAACAGAGGAAGAAAAAAAAATGAGAGGCATGGTAGATACAATGATTCTGCTGAGGATAAAGGATATGCTTTTAAAAAATCAAATCCAAGACCTAATTATATAGAACAATACAAAGGTAAATGGTAAGAAGATAATATAATTGTATTACCAGGAAGCAGAGCAGGAAACAGAGAGGAAAAGGTATGCCCTCACTCTGTCCATTGGCCGTAGGAGAAAATCAATAGGTACTATATAAAGAAATAGAGGATTGGGATATTATATTTGTTATACTAATAAATGTGAAAGAGTTGAACTCACCTCTTTAAAAAGACATATTCAGATTATATCACAACATAAAATTGAATTCTGTGCTGAATATAGAGTCTCAGAAAAGCTGAAAATAATAGAATGGACAAAAATATATTAGGCTAACTCATACAAAAAGAAGAAAATCACCATCTGAATATTATACAAAGTTAAATTCAGGCTAAAAAGTATTTAACAAGTCAGGGAGGGGTATTTTTTTAATACCAAAGGGTACAAATTTCAATGAGGATAAAACAGTGTGAATATATATGAGCTCTAGAGTAATATAAAGCAAAATCTTTAGGACATTCAAAGTGAAGTAGAGAAAAAAATCACATCAGGCTATACAGTTAGTGGACAGATTTATATTGGGTTCATGGTGGCGTCATGCACGCAGACTCCTGCAAGTTTCCCTAAGTTCTTAGAGGATTGCTTTGCCATTTGATCTGAGATTTGCACAGTTCCATAAGAATGGCCCTTGTGGATAAGCACAAGGTCAAGAGGCAGCGATTGGACACAGTCTGTGAAGGTATACGCCCCCACGTCCTGAACGGCCCCGAGCACCCCACCCCCTGTGGCGTTGCTGGACCACTGCAACTGCACCGTGGATATGCCCATCCTGAAAGACCTGACCACCGTGGCCTTCTGTGATGCACAGTCCACGCAGGAAATCCACCAGAATGTTTTAAATGAAGCCGTGGGCGCCATGACGTACCACAAAATCACCTTCTCCAGGGAGGACCTGGAGAAGTTCAAGGCCCTAAGAGTGACTGTTGCAGATAGGCACTGGCCACGACAATGTGGATGGACATCAAGGCTGGCTGTGAGCTCGGGATTGCTGTGTGCAACATCCCTTCCGAGCCGAGGAAGAAACAGCCGACTCCACCATCTGCCACATCCTCAATCTGTACCGGAGGAACCGTGGCTGTACGAGGCGCTGCGGGAAGGCACGTGGGTACGGAGCCTGGAGCAGAGGTGGATCCGGAGCAGCCTGCATCCCTGCGAAGACGCTGGGCCTCTTCGGCTTCAGTGGCACGGAGCAGGCAGTTGCAGTTCGAGCCAAGGCCTTCGGATTCAGTGTCTTACTTTATAATCCCTACTTGCAGGGTGGGACAGAGCAGTCCCTGGGCCTGCAGAGGGTCTATGCCCTGCAGGATTTGCTGTATCAGAGTGACCACCTCTCCATGCACTGCAGTTTCAAGGAACATAACCACAACCTCACCAATGACTTTACTGTAAAGCAGATGGGGCAGGGAGAATTCCTTGTGAACGCAGCCCGTGGTGGCTTGGTGGACAAGAAAGCCTTAGGACAGGCCCTCAAGAAGAGCAGGATAGAGGCGCAGCCCTCGACATGCAGGAATCAGAGCCCTTTGGCTTTGCTCAGGGTCCGTTTAAAGATGCAAGGAATTTTATCTGTATTCCCCACACTGCCTGGTACAGTGAGCAGGCGTCACTGGAGATGAGAGGCAGCTGCCACCGAGATCTGTTGAGCCACCACAGGTTACATTCAGAAAGCTTAAGAAACTGTGTGAACAAGAATTCTTTGTCACATCAGCGCCTTGGTCAGTAATAGACCAGCAAGCAATTCATCTCGAGCTCAGTGGTGCCACATACAGGTATCTGCCAGGCATCGTGGGTGTGGCTCCAGGAGCACTCCCTGCAGCCACGGAAGGGATCATCCTTGGAGGCATCCCAGTGATTCACAATCTCCCGACAGTGGTACATCCTTCCCAAGCTCCCTCTCCCAACCAGCCCACAAAACACGGAGACAATCGAGAGCACCCCAACGCACAATAGCAGAGAATGCCAAAAGGTAATCATTCCAATACACTTGGGACCAAGAGAGTGAACAAATAGATGGAATAAAATAATTTGACGGTCTTTTTAACTGATTCTGGACATATCCATCATTGATGTTGCAGTGTTAAAACTACAAGAGCTAGAAAACTGAAAATGTCATCTGCTTGTGGAAGTGCTGAAAGACTAGGATGTGATTTATTAACAACCAACTTCTGTTATTGTGTGTTGAGTTTTTCATCCGTGCATGAAATCACACAAAATAAACAGAGCTTTTTCCTTTGTCAGTCCCTTGAGCATAGCAGGTCCTGACACCCTGTTCTAGAATATTGCATCAGGAGTTCAAACATCAAAATAAAAAATATTAAGAGGAAATCCTTATCCTGTGACTCTGGTCCCCTCAGTCTACAGGGGCTGGTTGCCTCTTTTTGCTAATAGGAAGATTGCATTACTACAAAATGGGGAAGCAAACTGTTTGCCTGTGGTAGACACTTGACACATAGGATTGAAGACAGTACAGGCTCCTGTACAGAGAAGTGTCTCTCACATCTGAAATGCCTACTGAGCAGACAAGTTGGTTGTTTGGTAAAACCCTCTAATGATGAAAAAAGTGTTAAGTTTCACAAGCTGTTTGTACTCAAATATATTTTCTCAGTTTCAGATCCTCTGCTATTTTATTGAGTGGAAAGACTTGAACTAAAAGGTTTAAGAAGATAATGTTGCATTTCCTTATGTCTCAGGAAACACTTTTTATGGTAACTTGTCAGATTGCCCATGAGCAAACCCACTTTTTTAGATGTTGATAAAGTCTTCTTTTCTTCATGTGATACTTCATACAAGAACACTTCAGATGTGTTAGATGTGACTGATTTTAACAAATCCTATTAGATTTGTGTCAACTAGTTACATGTTCTATTCATAGTCTTTTGTGAATCATTGCCTTTTTGTTTAAAAGGATGGCCTGTTTTGAGCCTTTGTATAGGTACCTTCCTGTTTTTGTGACAAACAAGATTTTAAAATTGTCCTAAACAGAAAAATAATGGCTATCAGAAGTATGTTTTGTTTTAGTTTGAGTTGCTATTACTGTACTTATTGTAAAGCTGGACATTTAGCATTCACTGCCATTTTTAGTAAAACGTTAATTTTAAAAAATATAGTGTCATAGACCTGACAAAGAGCTCATATGCAAAATAAATAAGGAATGCCTATTTTTATATTGGATTGCTAAATAATAACCCAATATAAAAATAGGTAAGGAGCTTACACAGTCACTTAACAAAAAGAATATTCAAATGGCTTATAAACATATGAAAAGTTACCTAGCCTTATGAGTTCCTTATGGAAATGTAAGTTAAAAATACAATGAGATGTCACTTTATTCCCACGAATATAACTAAAATTAGAAAGATCAACAATATCAAGCATTGGTGAGAATGAGGAGGAACAGGAACATTCATATCCTGCTGTTACAAGAAGAAACTTGTACAACCACTTTGAAAACTGTTAGTGCTTTTTTTTTCTAACAATGCAATGCCTAAATCTGTACCAATAGAAATGGACACACACAAACACACGGACACACACAACCCCAAATGAATGTCTGAGAATCTTCACAGCAGCATTATTCATAACAACCCTAATATCCAGTAACAGAGGATGGATAAATTTTGGTGTATTCATATAATAGAATACTGCAAAACAATCAAAATTAGCGTATTGCTGCTACATATAACAGTATGTATGCATCTCATGATTATAGCTCTTTCAGAGAAGTTAAACACAAAAGTATACATACTTTATGCACATCAATGGCCATATATGATTTCATTTATATGGTATATGAGCACTAGCAAAACTAAGTTATGATTTTCAAAGTCGGAATGGTGGTTGCTTTGAAGAATTTGGAGGGAGAGTGATTGGAGAGCTATAGAAAATGTTCCTGGGATGCTGTTACAAGGGCATTCACTTTTTCATAACTTAATTGAGCTACACGCTTTTGATTTGTGCATTTTTCAGCATGCATCCCATACTTCAATTTTAAATTTCATTTAAAAAAGAAAAAAAACTTCAACAGCCAAAAGTATTTTAAGTTTATTTCTATCGGATTGAGCCACTGGAATTGTGGAGTTTATTGCAGCAGCTAAAACTATCCTAACTACTACAGAACTTTAGAGGTCATCAACAATCATTTTACAGATAAGTCAACTGTGGCCTAAAAATTAAGGGACTTAACCAATGTCACAGAGCTAGTTGTCTATTAGCCTCCAAATCCAGTTATTTTTTCTTTTTCACTATGTTTCACTGCCTCAACTTAATGTGCACACCACTTAACACTCTCATCCCTCTTGGCTCCCAATAAACAAACCATAATAATAGAAAGTGTTATCTACCCACTCAACAGACAATTTCATATGATAGTACCTACTGCAATTGCTTCTGAAATTACCCAAATGTCTTCCTGTAAACCTTAGTAATTGAGTTTGGCATATAACACACTTTGAAAAAGAAATAATACTTTTCCCAAATCGAAAACTTTAATTTATTTATAATAATTTATAATTAATTAATTTAGTTAATTCCAAGTGTTTTGCTACCCCTAAATCATGCATCTATTTTGTAGTTTTTTTAACCTATTAGCGTTGTGATGGATTAGATGTCTCAATTAAGCCAAATGATGCCCTATAATGTCCCTAAAGAGTGGTATGAATGGAAAACTTTAAAATAAACATGTCTGGACAAAAATCAAATATATGAACAAAGAAAATCATATGTTTTAGACACTCAAAAGAGCAAACTACAGAACCTTAGGAATCTTTTAAGAGAAGGTTTCTTAGGAAAAGGATTCTTAGGAAAGATTCTTAGGAATCTTTTAAGAGAAGCATTTCTCGGCATTTGTCTTTCAGTGAAAATCTCAGCCAGTCCTAGGCAGCTGTCCCCAGTTTTCAGCTTAAGTGAGACACCCACTGGAGGCTGAGAGAGTGGCAGAAGAGAACCCAGTCCCACACTTCATCTTCCCCAGCTAAGACTCCTGTTCTGGAATATGGGAGTCACGTTCAGAGTCCTTCAAGTAAGAGTTGTGTTGATCTCATCTCAAAGAAAACTCAGCAGAATAATTTTGTGGAACAACGGTGAAGCCGGCCTTCCCAGTTTCTCTCCCTTTTTTTTTTTTTTTTTTTCTGAGACAGGGTCTCACTTTGTCACCCAGTCTTGAGTGCAGTGTCACAATCACAGCTCACTGCAGCCTCATCTTCCTGGGCTCAAGTGATCCTCCCACCTCAGCCTCCAAGTAGCTGGGACCACAGGCATGCGCCACAATGCCCAGCTAATTTTTGTATTTTTTGTAAAGATACAATTTTGCCATGTTGCCCAGGCTGGTCTTGAACTCCTGGGCTCAAGTGATCCTTCCACCTTGGCCTCCCAGTGCTGGGGTTACAGATGTGAGCCACTGCACTCAGCCCCCAGTCTCCATTCTTGACTACACCCTATCTTCTAGTATGTTGCTGTATAGATTGAATTGTGTCCCCTCAAAATTCACATGTTGAAATCCCAACCCCTTGATGTAACTGTATTCGGAGATAAGACCTTGAGGAGGGTAATTAAGGTTGAATGAGGTCATAAGGGTGGGCACCTAAATATGATAGGACTGGGGTCCTTATCAAAAGGGGAAGAAACATCAGAAATCTCTCTCTCCCTCCACATGCACAGAGGAAAGGCCATGTGAGGACACAGCAACAAGATGGCTATCTGCACTAGGGAGAGAGCCAGTATGAGAAACCGAATCAGCTAGCACCTTGATCATGGACTTCCCAGCCTCTAGAACTGTGAGAAAAAATAATGTCTGTTGTTTAAGCCACCCAAGCTTAAACATTTTGTTATGGCAGCCCAAGCATACTAATACACTTGCTAATTTGGGCAACTGTGTTGCTGCCAGATCATTTCTGGGCAAAATCCTTTCTTAGTGACATTTGCATCTTCAGAGGGAGCACTTAGAGACCCCAAACTCTTCATTATCAAAAAAGATTGATCCCAAATGGTAAAACTCTAGTCATCATGACAGATCTTGCAAGGAGTTATGTGTAGAAAATAGACTGGCAAGTTTAGATGGAGACAGATCAAAGAACTTTAAATATCTAGCTAAGAAGTGTGGAATTTATTTCAGAGACAATGATGAGTCACTGAATGTGAGAAGAAGCTATCATGGCTAAAGCTGTACTTTGGAGAGATAACTCTGCCAGCAGTGCAGAAAATTTTTATTATTACTATTATTTAAATGATTTTTATAATAGCTAGCATTGATTGAGCACTTACTCTTTGTCGAGCACTCTGTATGCATTATCTCTACTTAATTAAGTGAGGGAAAATTGTAAAAAAGACTAAAATGGACCAAAAAGATTACTGAGTATTATAAATGGAAAACAAGCCATGATCTGGGTTATGATCATTTTTAGCTATTCCTCAACACTGTAAAATGCAGAAAACTGACAACGATGCAAATAACTTTCATCCACTGAAATGCAAATGAATCTGCCCAGCGGAATGCAATCGATTGTTGCCTTTTAATAGACTCAGCTTGCACTTATTTGTACATTCATTTCGGCATTCCTTATTGCCTATATTATGTGTGGTTCTTTGAATTGTTCTGTAAGCCAGTTATGTCATCTCACTGGTTCCCTCATTTATTGATGAGTTACATAAAATCTGACATACTTATTATATATAAAATTGGTATTATTATCTCCAATTTAAAGATAAAGAAACTGAGGCTTTGAGAAAGAAAACCTGCCAAGTTCACATGGTGGCCTTCCAGTCAGAATGGAAGATTAATAGACTTTTCTGACGACCAGATTGGCTTCCATATGCCCTATTTCTGGAGCTTGTCTTTGAAGTCCTCCCCATCATCCCTCTGCAGGGAAGTCTCCCTTCTGTATCATATTATGCCACCATCCACAGTGCTCCCGCCATTGCCTGACCCATCTGACCAAGTAATAACTGTAAACCAATAATGGAAAAGTAATCACAAGAATTGCTATTCTGTAAACTGGATTTGGAGAAACATAGCCTCCATTTTTTTAATATATTCTGTCACCACCTTTGTGTGTAAGTAGGTGGAGGAGGTGGGGACAGGTGGAATGGCAGGAGGAATGGTCGACCACTTACAAACACTGCCCACCATCATAAACAGAGGCTCTACTTCTCTGCCTCTAATGATAGCAGTGGAAATATTAAAGATACTATTCATAATGATGATTCCTAATCATTCACACTCACATATTCCTAGTACTACAGATTTATAGTCTAAATGAAATCATAACATGATTCCCAAATGAAATAGTAACATGACAATGATTCTCTTTAAATATGTGTACTACTATAAGTTTTAAGTGCTTTCAGAGTACTATTATGAAATAGCCTTAGGAAATAGGCCAAATTTATATTATTACTCTCTCCATTTTACAAGTTCCATACAAGTGAAGGGACTTACCCAAAGTTGGCCAGTAAGACATTACAAAAACTGACTTTTTCCTCCTTAATCCAGATCAGGTCTTTCTGACTATCCTAAAGTGCACCATCCCATCTCATCTTTCTTTCCCCTTACACACATATACAACACATATGCATATATGCACACACAGTATTAACCTTAGCCCACATCAGCAGGTCAGTACTCACAGCCTCATAGACATTCCTTCTACTTTCCACAATCCCACCCATTCCCCAAACCCCACAGCTTTAGGCTAAACCCTCCTCCACTGGGTCTTTGGAGATGGAGTTTCACTCTTGTTGCCCAGGCTGGAGTGCAGTGCCCCGATCTCAGCTCATTGCAACCTCTGCCTCCTGGGTTCAAGCAATTCTTCTGCCTCAGCCTCCCAAGTAACCAGGATTACAGGCATGCGTCACCATGCCCAGCTAATTTTTTGTATTTTTAGTAGAGATGGGGTTTCACCACGTTGGCCAGGCTGGTCTGAAACTCCTGACCTCAGGTGATCTGCCCACCTTGGCCTCCCAAAGTGCTGGATTTACAGGCATGAGCCACCGTACCCGGCCCTCCTTTGGGTCTTCATTTACATGTTTCTTCTTCCACCATCCTGGACTGGACGAGCTGCGTCTCCCACTTGCTTCCATGGTGTCCTACACTTCTCCCATGAGAAAATTTGTCACATTACAATGCAATTGCCTCTTTACTTTACTATGTCACCTAATAAATTGTGAGCTCCACAAAGGCAGAAACATAGCATATTGAAGATGATCAATAAATGCCTATTTCATGTTTAAAAGAACCCGTATGGTGTCTTTAAGAACAGATCCAACCTCAGGCGAGACCCAGGTCTTCCCTGAAGTCTCATATGGAAACCAATAGCTGGGCTCAAGCATGGCTTTGAGTGAAGCTGAGTAGTCAAGTCTTGAATTTCCAACAAGCAATGTTTTCTAAGAGAAATAAATATGCCCCTCAGGGCCAGCATTTCCCCAGGCCCAAATACATTCCAAAAAAAAACAAACTAAGCTCTTCCAAAAACTGCTTACCAGCTTGCAGCCACCAAGGGAGTCACTCACTTATGTCTTCAGGGGTGTCAATAGGAAAACATTTTGCCCTCGGCTGTGTCACTGGGGAATGGGAAGAGTCAGGTCTCCTGCCTTGGCTGGGAGGGAAGGTAAATTTAACCTGAATTCTCTTTCCTGCCTCTGAGATCTGGCTTCTCCTCTCTGACTACCCAAACCTCCCCAGTCTTTAATAAAATTACCTAATATTCATTCAGCTTTTACTATGTGTCAGGCACTGTTTTCAGCACTTGAGATATACCAATTCATTTAATCCTCAAAACAATCTATGAGGTAGGTGTTACTATTATTCCTATTTTTATAAATGAAGAAACCGATGCACAGAAAGATGCAGAAAGCCACCAAGGTCACTAGTAAGTGGCAGAGTTGAGATTCATACCGTTTAAGTCTGGCTTTTATCTGCCTTGAGGACTATTTTGGGCCCCACTAGTTCAGGACTGTGTCCTCCAAGAAACCTACCTGACCACTTCATCCCAGGCATCAATTCTGTCCCCACTCTGAAGGCTTCTAGCAATTACTTTCAGCACAATCTAATGGGTAATTAACTCCCCTTCTGGTGTTCTAGTGTGGAAGTCAAGGCTAAAAGATGCTGTCCCCTCATCTGCCTTTAGCCCCAAATGGGAACTTCACTATGCATAGTATTTTGTCTTCACAAAAGGAATGGAGGGGTTGGTCAAGTGAGGATGAGCTTCGGCTATGCAAAAGGACAGCTTCTTACTAGCTAAGAGAAGATTTGTCACTCAGCAGAATTGAAAAGCTGTGTATATTCCCAAAGAAAACCTCCACAAGACTATTTAGAAAGTTATTATAGCTCTAAAAGGAGAAAAACCTCTAATGTTTCTCATTGCCTAAAATAACAAAAACTACTAATAGATATACTTTGCCTTCCATTACATGACAGGTGAGCTCTGTAGCACTATTAGGAGACAGCAGAACAGGGAGTTAAGCTCTGGGCTACAGAGCCTGTTTCCTCACCTTCATTTTATAAATGCTTCATAACTAATGATGCTGAGATGACAATCTTTATCCTTTGGCAGAAATCAATAGTCTGTCAGAGGAAATCCTTTCAGGCAGAGATTATTTAGTCATCTTCATATCATCATCATGATGAGAGATAACATTTATTGAATTCTTATTATGTGCAAGTCATTGTAGATGAATTACCACTTCTCATTCTCCTTCTAGCCTTGGAAAACATTAAATATCAGGGGGCACGAGGCACTAATTACTCACATTAAACCAAGCCAGTGCCTGTCCTCAGACAGCTTTATTTCAAGCAGCCTGAAAGAGGACCCACAAAGTGGAACAACAAAACCTGTCCTGCACATCGTTGAAAAACAAAGTTTCTACATAAATGGTGATATGATTTGTAATGTCCTAAGAAGTAGGTTCAAATCCTTCCTCAGCTACTATTTGACTACAGGCAAGTTACCTAGTATCTCTGAGCCTGAGTTTCCCCAAAGGAAAAATGGAATAAGAATACCTCACCAGAGCTGTGATGGCCGAATGATACAATAGTTGAGAGCACCTAACAGAGTAAGCTCTCAGCACGGGCCCACTCCCTTCTCTCCGATGTGGACATCTGAGACTTCCCCTTTGATATGTCAACATTGTTGACCAACTTTTATAGAAATCTTTCTAAAACTCTTTTCTAACTTACTACACAGAACAAAATGTACATCTTTTAGCTTTTTCTTTATAGTCCAGGGTCATAACCGAGACACAAGACTGCTTCTACATTGAGTGGCTTCAGACTACAGATTCTGCTATGTTCTTCCTCTTTTCGGGAACTTTTTGGAGTGTCAGCTTCAAGCAGCCCTCCCTCCCTCCACCCTCATTCCTCCCTTGCCTGGGCTTTGCCACATCAGCAACCTCAATTTTCACAAAACTAATTCAAAATAGATTCTGGCCAGAAGACATCTCTGCTATTGTTTCCTGCAGAGTGACTTCACAGACAGGCCTTGTGACAGCTCCTTTCCTTTGTCCTCAGAGGTCTTTGGCACTGACTTCCATATCTGATGATGTTTTCCAGATGTTGAAGTACCTCCCCGCCTCCCAAAAAATTCAGGAGATAGGTTGCTACTAAATACTTATGTAACTTACAAAATGTATTTTTCCTTTAGCCCGCATTAGTTACTTAGTTTTTAAGCCTTAGGTGGGAGAGTAAAAAGTAGGAAGAGATAGAGATAGCTTTCTGATAATTCCTTTTTTTCCTGACGTTCCCAGATAGTTGGTCTGAGTGTATGTAGCTAAAACTGAACATAGTTCTGAAATTGATAAGTTTCTCCTTACAGTGGCAGACAAGTCCTGGCTGAAATCCAAACCAAAGGGAGGTCTTTCTAATAATCCTCAAAGTGTTTCCTCTTCCTCTTTGCCTGTCCAAATAAACCCAAGCTTGCAGATCCAGTTAAAATCTTGTCTTTTTATGACATGAAGTCTTCCCTAACCAACCCACTCTGACATGTCCTTCTCTGCTCTGGGCTCAGTTATTCATCCAGCCCCTTGAGACCACATTGGCAAGGTTGCCTCCCACTGGGATTTAACTCTTCATGTGTGACCTTTCCTCATTACTCCCATCATCCCTCTGACCACATATAGAGCTTGTACTATCTGTAAATTTTACTGGAAATCACTGTGGGCAATGAATCTGTAGAAACATCTGTCCCACCCCTATTCCCAACACCTAGTGGTTAAAACTTCAGCCTTTCTGGGTCAGCCTTTGGGCTTTCAGGGTATATGTGGATGGCTACACCCTGGAAAAGTAGCACCCACCTCTACAACACACACACACACACGCGCGCGCGCGCGCGTGACCTTAAGCCAAAGGGGAAGTTGTTGGCAGCTCAAAAACTCTTGCCTCCAACCGGCCTGTTGTCTCAAGGGTAGAACTACTCAGCCGATTTGGGTGCACAACTAACTGGCTCAAAATAAAACTTCAGGCTTCCAGAGTGTGAAGAGCTAATAAATCCTTAGTGAATAAAGCTTTCTAAATTGAGTTTATTTTATGAGGCAATTCGAGAACACTTCTGGCATTTTGTACTGGAAGAGCAAACTGCAACCGTAAATATTAACAAGATGGTAGAAGGGGTTCAGGGGTTGGGAGGTGTGGAGTAAGGAAACTGGACATCAGACATGGTTCCCAAACAGGATATCCAGTTAAGTGAGATTGCTTATCACTGACCCCTGCTCGCTAATCCAAGCTACTTTTAGGAAAATACACTTTCAAGCAAGACGAACAATGTGTACTCCGTTGGAAGGGGACAGTGCTTCATTGTGTTAAAATCACATGAGCGTGAATATTATTAACTCTGTGTTTGTCAAATTAAGGGTCTGTTCCCAACACAGATTCTCCTACACTACCTCCATCACTTGTAGAAGGTTTTGTATATGTGCATGGTGTGTGTGTGTCTATGTGTGTGTGTATGTGTGTTTGGTTGTGGTTGCTTTGTGTTTGTTAAGTGCCAAGTGTATCTCTCTGTGGGTTGCTACAAAGTAATTTGATAAAAGTAACAGTTAAAGAGATAATTATGTGCCTTAGGGTTTACATGGATTATCTCATAATCATGTTGCCATTATTCTCAAATTACAGATGGGAAAACTAAGGCCCAGGAAACAAGTCACCTGCTGAAGGTTGTACAACTTGCAATTTATGTATTATATTGTATTTTTTTGACACAAGGTCTCACTCTGTCACCCAGGCTGGAGTGCAGTGGTATGATCTCGATTCACTGCAACCTCTGCCTCACAGGTACAAGGGATTCTCCTGCCTCAGCCTCCTGAGTAGCTGGGATTACAGGCACCTGACACCACACCCAGGCTAATGTTGACATTTTTAGTAGAGACGGGTTTTCACCATGTTACAACTTGCAATTTAAACGTAGAGATTCAAATGTCGGTCCCCTCACTCCAGGGACAGGCTTCCGAGCCCCTGTGTGATGCTGCTTCAAAGGCAAGGAGTCAACAGACCAAAGCTCTGAGGTTCTGAAGGAGTTTATGAGCCTCAGAGCTCTGCACTGAGGCTCTCACCCTAAGGGGTAAGTGAAGTTCTCCACTAGGCAAAATGTGTACACTATGGGAGGCATTTCTTGGCAATGGGAACATTCCCTGGAACTTCCAGCATTCAGGTATCAAGCAACCTATGCTCTTGCCTGGGCTCTGCCTTTGAAAGCTTCATAAGCCCGGGCAGCTCAGCCCATCTTTATATTCTACTTCAACAGGACACAGAGCTGTAACTCAGCAAGGAGCTAAGAAAAGGCTGAATCAGGGCCAGGGAGAAAGATAGGCTTTGGAGGTTCCTCAGTGTGAGCCAAGGCATTAGCATCACAGACACCTCCTGCTCTTTCTAGGTGGGTAGCTTGTCCTTGCTAAGTGCCAGTGGGCTTAGGATTTAGGCTAATGTGATCCAAAGATTATACCCCCTCCCTAGGATACTGCAGTCAGCTCATATGGATCCAAAGTCTCATCTAAAGAACTCTATCACCATGGGAGATATGAGGCCCCTTTCCTCCACCCACTTATCCCCCAATCCCACCCTGATATCCTCTGCCCTTTTCAGCTGCACCATCCCAAAACCCTACTGCTCTGTGGATATGGCAGGTATGTGGCGTGGTAGGTATGCTCGTATCACTGTTAAGACTCCTGTGTCTCCACTCAGAGAGACAGTGTACCTGAAGAATAACAGCCAACATCAGATGGATCATGCACAGGGTATTAGAACAGAACACATCTGTCCTAATATCGGTCGTTTGTCTTCAGTTTTTAATTTAGGCATCAAAATGATAGATATCAGTATATCAAAGGAAATGGAAGGCAGACCTCCCAGGCCGACATGCACAGTGTAAGAATTTACAAAGAGAATGAAGACAAATCTGTTCCCTGAGGCATGAACCCCTCAACCAGATTAAGGATATAAAATTGAGTCATAGAAGGATCTTAAATTGATTGAGAGAGACTCCTAAAATGTCTCTCCCCCATTTCTCTCATTGGCCTGACCCACTGTAGAAATCCCATCATTCTTTGTCATAGCCACATGTTAAAATTAAAAATTTCTTTGGAGGGAGTGGTTTTAGGCTGTGATTCGCCACTCCACTCTCTTTTCAGGGATAAGGATGAGCTGCCTCTAACAACTCACCAAAGAGGGCCTCCAAGGCAACCACTCAGGATGCTCTGTACTATGGCTTCTACAACAGGAGAACACTGGGGACTGGTGCCTGGCTCATGTCTGAGGAAGATCAAAAGGACTGTAGACTGAGGTCTGACTGTGGCACAGGAAATGTAGAATTTGAGTAAAAAGCAACTGCGTGGTGACAGCTGAAAGAGGCTGCTGCATAGGAACAAGCCCATGAGTGACATGTGAGCCACCCAGGAAAGAAAACAGACATGAGGTCTTCGTGGGCCCTGGGAGGGATGCCAGTAAGAGGCTGGCAGTATATCCAGTGTCTAAAAGCTGAGGCAGGAGTCCCAAGGGAACACCTGGAATAAGAGAACAAGGAGAGAGGCCCAGCTGGAGAACCCCAGAGAGCCTACAAAAGCACTCAACAGAGAGAAACTTCGCTTTAACCACTTTCCAGTCCCCGGAAGCGAAGCACATATCCACCCAGCCAATAAAAACTGTCCTCTTCTGTCCCTCCCTCTCACACCAATTCATGGTGTATCAAAACAGCAGCCAAAAAAAAAAAAAAAAAGGTAGTGGGGGAGTGGAGGGGAACATAGAGCAAGATCCCCCATTCCCACTCAAAAACTCCCACAGTGAGGAGGTGCAATCTTGAGGGTGGAGCAGGGAAATATTTCAGTTGGTCCACTTCAGAATTTTGATATACATATATTTTAGACTGGCTATTCTCATTTCTGAATTGAGTCTGTGTGAATGACGGTGTCCACCCGACTGTCTATTTCCTAAAGATAAGCACAAAGGCCATGAGCCTGCCAGTATTTGCCTCCAGGGGCACAGAACGAACCTCCGCAATGAGTTAATCTAGATCTAGAGAAGGTTGTGTTCTCTCTCCCTCACAAGTCCTGTTTCTTCCCCCTACTGGTTATAAGCAAAATGGCTACAACCACAGTCAAGTTAAGTCCTCTCAATTAGAGCAAAATGATCCAATGGGTTCTCTCTCCACCCCAAACAAGGTCTTCTGTCCTTCACGTCTTCATCCCCCACCACAAACACTCTGGCCTGAGAGCAGCTTCCCTAGGAGCAGAGAACCTTCATGGAGTCAAAGTTACCACTGAGAGAGTCAAAAAGAGCAGAAAGGACTTGAATCTCCCCATAACATTTTCAGCCCCTTCATTGGGCCCCATGGAGTACAATTTGGGGCCGCTGAAAAGCCTCCTACTCCTAAAATGTCTCTCCCCCATTTCTCTCATTGGCCTGACCCACCGTAGAAATCCCATCATTCCTTTGTCATAGCCACATGTTAAAGTTAAAATATTCTGAGAAAGGTGAGACACTTTATATTCATCTTTCAAACCTTATTGTAAATTACTATACTTCTTAAAATTTTAGTCTGTGGTGCTTTTTGATAAACTGGTATTTCATGTATTCATGTATTCCTTTAATATTATTTAACATTATGATACGGTTTGGCTGTGTCCCCACCCAAATCTTATCTCGAACTGTAGTTCCCATAATCCCCAAGTGTCATGGGAGGGACCTGATTGGAGATAATTGAATCATAGGGGCGGTTACCTACATAATGTTCTGATGATGATGAGTTCTCCCGAGATCTGATGGTTTTATAAGGGGATTTTTCCCACCTTTGCTGTGCACTTCTCCTTGCTGCTGCCATGTGAAGAAGGATGTGCTTGCTTCCCCTTCCACCATGATTATAAGTTTCCTGACACCTCCCCAGCCATGCAGAACTGTGAGTCAATTAAATCTCTTTCCTTTATAAATTACCCAGTCTTGGGTATGTCTTTATTAGCAGTGTGAGAATGGACTCATACACATTATCACAATTTAAGTATCATGACTAAAACAAATCAAATTATAATACTGAATATGCTTTTTTTAAAAAAATAAAAACATCGCTCCAGAAATTCTGATCATTCCATATCTGAGGACTCATGCCACCACTGCCACATCCTCTTGGTGGAATACCAGCTTAGAACTGTCAGAGAGCATAGTTTAGAAATAAAAAAAGTAAGACTGACCCATACTGGATGGTCAGAAGGAGCAGGGAAAAGGGAACAGGCTTGCTGATGATGGTACCAGAATAATAGGGTGTCATCTTAGGTCAAGGAGGCACAGTAGGCATGTCGGGATCTTAGGGTTTAGGTTTTCTAACCACTGATACAGAACCATCATGTTTTCCAAAAGGATAGAGAACAGTATGTTTGAGTTTAGGACTGCAAAACTCTGTCTCATAAATAGCATCCCATTTCTTATATATAATAATTCATTGCTCATCTACAAAGATGTTTTAGAAAACCAGCTGGGAATCAGAGCATGCAGGAGACAACTTTGAAAACAGACAGTTTTGCACCTTTTAACAAGCCACGTGACCCTGGGCACATCCCTTACTTTCTCTGAGACTATTTTTCTCAGTGGTAAAAATGGGGTAAAAATAGATATCCTGAACATCTGCTGTGAAGCTTGAACCATCACTAGAAAGTATGTTGAGCACAGTACATTGCACACAGTAGGTGTTTGACATCATTTTCAGCAACTTGTATGACAGAAGCTTTCCCTACAGACTCTGAATACCAGGAACAACAAAAAGATGAGGGTTTCAGGGCCGCAAAAGATAAACAACAATGTGAGCAAGATTTTTCCCAAGGGGCATTGATGCCATCTGCCTGGAATGTCAGACACAATGATAGCATCAGCTGGTAAGCAGTGGCCTCTGAGCAGATGCTGCTTCACTTTTGCTGTCTTGGGCTCTTAAGAGGAAATCATTCTAGGAAAAACCTAGGATAATCCTACCCCCAGCTTACTGCAGGTCAACCAAGGGAAGGGATGTGGAGGAATTCCAAAGGAGCTGGGTAGCTGAAGAGGAAAGGGGTGTAGAAAGAGGAAATGGGAAAGTCCCAAAAGACTATCTCTGTCAGATTCCCAGTCCTGCCCCAGCCTCTCCCTCCTTCCATGGCCTTTCCCCACCCCTCCCTGAATACCAGACACACAGACACACACAGAATTAATTTGAGCCACACAAAGCCAGTCTTGTCACACTCCAGGCTAGGAAATGACAGGCTGCATTATCTGTGCCCAGCTATTCTTTTGTTGGCACTAACAGGAAGGCTTCCTACTATCTCTGCCATCTCTCCCTATCTACAGCCCCAGGCGGCAGCCCCAGCAGCCCCAGCAGGTGCCTCCATCCTGAATCAGGATGGGCCCCTCCCCTGTTCAGACAGTTTTGTTCCTAGAAGGAAGTCTCACATCCAAGCTGCACAGGGCTCCAGGAGGAAGGTCTCCTCCTTACTGGGGGCAGTTAGTACTGGGAGGATCCAGAGAAAATGGATGGCAGCTCATACCTGGTGTCCCTGGGCTGATAAGAGGAGCCTGATCCCCAACTTTAGAGGAGGCTCCAGCCTGCTGGGAGCATCCTGACCAATCTTATAGGACAAGTGTGGTCCTGAGGCTGTTTCTCAGCCTCTCAGTAAAACAGCCTCTCTCCTCACTCCCTCTTTCCCAGCCACTACAGAGAGCCCCTCCCAACTCCCTTCAGTGAGAAGAGTCTGCAAAGATCCCACCTCTGCTCTATGCCTGTCCTTTCCAGCATCATAACAGACATTATCTTATTTAAAGACAAGGTAGGCATTTTTGTATCGTTATTATAAAGCCTTTCAACATAGACATAATTATACATATTTTACTTTTGGGAAAAATGAAGATTAAGGATGTTAACTAACACACCCAAAAATCACAAGCTTAGTAAGCAGTAAGTGAAGATTTTAACCAAGTTTGCCTGCTTACAAAAACAACACTCTTTATTACAACAAACTGCCCTCTGGACATTGACAAGAATGTGGGGTGGGTATGGCTCCCAAATCCAGGGCAAACAGGTGATACCCATTCCTCTCACACATACCCCCACCCCAATACGGGCTCTTTGAATTAACAACAGCCCTAAGCTTCTGTGCCACAGGTCAGGTCTCACAGGGTCTGGGGAAGTCAACCTGTTGGCCCCAGGACACAAATAAATAAATGACCAAAATGCATGTCCCCTCGCCATAGTATAAAGCCACTGCTAGAAAGTATCACCCAACCTAAGACTACATTTCACAGCCTACCTTGCACTCAGGGCAGCCATGCAGCTACTCTCGCCAGTGAAATGTGAGCAGATGTCCTCATCAACCATGGGCTGAGGTTTTTAAGAAGGAAATTCACCATCTTCACTGTTTCTTTCCCTCTCTGTAGCCAAAAGAACTCCAAAACACGCTAGTGGTTCTCAACGCTGACTACACATTAGACTCCCCTGAGCCTTTTAAAATCCCATTACAAGCGCCACACCGAAAACCAATTAAACCAGAATCTCTGGACTAGGATCCCGGCATCAGTTTTTAAAGCTCCACAGGTGATTCACATGATCAGCCAAGACTGGAACCACTGCCCTGGGGGGATGGTGAAGTTGCAAAGTGGAAGAAACCTGGGTCCCTAAACAGTTCAAGGAAAAAACTCACTCGCAACAATACATTTGACTGTGACAGGGAGAAATAAACTTCTAATATTTTAAGCTACTGATACTTTTGAAATGTAGTTCTTACAGCAACCAGTATTATTCTAACTAATGTAGTCCATTAGGAATCCAGACCTAATGAAATATTTTCATTGTTATTCCAAAACAGACTCAAAATGCTTTTTGCTGCCACTATTTCCTTTCCATAGGTGGGGCTCAATCCTTGATGTCTGGGAACTAAAAGGCACCTTTCTGTGTCCACAGATCCATGAGATCAAGCCAAACTGTGCTGAAACAGCCAACAAGCAACCATATTTCACATATAGCACAAATACTACTTCAAACACCTTCTCGTTTATTATATTGGTTTATCCTCTGTCTTAGTCCATTCAGGTTTCTATAACAATATCATAAACTCACAACAGAAATTTATTTCTTATAGTTCCAGAGGCTGGAAAGTCCAAGATTAAGGTCCCAGCAGATTTAGTGTCTGGTGAAGGTTCACTTTCTAATTCATAGATGGCCATCTTCTCACTGTGTCCTCACATGGTGAAAGAGGCAAGCAAGCTACGTTGGGCCTCTTTCATAAAGGCACTAAATCCTGTTCTTGAGGGTGGGGTCCTCATGAACTAATAGTTGCCTTGAAGGCCTTACCTTGTAATACTATTACTTTGGGGATTAGATTTCAACATATGAAATTTGGAGGGACACAAAAATTCAGACCATTGCATCCTCATAAAACGTCTAGGAGGAGAACCTCCTCCTAAGTTATACGATATCATTTACAGATGGAGAAATGATAACCCACAAAAGAAAACTATTCCAAAACTTACATGGTCGATGAGTGGCAGAGCCAAAATCTAGAAATAATTTTGCAGAATGGTGCGCTAATTTTCCCAATTTTCCAAAGCAGAGTTCTTTCCACCATACTCTGAAATTCTTACCCATTTGTTGGAGCCCCCAAGACAAAAGACAGGAACTAAGTTGCCATGGGAGAAGATCCAAATATAAGAAAAGGAGAGTGAGCCAGGTGAAAAACATTGGCTAAGCTTGGGGTGTGCCTCAAAAGCCTTTATGGTGGCATTAGATCCTAGATATAAAGGCTCAGAATTGACCACTTATGGGGTCCCCTTATGGGGCTTATGAAGAGCCCCCATATCCAGAAACAGGGCAGATCCACAAGTTCTAATGTAAGGGACACCTTACATTAGACAAATTAATGTAATGTAAGGAACATAGCCTAGTCAGCAAGACTTAAATCACTTATTGAAGCATCCTCCTCCCTTTTGGAGCAAGTATTGCTATTTTCCAGTCTTCTGCTAAAATCTCAGTGTACCCTTAGCACTGAGTCCCCGCCATCCCAGGGTGATGAATATCAGAAGTTCCTCACCCCTTCCACCTCCCCACCCAGTAAGAGAGACCTGGGAAAGCATAAGAAGACTTGGTTTAAAAAAATCCTGCTAATTTCCTTCCCAAAAGGTTGCCAAAGGCTGAGCTTGCAGCCCGCTTTGCCAGACTCCAATATAGTGCTGAGATATGTGGCAAATAAAAGAGGCCCAAGTTTGCATAAGAGAAAACCTAGAAGTCATACTCATGTCCCTGATGACATCACTGTGGCCCACACCCAGTTGGGCTTAAGCAGCAATGATACCCCCGTAGAGCTCATTTCTTTTAGCAATGCAGTCTGTTCACACTGCTTACTGTCTGACCATGTCCTGCCCTCTAGACAGGTCACTGTGATCCAGAAAGTGCATTGGTAAGTACCTTCAAAGGTTTTATGTAAATCATCTCCAATCTCCTAGGCTCTGAATTAAAGGCAGCTTTCACAGGTCCACCACATTGCAAAACTATGATGGCACCATTCCCATCATAGTCTACATTAATGACACCCCCTAGAGTTGTGCAGTGGACAACTGGCATGGCAGAACACTCTCAATTACAGCCCTGCCTCCTGCCTTCTCTTTGCAGGAAATTACACCTCATCCAGCTGAATGCAAGATAACTCTGATAGGAATTTGCTGACTAGAAGAATATCAGCTGACAGCACTAAATGAAAATTAGGCAGCAGCTTAAAAGAAAAGAGAACTGTCCCCTCAACTTGCCCTAGTATTTGGTAACACCCTGAAACATATATTTAAATTGAGTTACTGGTTCATAAATCTGTTTCCCTCACCAGATTATGATCTCCTCTTGGTAAGGGATGCTATCTTATCCTAGCACCTGACACAGAGTCTGGCACATAGTAGGTGCTCAATATCTTTGATGATAAATGGATGAATGAGTGAGCAGATGCATTCATTTGTGAATGTTTTGACTATTCTACACCAAACACTGTTATAAGCACTGGAGATGCAACAGTAAACAAAGCAGACAAAAATCCCATTCCTGCCCTCATCAAGCTTACATTCTAAAAATTTAATGAGTAAATAAATGAGTAAAAGTGCTGACTAAATTTGGGCTTCGGGGGGGGCAGTATACAATAATAGGTGACAATTACTGAGTCCTAACCACATGCCAAAGTCTGGACTCATAATCTAGGCTGTACGGTGAACCATTTGAGAGAAAGCCTGCAGAGTCATACTGTTAGAGTCATCCCCAGTTCTGCCACTTGCTAACTATGTATCTTTGGGCAAGCTAACCCTCTTAGCCTCAACTTCCTCCACTGCCAAGTGGGCATAATACAGTTATCATAAGCACAAAATTATGCAGCTCCTGTAGAGACCATTTAGGCTGGTTCCTGGTACACACTAAGCATCCATAGGTAAATAGCTATTGTTACTATCCCATTTAACCTTCACATCAGCCCTATGAGACAGATAACATCAGCATTTTGGTAATGCATAAACTGAGGCTTTAAAAGGTAAAAGAAGTTATCTACGGTTATACAAATGAGGACTCACAAGGCCAGATTCAAACCAAGCCTGTTCAGTTCCAAAATCCATGCTCTTAACTGCTAAGACTTGTACAAAGACCAGCATTGCCACAGTAAGTATCATAAAGAGCCTAGAGGGACTATGGGAAGAGCCTCCACCCAAAATATATCCTTATTAGCCAAGTACAGTGTTTATTGGTCTTTCAAGGTAAAGCATATCACTCCAAGTTCCTTTTATAAAGTAAATAAATTTTGACCAGTGCAGATGGCCAGCTGCAAAAGGATCCCAAGAGAATGAAACTCTGAGGCTACTGATTTTATTCTAGGTTTTGTTTTATTTAGGGGGTTGGACTGGAGACCAACCTATCATCTGGGAAGATTAGGCTTGGGCAGAGCTACACTGAGCTGGTAATAGGAGGGCTCCAAAGGAGAAGTGGTTACAGAAGGGAAAATTACCATGAGGATACAACAGGTTGTGGGATATCATATTTTTGTACAATCTGGAACAGAAGAAAAAGCAAGTAGACACGGTGAGAAGGTGGTGCCACTGGGACACATATGTGGGCAGACTCAGTGCAAATGCAGCCCTTCAGAAATGCCCCTTACGGTTGGTTCCTTAAACTGACTGATAAGGAGGAAAAAGGTAAGTTTTCCACCCTGCTATAAGCACAGACCATTCTTTTTTTTTTTTTTACACTTTAAGTTTTAGGGTACATGTGCACAATGTGCAGGTTAGTTACATATGTATACATGTGCCATGCTGGTGTGCTGCACCCATTAATTCGTCATTTAGCATTAGGTATATCTCCTAAAGCTATCCCTCCCCCCTCCCCCCACCCCACAACAGTCCCCAGAGTGTGATGTTCCCCTTCCTGAAGCACAGACCATTCTAATCTTCCTCATCTGGTATCACAGGACAGGGACCAAGCACACAGGAGAGATAGAGACTGAGCTGAACCCACTGTCATCCCCACTGAAGAGGAAACACAGCTGACCCCAAACCTCTAAGAAGGCTGAACTGGAATGGGTCAGTAATTTCACTCCAGCATAGAGAGGTCAGAAGAGCCCCAAAGGAGAAGAAAGAAAGAAGAGAAAATAGAGGTCGAAGGGGGGAAGAAGGAAGAGATAGAGAGGGATCTCCCACCATCCCAGACCTAAGCAACAGACCAGGTGGAGTTTTCTTCTCCTGTTCCTTTGGATGCCCCCACCCCTACACATTTTTCATATTACCCTTTCCAGAATCTGGAATGAAAATTCCACCCGTGAAACAGCTCACCCAACCCCACTTCCCACCAACCACCACAATGGGACTCTCTCTGCTCATAGATCACCTGCCCATATTAACAAATATCAATCACTATATTTCACATAGGCAGGGAAATAAGCAAGCTCTAGACCCTGGAGACAAAGAAGGAAGGATGGAATTGCTGAGAGAAAGAAGAGTGAAGTGCCTAAAGTTCACTTTTGAGGTTTATAAAACATTTTTAAGACTGACATCTGACCTCTGAAGGCTCTGCAATCCCTTTTTCAGGTTTATTTCCCCAGGTGCTGAAGAAGTAAGAGGGAAAAGGTCCAAACATCAGTTTTAGGGTTTAGATCTGTTTGACACTTTTGCTCCAAGGAAAATTTCACTTGAGTGTAAAGATTTATCAGTAGTGCTAAAAAGTCCCTATTCCTTAGCTTATTCTAGAATAACCATAAATGTTGCAGAGATTATGGATAGGTGAGTGGGTGGATGGGTGAGTGGGTGCATAGGTGGTTAAGGGATGGATGGATGGATGGATGAATAGAAAGATGGATGGATGGATAGAGAGATGAACAGGTAAATGGATGTGGATGAATAAATGGATGGATAGATGGGTGGATAAATGGATGGATCTCTATATCACAAAGAAAAATTTATTCTTTGCTTTCAGACAGTAGTATTTTTAAACAGTGGTCATTAGGAGTTGGCATATGGCATTGGAAATGGTACCATAACTAATTTAGCTTTCTATGTGACTAAAGTATATTTAGTCAAACCCACCAAACTCATACAAAGACTGCTTTCTCATCAAGCGACATTTTTCAGCCATTCTTGGATTCTCTTTCCACTCCATCCCTCAGATATCTAATTTTCTCCTACAGCAAATATCACACCTACTAGAAGAGAATTCCAGCATCCCTACCCCCAGCTCTGACCTCTGTCCTGACCTCCTATTCTGACCTCCTATCTTCTCTCCTGCTGTCTCCTTTGTGTTCATCTGGAGGCCCCAGTATCACTTCCAGCCCAACATGCCTATACAATGTTGACATTTCCCTTCCCCATGTCAATCCTGGTCCCTTATCTAACTCCTCTATTTCTAAAGACATAATATCTCCATTCTCCAAAGTTTTAATAATAAACCTAAAATCAGTTTTTATTATTTTCTTCCCTCCATACATGATCAGTCACTATGTCATTTTATCTCACTGTTACAAAAGCCTTTTGAAAATGTTCCAACCTGTGATTTTTCCTCTTCACAATCAGTGCTATGCACACACTTATTCATTCATTTATTCATTAATGCTACTCAAAGTATTCATGCCTCCATATGCTTGGTGCTGAGCTCTACACCAGGGATTCAGAGATGAATAAAACACAGTTGATGACCTGAAGTATCCTAAAATCTTAGTAAATACTTTATAAAATAATACATTGACTATGTCTATCTCCTTCTCAAAATTTTTGGCAGGTACTTTATTGTCTGAGGTCTATAATCATTGCCAAAAACTGATTGTATTCTTGGTCTTGAAGGCTGGGTTTTGGTGCAAACTGAATTTAGTGCTTATAGAATAACTACTTTGAGTTGCAACCAGCTATATCAGAATTTGTGTCCATGCCCTATATATTCTCTTCTCAGAGTTATGCTGCTGAGACTTGGGATGCTAACTTGGGGCTCAAAGAAATAGCAGAATTGGCTAAAATTAAAATATTGGTGATAAATAAGGTAGTCATCTGGAGCTAGGAATGCTGACGCTGAAAGAGCATAAAAAAGAATACCAATAATAATAGTAAAAACACTCTCTTAGAATATAATAAATCAAGAAGCATAACCCCAAGTTAGCAGTGCTGGCACTTCTAAACCACACTGGGAACAGACCCTAAAAATATCAGAATGGCTCCTAGGAGGACCTCCATGATCTATCCTGTTTAGCATTCCCTCTGATGGGGGCCCCAAAGGAAAATTCTCAATAAAAACAATATTAATGAATTTCAAAAAGAAGAAAAAGAAAAGCAAGAAGTCGAGGGAAAAGTTAACATTATAAGAAGGCTCAATCAACTACAGAGGTAAATTGGGTCTTTTCAGATTAAGAAGAATTTCTGTCTCTAAAAAAAGCACCCTCTCCCTGTCATTCTGATGCTCAAATCCCAGAAATCTTCACTCTGAGGGCTGTAGGGGGAAGGGAAAAAAAAGGAGACATAAAAGAGAGTGTGAACCTGATAGGCTAAAGCTCTCTTCCCCCGACACTTTGGATTTTCAGCTGGGTTAGGGACTTTGGGGCAGGAGATTCTCTGAAGGCTGTGATTTATCCACAGAAAGCAGAAAGTGAGCTAGGTAGAAACCGGCTCCAACATATAGAAAATCTACCGATGGGCAGCACACACTGAGTGCATGCCCTTCCTGAACAGAGCACAGAGGCCAGGCCCAGATAGGAATCAATGTAGGTGATTTCAGTCATTAAAAACCCAGAATGTGAAAACCAGAAAAAAAATCTTTACATTCTATCTCAGGAACCAGAAGCTGATAGATGCAGATGAACAAGGACTGGAGGCTGACGGACTGCCTGAAGCTCCAGGAACAGTCATTTCACTTTTTCTCACCCCTTATTGTCGTCTCAAAAGAGATTAATCTAACAGATTAATTTACTTCACTGGCTTTACAATTCAAACATAGCCAAAAGGGTTGGGTTTGTTGGCCCTGTGTCTCTTTAAGAGACAATGAGATGCTGCTAAATTTTTAACCCCTAGTCTTTGGAGAGAATAAAGACTCTCACTAAGAATATGGCTTCTAAGTACCTGAGGAGGAGAATGGGCAGAAATAGAAGTGGATAGGTGCCCGATGCTATTGGCTTTAGAGGAAGATTTGAATCTCAACTCGGCCACATGCTTACCTGCTTGATCCCAAAAATGTCTCTAACTCTCTCTGAACCCCAGGATTTCTCTTTTGCAAGCTGGGACTCACCTACCTTGCAGAACTTGAAAAGGATCGACTAAGACATTGTACCTGGGACAAGTATTGCCTCTCTTTCCATTTCTTTCCCTACTAGATTTGAATTTTTCCTTAAACCAGTTCTAAGTCAACATTCTAACTCCCCTACTCTACTTAATTGTGGCCACCTCTTTGCCTATCAGTGTTGACCAGCTCTGCCCAATGACAGTGAAGGAGATAGATTTGGATTTACTTTTCCTTCCCAGCTACAATTCTTGGGGAATTTTAAGGGGGTGGCGGGGAGGCTCTGTATCACCTGAGTTAATAATGGAACTAGTGATAGAGGATTCTGCAGCCAACAGACTACCACGTTGGTTACTAGTCCTTGCTGCTGGAAGGTCCTTCTTCCCTCAACCTGACACTCTATTCTTGGACATACCTCAACCACTGGCCAGGAAACCTGAGTTCTGCCTATACTCTAACATTTACTTGCTAGATTATCATGTGCAGCTAATTTATCCTCTTAGAACTTCATTTTCCAATGCATAGACATGCTTTGGATAAAAAACATGCTTGACCCCCCACAGAAAGTAGTCATAAAGATCACAACAGATTTAAAAGTTAAAATGCTTTACAAGTGTAAGAACTTACTAATGTTATTTGTATCTGGATAGCTTCAAGGAAGAAATGGAAACTGTTTGAGAGGAGAGTGCCAACTTCAAGAAGAGCCTGCCCTTATGAACTGAAAGAATGGAAAGAAAGGAGGGAAGGAAGAAGGAAGAAAAGAAGGAAGCAGGAAGGGAGGGAGGGAGGGAGGGAGGGAGGGAGGGAGGAAGGAAGGAAGGAAGGAAGGAAGGAAGGAAGGAAGGAAGGAAGGAAGGACTAGGCAAATTCTACCCCATGTGCTAACAAGCTGCTCTGTTTCTATATGTGCTTGGAAGAGTTGGGAGGATCAGAAAAAATTCTTATATTTACAAGCTAAGCAAAGAGAAAAATGCCACCATAAAAATTGACAGGGAGGGAGGGATAATATAATAAAGCAATACAGAGTGTCCTATAACCACAGAAACAATAACAACGCTAAAACAGAAATAGCTTATTAAGTTAAAACAACAGTAAATCTGTCAGAACAGCCCATAGAAACTCTCATCTTATGATAGTAAAAAGCCTCTACCAGGCCTATTGTCTTATACTTTCATTAAACTACAGTTTTATAAGCTAAATTATTGCCAGTTCTTGCTCAATTCCCAGAATGAAATCTAGTTAAACTCTTAATTTGGGAGATATATCATTTGCAATTGACAGGGACTTAATAGACAGTTCCCAAAGCCTGACTTGACTTAGGAAAACAGAGAACCGAGGTGTAGAAGCGCTGAGCCCAATATTTTGGGTTTGGGATGTTATCCAGATGTGACTGATTGTGACTGCACAGAGGGGACTGTCCAGGCCACTCTCTTAGACTCCCCAGCCACTTTCTGACCAAGGCAGAGTGGAACAAGGAAGCTGATGTTTTCTCCCTTCAGCTAAGAGGGAGTTCACATCTCACAGGAAGGTAAAGTTCAAATGAGACAGCTCTACTCCCTCATTAGCAAACTAGGACTGTAGTCCTTGCAAGTCTCCACACCAACCCAGCACTATATGTACCAAGCAGCCTGTAACTGAGGAATGGGAGCATGCCCTTGCTGGTTCAGCACTGGTTCTGAACCACTTACCTTACCCAATCCATGGATTAATTTGCTCTCAATTCTCTTTGCTTCTAAAGGGATTGATTGTTTGCTTAGTCTGTTCCCAACTTCTACTAACTACATCATGGTTCTCCACTACCATGTCCTCAGGTTATTCTTCCAGCAAGCCTGCCTGCAGCTGCCAGCCTCCCAAGCCAGTACAACCCCAGGGGCCTCTGTTGGGCTCTGTTTTCTGAAAGACAAGTCCTCCCCCTCCTAGGATCGCCCAGATCAATAAGCAGGGACTAGACATTAACTGCTGCACACAGAACTATTAATGGACAGGGATCCGGGCACTGGAAGGTACACGTGCTGCCCCGGGCCCTTAATGCAACGAAGAATTAGGTATTGGGTAAGTTAATGTAAAGGAGTGCACTTTGGATAAAGTTATCTAAGTACCCGTTTGGCTATGATTGCCTGGATTTTCTCTGGTATCTGGTGGAGAAGCATTTTTGTGGTAGTGTCTCAGAAAAGCATTCTTGTTTTCAGTGCCACCTACATATCCAGTTTTATAAGTGAAATTATTTCCACTACTTGAAAACTGCCAAACATCATCTAAGGACTTGATAGAGCCACGTTATTTTTTTATACTGCTTAGCACCCCCGCACAATAGCCACCAACCTACCTTCCACTTATTCAAACCCCAGCCCCACTCCCACATCCCCCCGCCCCATACCTCACCCACACACACAAACCAAATAAATATTCTTTCCAGGCTCCATCTCCCCAACTGCAGGCCTGATTCAAGCTTTTCCCTCTACGTGAAATTATCTCTTGCACAAAGCAAACTTCTGCCAGCCTTCACAACCTTGATCAAGTCTCACCCCTTCCATGCAGCCTTCCTTGGTTCCTGGTTCCACCATGTTTGAAGTAATCTCTCACCCATAGTATGCCAAGGCACCATGTTTCTAGTCCCATTAAAGCATTTACCCTTGTCCACCTAGTATAAATGGGAGAATTACTGAGAAAGAAACTGGTATGAACATTGTTTTCCCTATATCCACCTATATTCATTGTTGGAATAAGGGAGCCAACAATGTTTTCTTTCCAAGATCCAAGTTGATTTTTACAAACACATACATGTGTGCACACACACACACACACAAACACACACACACCCAGAGATTCAGGAAGGAAGGGATTTATGTTTCAGGCCCATTAAAAAAGACTGAGGTCAGGTGGTTGCAGGAGAAGCATGGACATGAGTGCTGTAAGGAGAAAGGGAGAAGCCAACAGACATGAGGGGAGTTGAAGTTTCTTTTGAGAGAGAGGTTAGGGCAAGATGCTAGTGCCCTCACTCAGAGGCAATGCCCTGGATGGGTCAGGATAGGAGATCGGGGGCTTTTGGATGGCAGTCTGCAGTCACTGGGGGAGACATAAGAGGGGCATCTCTGTGACTTCCCACAGAGCATCAGGACTGGGAGACAGAGGAACGGGATCACTCTCTACATTGCCACTGTCTAGACAAAAGGGCAAATGTGAAAATGAAAACACCACGGACCAAGGACCTGGCTCCTCCCCAGTTTGGGGAACCAGGTAAGCCCCATACTCTGCTGTGATCTCATAGATTCAGGGAGGAAACCCCAATAATGACTAAGATTTAATTTCTCATCAAACAAGTAGATGGAGACTCATAGCGATACACTTTGATCTATTAAAGTATAGAATGACAACATGGATTGTATTAAAAATTCAACCCTGCTACATTGGTGTTCAATCACTCCTGGGTGTGTCTGCCTTCCCCACTGGATTGGAAACCCTTGGAATCAATACTCTTCTCCTCCCTCATCTGATGTTTCCCTATCCCACCTCAAGTTTTCCTAGTCTACGTTATTGTAAGCAGTCCCCCTCACCCCAGGTCGCAAAATAAAAACTAAAGGAAATGGTGCCATTTCACTGGTTGCAAGCCACAGCCAGAAAAGGCAAGTGGGGAAGTCATCTTTCTATAAATCCCCAATTCTGCTGGAAAAGCAGACAAAGGCAGCTGGGGAGCTAGGCTGCTGCTTTGTTTTTGCAACTCTTTCCATTGCAGTGCCCTTTATATATGCAACCCGGGTGAAATGCATCATAAAAGGTGACATTTTATCACAGCAGTTTGTAAATTTTACAGAAGCAGGAGCCCTGTAAATCACCCAGCTTATTCCCTCGCTGACTTTATTACAGCAAATCCAGTCATGGATAAACTGTATGCCAGTTTACTTGAAATTTATCTTTTTTCTTCAAGCTGAACTGAGTCCTTTTAATATTCTTCTCTCTTCTAATGATAAGACATAATGATAACCTTATTTTCTATTCAGACAGCTTTAAGGACTCTCATTTCTCTAGAAATGCAGTTCCTATTCGGGCCCTCTTTTCTGCCAGAGCCATTTAGAATTCGTTTGTTGCAGCAGAAAATGTGTGTACCTCCTTGCCCCAAGTCTTTTAACTCCCTAGAACTTACAGTTATTTTTATTCCTCATTTTTCCAAAGTCTTCTGCTTTCTTGGTCCCAGCCTTTTCCCCCCTACAACAGCTGTGCCCACCTAGCCCATCCCCAGAGTCCCCTCCTCCAGATCAGACATTTAGGGATCAACAGCCACATGAAATTGCTCATCCACCCACCCCCTTGAGCTGCCCAATACATGTGGCTATTGAGCATTCAAAATGCGACTAGTTCAAATTGAGGTGTACCATATGTGCAAAATATGCCCTGGCTCGTGAAGATTTTTATATCAATTACATGTCAACATAATAATAATTTAGATTAAAAAAATTGGTTAAAAGACATGCTAAAATTAATTGCACCTGTTTCTTTTTACTTTTTAATGTGGCTACTAGAAAACTTAGAATGATATTTGTGACTTGTATCACAGACTGTTGGACTGTGCTGCTCTGGCTACATCCTATCACCTTGCTACATGAAGACTCACTTTCTCCAAGAAGGTTTCTCTGACCTCTCTCATCACAATGTTTTCTTCCTCCTTTGGCTTCCATTTCACTTACAGTGAAATCTCACAATTTAGAAGGTGATGGTTACTTTAGTCATCCCAACCCCACAGGTTTCTCTGTATAGACCCACGAGAGCAGGGAGAGTATTTTATGGTGACTTGAATTCCCCTTAGCACTTTTGATAGTTATTGGTGCACAGTGAGGTGCTCAGAAAAAGGGTGGATGAATGGATGTGAAAGACAATTCTTGAACCTCACTGGCACAGTGCCAGGACCTACTGATCAGGATCACAACTCTCTACAAGATTACAGTGTTCTTGAAATGAGGGACCCCCTCCTGACTTCTTCATATCCCTATGGGGCCTGAGTGCTGCAAACAAAGACGTGTTTGAGTGTGTACTAAATTGACTGAGGTCCTATTGCACCAGGGGACAAGACAAGGTGTTTTCCTCAGGCCGAAGAAGCAAGAACAGGCCTAGAAATGGGCTCCCTGCTGGGAAGCAGCCACAGCCACAGATTAGCTCTTTGACTAATATTACAATTGCTATCTCCCTTCTCTAGACCATTGTGTAGGCCTCCACCTGAAACTATATTCCTAGAATATAATGCTCTGATCACATCCTTGCCTCATTCAAGAATCTACCACAGATCCCTTTTGCCATGGAACAGTGTCTGAGTCCTTTATTTTTTTTTAACTTTTATTTATTTTTTAACTTTAATTTTAATTTTTATTTTATGAAGGTTTGTTACATAGATAGACACATGTCAGGGGGGTTGTTGTACATATTTTTTCATCACTCAGTACCCAATAGATATCTTCTCTGCTCCTCTCCCTCCTCCTACCCTCCCCACTCAAGTAGACCCCAATGTCTGTTGTTTTCTTCTTTGTATTGCACCAGGAGACTTGTGGCTAAGGATAATAGCCTCCAGCTTCATCCATGTTCTTGCAAAAGACATGATCTCATTCTTTTTTATGGCTGCATAGTACTCCATGATGTATATGTACCATATTTTCTTTACACAGTCTGTCATTGATTGGCATTTAGATTGATTCCATGTCTTTCCTATTGTGAACAGTGCTGCAGTGAACATTCACAGGCATGTGTCTTTTTCGTAGAATGCTTTATATTCTTCTGGGTATATACCAGTAATGGGATTGCTGGGTTGAATGAAAGTTCTGCTTTTAGCTCTTTGAGGAATCGCCATACTGCTTTCCACAATGTTTAAACTAATTTATACTCCCACCAATAGTGTATAAGTGTTCCTTTTTCTCCACAAACTTGCCAGCATTTTTTTTTTTGACTTTTTCATATAGCCATTATGACTGCTGTGAAATGGTATCTCATTGTGGTTTTGATTTGCATTCCTCTAATGATCAGTGGTATTGAGCTTTTTTTCATATGATTGTTGGCCACATGTATGTCCACTTTTGAGAAGTGTCTGTTCCTGTCCTTTGCCCACTTTTTAATGGGTTTTTTTTTCTCTTGTAAATTTATTTAAGTTCCTTAAAGATGCTGGATATTTGACTTTTGTCAGATACATAGTTTGCAAATATTTTCTCCCATTCTTTAGGCAGTCTGTTTACTCTCTTGATAGTTTCTTTTCTGAGTCCTTTAATATGCCAACCTGCCTCCCCAACCTCATCTCATACTCCCTAGGACATTCCTTCCAATTAGTCTCCCATCTGTTCCACAAATAGTCCCGGATGTGTGTCCAAGATGATCCTCCTTCCTGTATCAGCCTCTCCTTTCTTCTGCGCCCACCTGACCTCTACCTGTGCTAAAGACTTGGTTGAAACCAAGCTGGTGAGCTTCTCCGTGAAGCCTCCCAACTCCTCCAGCCCACTCCAATCTTCCCAACCCTGAGCACCTAAAATCCCATTTGTAGTCACTGCCAAGTTCAATGTACTGACATCGTCTTTCTCCAGCCAGATGACAAGCCACTCATCTGCAGGAACCATATCTCATAAACTCTGGCAGAGTGCTAGACATGTTGTAATGTGGAGTGAATTGAGGCCAAATTGAATTAAGCCGGTTAAAACATTACTACTCTGAAAATGGTAATATCTAGTGTCTCCACATGACTGGTAAGGAAGAAGGTAAGTCCTTCTTACCTTCCACCCTTGAAAGGAAGATCTCTGTCTTGCATCCGAGGATGAAATTCACAAAGGCTAAACGAGGAACCACACCTCACAGGATCTTCACTGGAAGTGATTCTGAGGTTGGGATGAGCTTTTTCTAGGGCCAAGCAAACCCAACTGAGTCTTAGGAAGTTAAAACTATGAGGAGCCAAAAAAATTACCTAACTCAACTCCTCATGTTACAGGTGTGAGAACAGTGGCCTAAGATAGGGGAAATGATCTGCCCAGAGCCCCAGGAATAAGTGGTGACCAGGTTCAGCTTTGATTGCCAGCCTGGTATGAGGGTGTTTTTCCTTCTATACACAAGGTTCCCAAACCTTGATCAAAGAACAAGCTGTATCAATACCACCTAGAAAGCTTTTCTAAAAATAAACACTATAGGTCCCCATTTGCAGAAATTTTGAATCACTAGATCTGGGTGACACAGGGAATCTGCATTGTTATAAAGCTTCCCAAGTGGCTCTGATACATTGCTAAGTAGAGTCAGTGGCTGCCACACTGTTCTTGGTGGGGCCTCCATGGAGTTGATGCCCTTTTAGGGATCCTCTGGTGTGTGAAAGGCAGTATCAGAAGATAAGCACATGAAATTTCCTCCTCCCCATGGCTTACTAGCCAGGCTCTATCCCGCTGAGATCACACAGAAGCTGCAGGTGTGGTCGGGGGAAGGTAGGACTGGGAGAAGGAGCAGAGGTTGGGGGAGGCCAAGGGAGAGGGGAGGCACCTCTGTCCAACCCCAAGAGGATCCTATTTCCTGATATTCACTGCCCACCTTTATATGCCATTTGGTTAAAAGCTAAACAACTCAGCCAGGCATAGTGGCTCACATCTGTAAACCCTGCACTTTGCAAGGCTGAGGCAGGCAGATCACTTGAGGTCAGGAGTTCAAGACCAGCCTGGCCAACATGGTGAAACCCTGTCTCTACTAAAAATATAAAAATTAGCTGGGCGTGGTGGCAGGCACCTGTAATCCCAGCTACTGGGGAGGTTGAGACAGGAGAATCGCTTGAACCCAGGAGGCAGAGGTTGCAGTGAGCTGAGATTGGGCCACTGCACTCCAGCCTGGGTGACAGAGCGAGACTCCATCTCAAAACAAAAAAGTTAAACGATCCAATCAAAAGAGTAATGAATGAAATATTGAGAAAAGACTTTAAAAGGTATTAGGTTCTGAAAATTGCAGAGGATTAAGTTATCTGGTTAATTCGGAGAAAATTACAAAGTAGGTGAAAAGCTCTGTGAACTTTCAAGCACGCTTCCATGTATAAGATGTCTTGCCTTCCAAGGGGCTCTCAGCAACTAGAGCCAAACTGACATCATACTTACCCCCGACTGCCTGCTCCACAGTGTACCTCTGCTGAAAGCACTGCCTGGTTAGTTAGAGTGTGTGGTCTGCTAGGGTATTAGTTCCAGTTCTTAGTCAGAGACCTGAAATACCAGGCTTGACCTTAGTGTGATGGGCAGACTTGGGATTTTGGAATGAAGGGAAATGAATGTGAATCCCCGCTCTCCTGCTTGTTTGAGAAAGTCATTTATCCTGTCTAAAATCGGTTTTTACAGCCGCAAAACCAAGAAAGAAAAAAATCCTACCTCTCATGTGAAGATTAAGTAAGGTAATATGCTCAGAAAACATCCGTTCCTTTTCCGGATTCTAATTCTAGGAAACTATTTGCAGAGGTTCACATGTATGCACACGTATTCACGCACAACTTGATCATGAAAAATTATCTAGATCCCTGCTTAAAGAGTAATCTGTGGGCCAGCAGCATAAGCTTCACTTGGGAGCTTGTTAGTAATACAAATTCTCAGGTCTCCTTCTCAGACCTACTGAATCAGGGTCCCAGAGAAGCCTTTCTCTAGAAGTCTGATTAAAGCTAGAGGTGTGACATAAGTAAAGAGTCTGGGGGCATGTTTTAATCCTGGACTTAGAGAACCAGAATAGTATCCATAGCCCTGACCTTCTTAGCATCCTGTTTTAATCTAAGGAGACTTTGAGGAGTTGAGTCACTAGGCTAACCAGGACCCAGACCAGTGTGATCCACTCTATTCTCAATTGTAATCTGACCTTAAAATAGGTGAGTTCTGGGCTTCAGGGATGCTAGTCTCTTTGCACATAAATCAGGTCACATTCTCTTATTGGCATAGGATGGATTTCAAATTTTAACATGAACTCAAAAAGGAAGACGTACTTAGCCTACAACTGGAAAGAATGGATGTCTGATTGATGATGAACCATAGTTCTTGAAACATGAGGAAGATTCAGAAAGGCAGAAAGGAGGTGAGGGAGGACACTCCAAGAGCAGCAAAGGCCATGAAGGGAAACTATGTAAAAAGAAAAAGCCAGCAACAAGAAGGCCAGTTATGTCCAAGTGGAGGATTAGAGAGGGAGAATTGTAGAGAGAAACAAGTAGTGAAGGGCCTTGAATGCCAAGCACAGGAGTTTAGAGTTTATCCTGTAAGTCATGAGGGGCCTCAAATGTTTACATGCTTTTGGTTTTCTATTATTTATTTGTTTATGGAATAGGTGTTGCCTACATGTATGTTGGAAGATAATCCTCCAAGAGACTGGCATGTCTGCACATCTCAAACTATCTCTTCCAAGAATAGCAAACAACCTTGGAAACTAGAGATGGTATATTCCTCCAGGTCAGAGGAAGGATTTGTCTCCTGACCAATGTAGTAAAGCTTAAAAACCCTTCCCCAGAGATATTCCAGAATAATAAAGATAAAGACTTCTCCTACCACAACCTGGAGAAGATTGGCATACTTCTTAGAGTAAAGATAATGTCTTTACTAAGAAATGAATGATGGGCAGGTTGCCAACTCAGAAGTGAAGGATGGGCAGGTTTCCAACACCCATATATAGGATCAGAACTTCCTAATTTGGGGGTTTCTCTCCTGTAATGCACCCCACTGCATATACAGGTACAACCTGGTCATCATGTCACCTGCAGATATGAGGCTTGGAGAACTGGTGCTAAGAAATTACCTTGGCCACAGTTTTGCTGTATATATGACTCTTTTTCTCTAACTCAGAGGTCGTCTGCAGAGTGTGTGTGTGTGTGTGTGTGTGTGTGTGTGTGTGTGTGTGCGTGCGTGCACACAACACAGTGTGGCTGTCTAACTTGTTAGTTTGCATGAAGAGTAAAATCCCAGACCCTTCACAGTTTCTGATTTAACAATACAGTGGGCTTAAAATAATTTAAAAAAAAAACACAATGCTGTTGACCCAGAGTAGAAAAAACATATGATGCCACTGTTCAGCAAAACCAAATAAGAAAAGATTTAACGCTGTTTTACAGGCAATGACTAAACTCTCTGGTCTTTGTTCTCAACTGGAAAAAAAAACTAGACTGAAAAACTTCTTATTACTACAGCACAAGTCTAAGCAGTCCAGCTCTGTGCAGAGATATAAGCCCAACAGACTTTGTCAGCATGAGAAAAGTGGCAAGAATTTTTTTTAAGTATGAATTAGAAGATTTAGTATGACATGGAACAGTGGGAATGGGCATTAAGATAACAAGAGCTTCAGAGATGCAGTCCATTTAGAAATGTAGTCTTAAAGAATTCTATGAGAAGATGCTGACAAGTTTCCTTAATTGATATTAAAGTTCGTCATTCAATAAAGAAACCATTCTAAGGCAATTCAGTGTGGAATGTGAACTGCAGTGAACACAGACAAGAAATTAAAAAGCAAAATGTTGAAAGAAGAGAAGCTGAATAGAAACCAGAAATGGCTAGCATTTTTTCCAATTCTTATTAAGGAGAGATGAGGTAATAAAAAATCATACTATATAATGATTGTAGTTCTGCCTATAAGTTACATTTAAGTTAACTCCTCTGTAAGTTATATATCCACTCCATAGTATGAGCTTAGTCATCCAAAATGAATCTTTTTATTATCCTCCTCAAATTCTGAGGGAAAAATACTCTCTACCTATTGTAAGAAAAAGTTCCTGAGGCACACTGGCAGCCCCAGCCATCTCAGGAGTTAGCACTGAACAAACCACATGAAACTATAGTGTTACAAGAACATGGTACTATACTTATTGGCCATCATTCTGGATCTGCCACTCAGCCTGCTCTATCCAAAGCCACAAAGTCACCTCCCTCCATAGGATAAAAAACTACCTGACACACAGTCTTCTCCACAACCCTAATAACCTCTACCCCTCCATTCTCATCTCAGATCCTCAGAGTACCACCCACTGCATAAGCCTACACATACTGCAGAAAGCAGAGCCAGTTCACCATATGCTTTTCATCTTCATCCCAAGTTTTCATAATTTCCCCAGGAAAGCTTTGTATTAGCTCACCAAATGCAATGCCTGCCTCCTCCCGCCTTTTATGAAAGGGAACTGTTGAAAAGCATCCACATTCAAATCTTCTGTAGGGAAAATATCAATATGAGAAAAAGTCTGCTATCCTCCTAGAGATATTCCAGTGAGGGCAGATGGTGTTCCCAACTTCACTCAGTTCCCAAGAACAGCACCAGCCATGTGTAATAAGGGTGATTGGAAAGGGCACTTGATTGGGAATCAAAAGAATTGTATTCTAAAATGGCTCTATTACCAACTAACTTTCAACCTTTGGCAAGCCATTTGACCTCTCTGGGCCTCAGTTCCATCTGCAAAATAAGGATATTTTGTCAAGACTCCTGCCAGCTTTAAAAAGCTATGCTTGTGTGAATAAGAGGAGTAAGTAATGACTTACATAAAGAAAATGGAAAGGCATCAAAAAGATACCCACTGTCCCCAAATAATAATAGAATTTTAAACCTAACACAAATATAGTACTTTATAATTTTCTTTTCCCTTTCTCATACCCTTTGTCCATTTGATACTCACAACTAAACAAACTAAGGGAACCACCCTTTAGGTACACATATTCCAAGTGGAAAAAAAAAAAAACAGAAAAATCACAATGCTTGTCAATGGCAGAACTGGCACCAAAATTAAGTATGCAAACTCCCAGATGAGGACATATCCTCTACCTTATAGGGGCTGCTCTCAAGTTCTAAGGAAGGGGAACAGTAGAGGCCATATCATTTTGCCTCAATGTGTCTCAAATATGAGCCATTCTTTATGGTTTTCTTTTTTTTTTTTTTTTTTTTTGATACAGAGTCTTGCTCTGTCACCCAGGCTGGAGTGCAGTGGCATCACCTCGGATCACTGCAAGCTCCACCTCCTGGGTTCACGCCATTCTCCTGCCTCAGCCTCCCAAGTAGCTGGCACTACAGGTGCCCACCACCGCACCCGGCTAGTTTTTTGTATTTTTAATAGAGACGGGGTTTCACTGTGTTAGCCAGGGTGGTCTCAATCTCCTGACCTCGTGATCCGCCTGCCTCGGCCTCCCAAAGTGCTTGGATTACAGGCGTGAGCCACAGTGCCTGGCCTCCTCATGGTTTTCTACTCCACCAATATGGCAGCTGCTCACAACTCTTAGTATATTCACAGAACAGTAAGACATGCTCTTTTTTTCTAATGAAAAGGAAGCAAAAGATTGACTTGGAAGTTTTCTGGATGCTATCTTAAGGACCATGCTTGCAAATCCATTTGTATAACTGGGGGCCTCACAAATATGAAGCATTTCTATCATCTTGAAACCCCTACAATGAATTTTCCAAAAAAGAAAAATTACTTACATCTGAAGTACACAAAAATTAGTCAATATAATTCCAAAGACTGATTATATGACTTCAGTTCTACTCATAAAATGCTATACCTGGATTTCCTTTTTCAGAATTCAAATCACTGTTTCTAAGCCCACCACATTCTATTTTACATGCTCGGAAATGAAACCAGGATTTCTTTTACATTTCAAACCCCCTAATTGATTCTTTTAGTCATACATTTTTTTAAAAAGTATAAAAGAAATTTATTTTAACTCTGTGACCAAAGTTTGATTTAAAAAACAATACAAAGCTATTTCTACCTAATGTCGGCGGTGGCGGGGGGTTTGGGAGGGCAGGCAAGTGCTGTTAGCAATTTACAGGAATAAAACCCATTCAACTGTAAGGTAAAGTGGACTTCTTAAATGATCTGTATGTATATTTGGTACAATTTTTGACAAAGTAGAATAAGAACTCTAAAATGGTACTACATTTTCAAGTCTCTAATTACAAGATGTAGTTACCTAATTACACATTGTTAGTACCCAATTATATAGATCCACAATAATTTTGTAATTGTGCTTAATTACACTAATTAAGTCAGTAACCCACAAAAAATACAAAGAATTCTTATGAAGAAAATCCTTAGTAAACTGGATTATATTCAATACTTAGCAAGAAATAACCTTTAAAAGCAAAGCTATTTCTCACATTTTGTCACACTCACAACTTCTTAACCTGAAACTATTGCCTAAGTATGACTCTACATGATCCATTCCCAGTGTAGACTGAGTCACAGGATGAGAGAAACAGTGGCTTAGAGCAATAAAAGGAAACTTTGAGATCTACTTTAAGTCTGTCTTTATAATACGTGAAATTGAGCCCCCAAAGGCTATCTGACCTGTCCAAATTTACACAATTAGTGAATGGTAGAACTGGAGTAGGAGCTCCATTTTCTAAATTCTCAATCCATTGTCCTTTACCTACATCAAGTCTTCATGCAGAAAGCCAAGGATGCCTCAGAGACCAGGGCTATTAAAGATATTAATCTGAATGTATCAGCTCCAAGATCCTGCTTTCTCTGTTTAACTGGGTGTTATCTATCTGGGACTGCATTTAACAGCCCAAATTCCAAACAGCAGTGCCTTCGCTAGACAGGGATTTTTATTTTCTTCATGTAACACAATGGCAGAGGAGATATATGGGAGCTCCACAAAGGTTATCTAGGACCTGGGCACTTCCAGCTTTCTGCCCTGCCATTCTTGGGATACAAACCTTGTCCTCATTCTTAGAATGGCTGCAAGATCTCCATCCATGATGTCTGCATTCCAGGTGGCAGGAGAAAGTAAAGGGGATGGATGGGATGGTGCTTAAATTAAGAAAGTAGAGTTTTCCTAGAAACCCTCAGCATATTTCCCATGAGCCAGAACTTCGTTACAGGATACTATTAGCTGCAAGCTAGGCTGGGAAATCAGGTTCTTTAGCTAGACATGTGCCACTGACAACAAACGGAAGGAAGGAAGGAAGGAAGGAAGGAAGGAAGGAAGGAAGGAAGGAAGGAAGAGAAAGAGAGAAAGAGAAAGAAAGAAAGAAAGAAAGAAAGAAAGAAAGAAAGAAAGAAAGAAAGAAAGAAAGAAAGAAAGAATATTTCTGGGAAACTGACAGTGTCTGCCACAGCTTGCCTGTCCTCAGGGGTGTCAGAGATAAAGACAGGAAATAAAGAGGTGCCAGTCATGGTATAATGGAAAAGTTACCTTGTTGGAAGCCAGAGAAGCTGGTCCTCAATTTCCTCACCTAAAAAATAAAACAGCTGGACAAGAGCAGTGATGTCCAAACTTTTTAAGCAAGAGAACACATGTTTTTACTCATGTAGAAATGCTATCTATAAAATGGACCAAGGCAGAGCTGCTTCTCTCTTACTGAGGCTGGGTGGGTAAGCAGAGAGGAAGGCTGTGGTGGACACTGCCATGTGCTACTCAGATTCCCCCTTTAAGGGATGTCTTATTACCACAGCTGCTGGGGCTGAGGGCAGCAGACAGCCTTCAGCCACCAGCCCTCCAGAGATTGCCTCAGCTGCTAAGAGCCCCTCAACGAAGATTATACTCCCTTCTCTGGGTGGCCCACATTCAAAGACTGATCAAATATAAGCATCTGGCATTAACAGTCCAGCCAACTTGGCTCAACCTGGCCCAACCCAGGACAGCTATGGAAGGCCATCCTAGCTCCAGACTCCTGTGCAGTAGACAGACTCTGGTGTTGGGCTGCATCACCCTTCAATCTCCCTTGTACCTATATCTCAACAGCCCCTGGCTAGGCTAAACACTGGTTCTTCCTGGAACCCAGTGTGAAAATCTTCAACTGATTTCTTCAAGACTTCAAACAGAACACAACAATGCTCTAAATCAAACTGGGGAAGACTGGAGTATCAAAGAAGTTTAGGGAAAGCTGGAAGCTGAGATGGCCAGGCTAGAAGGGCTTTTCGGGAAAGGTAAATTAAAGCCAAGAAATGGAAGAGCAGAAAATGAAATCTATCTGTGGGATAAAACATGGGGAAAGACAAGTATCATATCTTTAGTAAATCCTGGTATTAGCAGAGTACTTCAGTGGCATGAAATACTTTCATATACATTCATCAATTTCACAAATTCTGGAGAGAAAATATAGTGGCCACTGGCCGTTTGTTTTGTTTTGTCTTATGTTTGGCCATCTATTAATCCCAAAATCTTCCTGTTGGGGGGAATTCCTTTCTTTGGGAGTCTCAGGAGGAACTGTAGAGACCGAAAGGGCAGACTCGTTTCTTCCAGCCTTCACCAACATAGGCTCAGCATGGAGCCTGGATGCACAATCAGATGCTCCTTCCTGGAGCTTTGCATCTGCAGGGAGGGACCCACAGACACAGAAGCAATTAACAATGATTCAGGGGCAGCAGTGGAGTAAGGAGGTATCTAATACCTGTTTTACAGATCAGGAAAATGGGTCCCAGAAAGACTGACATTTTTCAAGGCCCCACAACCAGCATATGGCTGTGCTGGGACTAAGATCAGTGTTTTTTCCAAGACATGCAGTTTCTAGAATTACCAGCAATGTTTTTTGAATAGTATGTGAAATTGTCCCCTTAGTGACTTCTCTGATTTTTCTTCTGAAAAATGAACATCTTTTTGGTTATGGGTTCTTCCGACAGTTTTAAACTAGTATCTGACTCTATTAAAAATGAACGCTGTCAGGAGCATATGTGAGCTAATTTCCTTGCTGATTAGCAGTCTATTGCCTCTCATACTTACTAAGCCTTCAGGGAAGCCTTCTCCAGGAAGGATAGAGTCTTTGGGAGGTATTTGCTGTAATCATACTTCATCGTGCATGTTCATGACCTCACTCTTTTCTTTGGAGACGGCAATCAGGCAAGTGTTGATGGAAATCTCTCTTCTGATCAGCCAGAGAAAGAGTCATGGCCTGGGACTCCTGGCCTTTGTTCTACGGCACAAGGTGGGCATTAACATTGGCCTTTCCAAGAAATAGGCCCGTTTGTCCCCACTACTGGCCAAAAGAAAATTGCAGGCCAGTGTGCAGCCTGAGGCTGGGAGAAGACAGTCATAGACAGAAGTGGTGCACTTTCCCAGGGGTCGTGGTACCCTCCTTCTGGATATGATAGGGCAGAAAAGGCTCCTTTAAATCACAGAAGCTTAAGGATTCAAGTCCTCTCCAAAACCAAAACTACCCTTTCCTGACTTGACTTCACTTTTGCAAACAGCCTCCCAGCTAGATATTAGCAGCACTAGAAACTCACCAAGACATCACTATCTCACCTTTCTCTGTCCTTCAGAAAGTTCTTGCTTATATCGATCCCAAATCTATCTTCCCATAGTTTCTAAAAATTTGGGCCCAAATAACCCAGTTATATTATTGACATAAAAATTAAATGTCATTCCACATACAATGCCTCTTTGCATATTAGTGGAATCCCTTCCCCCATCTCTACCTAAAGACTTGCAATTTGTCCTTAAAACCCAGCTCAAGCCCCTCCAGGAATCTGGTGACCCTGTTAACCACCAGTATCACCACCAAGCTGTGTTCCTGGTGCTCTTTGTTCATATAGACATCTTGGTACATATCAGCCTCCATTAAAAACTGCTGTGCTCCTCTAGACTATGAGCTCCTTGAGGGTAGGGTCGGTTTCTTTCCTATTGGTATCGCTGGCATATGGCATATCAATAAATACATGTCAAATTTTAAAAATCTTTTTGAAATAATGAATAATAAACCACTTCTGAGATGCCTTCGGGAACTATACACAGCATGTCTGGTGTTGAATTTTCTCATCACCACAGCCACCCTATGGGGGCAGACATAAGTGTGAGCCTCGCAATCTCCCAGCTACAAAGAGTTTAATCAGCCAAGGGCTATGGCTGCTTTCTCAGAAATCCACCACCTTGTTTGTACACAGGATATGCTTGCCCTGGGCTGCTTCCACTCAGTGCCTAAGTGCATTCGTGATATTAAATCCTGATAAACACAAAACACCTCTGCCAGCTAACTTTGGTTCAAGGACTTCCTAAAAGTCTTGCTAACCCTTCCTTAGCCTGCATGGTAGTCTGGGATGCTTCCACTCAACTTCCTTCCCCACTCTTGCAATCAGGGTCAGACTTGTATTGTGGTCTGATGGCTCTCCCAGCCTTCCCTGGCTCTTTTCCTAACATTCTCTCAAGGCATTTCCCTGAAAAAATCCTTACATGTTTAATCCCATATGGTCGTCTGCTTCTCAGAGGTCCCAGACTAACCATCCATTCAATTCTATGTCTAAAACCCTCTTTAAAAGAGGTACCAGTTGTGGTGGTGCATGCCTGTGGCCCTAGCTACTTGGTAAGCTCAGGTGGGAGGATCGCTTGGGCCCAGAATTTCAAGGCTGTAGTGAGCCTGGATCATTCCACTGCATTCCAGCCTGGGTGAGTGACAGTAGAACCTGGTCTAAAAAAAAAAAAAGCTACCTTGATCTCCACATAACAACTCTGTGTGGTCAGAAGAGCACCTCACAACCATCTCCTCCTTCCTTCTACAAACTATGTTTTCATTAAAAGCAACCTAAATGACACTTTCTTTGCAGCCAGCTCATACTGTTGACCCATATTGAGCAATATCATCCAGCAGCCTACTTTTGAATAGGACTAATTCATAACCTAAAATGCCCTTTCTCACCTCTCTCCCCAACCCATCTCTGCTTGTGATTAAGATCCAACATGAATTTCACTTCCTCTGTGGTTTTCTGGCCTCACACAGCAAAACCCATCCCTTAGCACTCAGCATAGACCTCTATTATACTGCATCGAACAAACTTTTCTGGAAACTTCTGTCTCCCCAGAACCCAACCGCTTCTAGGGCAAAGACCGTATCTTAGTCTTCCCCTAAGTTCAGCACCAAGATGGTAGAGTATGGCTGTATGTTAGATTAATAAACAAATGCCTTTTCTCTTTAGATAATTTTAAAGCTCCTTGGGGACAGAAATCAGACCTTTGTCTCTTGCATCCCCTACAGTGCCTTGCTCAGGGACGAGTACATGTAAATATTTAATAAATATGTACTGAGTTGAACTGAAGTCCTGAAAGTCTTTTACGGCACCTCAGTCTCATGCCAAGCCCAAGGTCAGAAAGGATGCTCAGGGGGAAGGAACCAAAAAAGAAAAGAAATTAAATACATCAGGCTTTCCTGTGTGAGTGGGAGGATCTTGTCTCCAGGCTTCCATTCTTAATGCCCCTCTAATCTGGCCTCTACAGGACAGCCACAGTAATCTTTCAAAAGCCCAGCAGACCATGTCACTTCTTTGTTCAAACTGCTTTGAAAGCTTCCCATTGCACTGAGGACAAAAATCCAAACTCAGTTCTAGGGCCACAAGGTCTGCCTGACCTGCCTCCATCTCTTCACTGCAGCCCAGCTGCTGGTGAGTTCCTTTAATTCCCCAAACTCAACCTGTTCCCCTGCTCCCTCTGCTCCCAGAGCCTTCATGTACCGTTCACTCTGCCTCGAACCCTTCCTCTTCTGCACGACTGCTTTCTTCTCATCCTGCCCCCAACTTCAATGCCACCTATGCAGCTCATTACACCTGTAATCCTCTATCGCCACGCTTCATTCATTTCCTTCATAGCACTCATCATAATTAATAGCTGAGTGGTCTAAGTTCACTTTCCTCAGGAATATCCTGTCATCATTTCTCTTAACATAAGAAAGCCTAGGATTGCCCCAGGAAAGACTTAGATTCCTCTCTCATCAGCCTACACCTTGGCCTTTACTGGCTCTGCTGGCCCTCAGCCCCAGCCACTTCTCCCTAATTTATTCTCAGACTTGAAATGTCCACCCTACAGCACCTGCTTTGGGCTCTCTGACTTATCCCAAGGTGAATCCTTATCACAGGTTTTACCTATCATTATTATCTGAGAGACTTATTAGATATTCTCCATGCCTTATAGAAGCCAAATGAGACCATGGTGGAAAGGGAAGGAGGGTGTCTAACGCAGGCCCTCTTTCTGCCTAAAACTGCGTGCTGCCATTTCTATGCTTCAGAAGCCATCACATTGTGGGCAGGGCACCCTGCTGAACCTCCTCCTCCCAAAATGCCCCCCAGGAAGTGAGGTGTGTACCGCCTCTGGTCTTAGATCCCAAATCTATCCAGACGTGTCTACTTTCCATCCTCCCAACCCAGGGTTTGAGCAGGGCCCAAGAGTAGCTCTCTTTTGTTTTCCTCTCCTACTTCTCTCAAAACTCCCCACCAACAGCCCAGAAAAAAAATTCTTACCTCCAAAAACTCCCCAGTAATCATCATGCATTCTGTCCTATTTTGTGGTTAATGTTTTTTACAAAACATCATCATCAACAACAACAAAAACTTTTGCTTTAAGTCATTCACATATTTTTCTTAATATTCAAAGCTTTTAAAATTTAAAAACAGTAACTTTCTGTTCAAGCAGCTGGCTCTTTGAATACTCAGGGCAAGGAGAAACAATACGAGAAGACGAAGATGGGAGCTTTGTCAAAAGTAAGATTTAAGGCAGACTTCAGACCGGATTAGCCTTTACCAGGTGGTCTTTAAAGGGGATGAGAGCTCATCCCCTGTAAAGGAACAGATATGGGGATGGTGTGACTGAAATGGACAGTGCTATTTGGGGAGAAGTGGGAAAAAGGATTGCAGAGGCATGGGAATGGGTAGATCATGGGAGACACTGAGAGACTGATGGAGGAGTGTGGATTTTACGATTTAGTCATGGGTGGCTATGGTAGCTTCTGGAGCAAGGGGCTACATGAGGACAGCAGGATCTTAGAAACGTTAGTTGGGTGCCTCTGTAAAAGAGCCACTCAACTCCTTCAAAAGTGATTGTGAACAAATAGACAGTTACATAGTGACTAAGTGACAGATTGCAAATATTTTACACTGATTTCGTCGCTGAACTATTGGACAAAAGAAAAGGCTGTGTGGGCATGCAAGGTCTGTGAAAGAGGCAGCAAGTGCAGCACAAAGCAGGAGAAAGCAGGGATGCAGACAAAACATCAGTATAGATTATATAGAATTTTTTCAAAATTGAGGAGTAACGCTAACCACAGGTTATTGCTCACTGCAGTTCACAGGTAGAAAGAGCCCTTGCTCCCTTCATGCTCCTGATTTCAGATTCTCTTTGCCCTATCTCCAAATTCTCCTCGCCCCATAATTTAACATCACAGGGCAAACCTCAGCCAGTCTCCTCAGCTCACATTTAATGAATTCTAAAAACCACTCCTGCAATTACTAAGGAAAATGCTTGCCAAGTAGCCCATCCTTACCCTCCCTTAGCAAAGGTCAACCTGAAGACAGAGCAGTAGAAGGCTTTTCCAGTGAGCTCCCGGGGTTTGCTGAGAAAAACACAGGCTTGGCCAGTGACTTCAAAATGACAGACTGACTTTGCCATCCACATCTACTGGTTTGGAGGAGCTATCACTTAAAGGCTGTCTGATTGCTTGTGAGCCCCCAGACCTACAATGGACTTTCAGCAGACAGGCTCAAGAAAGGAACGTGCATCTCTTGTAAATGCAGCACCCCCAGATGGCCTTATGTGTTGAAAATCACTCACATCTGCAAGTGGTATATCCTTTTGACAATAGGTAAAGTGTTTTTAACCACTTCTTTCTTCTCTGTCTCCTAACCTCCTTGATGCTCCAGAAAAGAGAATCTTCCAGAGCTCTAGGCAACTGTAAGGCTTCCAGACAGGTAATCCTCCAGACACATGCTGCCAGGGAGGGAGACCTGGTGCAGCCATGTGGCATCCAGAGCTGCTTCTGGCACAGACAGATTTGTAAACCAAGGCGTTAACCTGTTTCTCTTGAGCAAGAATGAAGGCAGGCCTAAGGCAAACTAAAATGGAAGAAGTGGAGAGGCTGAGCACTATGGCTGGAAACAAGGAGCTGGGACTGCTCAGCACTGTCCTCGTCTCCCAAAGATGTATAATAGGACAGAAGGGGCCTCCCACTTCCTGATGCACAAATGGGATTTCAGTGACAAAAGGCTCATGAGGGACCTGTCTCTGGCTAAGCAAACATACAAAGCATGTCTTGCTACCGCCTCTAGTTAATTTCCTCTAATCTTATGCATATACTCAATGTCAAATCTAGATTACTTTCTTAGAAATATAACCAGGCGGCACCTCCCTCCATGTTAACTTTCTGAATTCTTCCAGGCATTCTGTTTCTTGGAATAATGCCAGGGATAATACCCTCTCTCCAGCTTGCTCTCTTTTCCTTTTTCTCCTGGGTACATTTAAAATACTGGAGAAGACTTCATTTCACAGAATTATATTAATTAGAAAATACAGTATGACACACATGTATTTTCAACACTAAGGATAAACTACACAGAGACATGGGAATTCGTGGGATACTTGAGCCTGGAGAAGCCATCCATCTCACTTGCATCTGAATGTTGCTTTATGAGTCAGGGCTTTCCTTATGCAGCGACATCTGCCAGGGCTCATTTCTCACAATATGAGCTCCTCTCTGCTGCAGCTAGCACCTATGGTAAATCTGTGAGCCAGGCCACCATAGTGACCTGTTCAGCTGACTTATCTTGGTTCATGATTTTTCATAACTGAACAAGTCCTGTTTCTATAGAATGAGTGGGAAAAATGTAATCCCCTTTATTGTAGCACTCTCTCTTTTTCCTATCCTTTCCTTCTTTTATCGGAGAGTCCTGCTATCTACTGGGACCATTAAGGTACCCAGTACCCTAGTCCAGTTTCACTAATATTAAAGCTGTTGGCCAGGTGCAATGGCTCACACCTATAATCTCAGCAATTTGGGAGGCCAAGGTAGACAGACAACTTGAGCCCAGAAGTTCAAGACCAGTCTGAGCAACATGGCAAAACCCTGTCTCTACAAAAAAAATACAAAAATTAGCTGGGTATGGTGGCATGCACCGATAGTCCCAGCGACTTGGGAGGCTGAGGAGGGAGGATCATTTGAGCCCAGGAGGATGAGTCTGCAGTAAGCCATGTTCACGCCACTGCACCCCAGCCTGGGTGTCAGAGCAAGATCACCCTGTCTCAATAATAAAAAAAAAAAAAGCTGCTAATTTCCACGTATTCTAGTGACACTTTGCAGCCTATGGTCCCTGCTCAAGAGACAGACATAGATTGCCATGTTTTGTCCCACAAGTGACTTCCCCACCCATGCCTTGGTCATAGTTTATGGGGCCAGAGGTGAAATTCTCAACCCAAAGACAAACAGTAGGCTGGTTAGCAGCCCATACAAAATATTTTTTCTCTCTGAAATTTGAACTGAGAAACATAGGAAAAGATTGGTCCATTATTAGTAAAAGCCAAAATTGAAAAGATGCCTTAATGGAAAAGTAAAGTCAAGGCATGTTGAATTCATGAGCAAGGCACATATTTATGAAAGAGAAGAAACTATGAGTAATGAATAGAGGAGCAGTCATATCACGTCTTGAAAAGTCTTAAAAAGACACCAGGCAGCAGCCTATGATGCTGAAGAATCTGCTCCCCAGATCCTGGGATGTTTTCCATTCCAGCTGAGGTCAAGAAACATGTAGCTTATCCTTTTACTTATTCACTGGGTCTTTGCCCCTTGTAGTTGAAATAACCCTATACGCACATGTGTGCACACACACACACAATCTGTCTCTCTCATCATAACACCTATTTTGGTCTCACACAAACTTATCATAACTCATAATTTCGGTCTCACACACACTTATAATTTTGGTCTTTTACTTACAAATGTAAATACTTAAATACACATATACAATACTGATTAGAGACATGTGCACATGAAGCTAATATGAAGCTAGTTTCTGTTCCAGTAATATTATTATATCAGCTTTAATGCCTGTATGAATCCAATCTTAACACATAACCTATTGTAATAACACCTTCTTGGTCAAGCACATAAGGCACAGCAGAGAAGATTTTTCAAAGAATTTAAATTTTTAAATAAAATTTTAAAAATTAACGAGCTCATGTACACTTAAGATGTATGCTGTTTATGAAATGCATGTTATATCTCAAAAAGACAATTGTTTTAAAGAATGAACTCAGAGATGCCTAGAATTCTTAGAAAAATCAAAGTAATACTTTATATTTGTCCCATATTTTAAACTTTTCTAGGCAATTCCACATTCAGTGAGCTAAAAAAATCTTGAGATAGATTGAGCTGCCAACATGCTGTTTTTAGAACAGAGAAATGGTAACTTACATGGGATGTTAGTGGTAGATTCTGCACCAAAACCTTTGTCTCCACCAATTCCTAATCTAGTAACAGCATTTTAATTATTCCCACCTGGATGAACCTAACGTTAATGCAATTCAACCCTGCAGATATTGACAAAGACATTAAACAACCTATTCCTTTTTATTTGAAACAGGGTCTCATTCTGTTGCCCAGGCTGGAGTGCAGTAGCATGATTTTGGCTCACTGCAGCCTGGACCTTCCAGGCTCAAGTGATCCTCCCACCACAGCCTCCTGAGTAGCTAGAACTATAGGTGCTGGCTACCATGCTCGGCTAATTTTTTGTAATTTTTTTTATTTTTTTATTTTTATTTTTTTGTAGCGACAGGATTTCTCCTTGTTGCCCAGCTTGTCTCGAACTCCTGAGCTCAAGCAATCCTCCCCCTCAGCCTTCCAAAGTGCTGGGATTATAGGCATGAGCCACCACGCCCAGCCAACCACCTATTTTTGAGACAGATATTTCCTAGTGATGGGACAGATGTTGTGACATTTAATCTACTGATTTATACTTACTATACGCTAAATTGCAGATGTTTTTAATTGCCTAAGGGGTGTGTGTGAAGCCACCACTGACCCAGCTGATAAACAGCTTTATGGTTCCTGCTTTAAATATTCCATGATACTGGACACTTCAAATAACCAATGACAACATTGGCATTCTACAGCAAGTTATTTCTAAAAAAATTTTATTTTAGGTTTGGGGGTACACGTGGAGGTTTGTTATATAGGTAAACTCGTGTCATGGGGGTTCGTTGTACAGATTATTTCATCACTCAGGTATTAAGCCTAGTACTCAATAGTTATTTTTCCTGCTCCTCTCTCTCCTCCCACCCTCCACCCTCAAGTAGGCCCCATGTCTATTGTTCCCTTCTTTGTGTTCATAAGTTCTCATCATTTAGCTACCACCTGTAAATGAAAACATGTGGTATTTGGTTTTCTGTTCCTACATTAGTTTGCTATAGATAATAACCTCTAGCTCCATCCACATTCCCTCAAAAGATATGATTGTATTCTTTTTTATGGCTGCATAGTATTCCTTGTGTAAATGTACCACATTGTCTTTATCCAGTCTGTCATTGATGGGCATTTAGGTTGATTCCATGTCTGCTATTGTGAATAGTCTGCAATGAACATTTGCATGTGTGTGTCTTTATGGTAGAATGATTTATATTCCTCTGGGTACACACCCAGTAATGGGATTGCTGGGTCAAACAGTAGTTCTGCTTTCAACTCTTTCAGGAATCGCCCTACTGCTTTCCACAACGGTTGAACTAATTTACACTCCTACCAACAGTGTATAATTGTTCCCTTGTCTCTGCAACCTCGCCGGCATCTGTTATTTTTTTACTTTTTAATAATAGCCATTCTGACTGGTGTGAGATAATATCTCACATGGTTTTGATTTGCATTTCTTTAATAATCAGTAATATGGAACTTTTTAAAATATGTTCGTTGGCCGCATGTATGTCTTTTGAAAAGTGTCTGTTCATATCCTTTGCCCACTTTTTAATGGAGTTTTTCGCTTTGCTCTTATAAATTTGTTTAAGTTCCTTATAGATCACAGCAAGTTCTTAATCTCTGCTGTCACCATTGGAACCACTGTTCTTTCTAGAGCTATGATTCTTTAATGTTCTTTAGATTCTATTGGTTACTTCCTGTATTGATGTACAGGTAAATGGACTCAGGCATACATTGAGTTCTTCAGATAAGAGATTCCTGGGAATCACATATTTTGAAAACCAAGAAACAGATCATTATCAGGAAGAGAGGAGATTCCAAATGCTGCTGGTTTGAATTTTTTAACTTTATAAAAATGATATTTATTTTGAACTGGGTTCTGGTCATTAGGCATCAACATAAAGACTGATACATCTTTTCACCATGGCTTTCTATTAAAACCAGGCCTAAAATAACAGTACTTTTTGGATTTGGGTCAAGTTAATGTTGCCCCAAGAAGTTCCCCACCAAGTCTCTCATTTGACTCTCCCAAAGACTTTGAAGATAAGACAAGTACCATCCCCAGTCATAAGCTGAGAAAACTAAGGACGCAGGGATTTGTTTTAAGTCACACACCAGACTAGTGACAGGCAGGAACAAGATCTCAGACATCAGTACTACTACTAAATACGTATGTAGAATTGACCTTCATCAACCACATAACAAATTATCTCTAAACGTAATGACGTAAAGAGAGATCTGAAAAAAATAATAATATAAAATTAAATCCCAAGGCTAACCTAGGATCAGCACAATCAGCCAGCAGCACCATCATCTCAGGCTGTAGCAGCACCAAGCCCTTCCAGAAAAGCCCGGACTTTCCAGAAGCATCCTCAGCAAGTGTCACAAGGAAGGAAGCCAGAGGCTGCCCATCGCATACCTGAAGAGAGTCAACCTAGTCTCCTTAAACATTTCTTCTGCTCCACCCCTGAAAGAAGCAATGATTAAACTTTGAAGCCCTGTATATCTTAATACCTTGGAAACATTTGCTATGTATATCCTCATTAAATGAAAACATTGCAACGGCATTTAGAGTTTGGAGCTGAGGGGGCTGGGAAACATCACACTGCAGCAATAATGACACAAACAGAGAAACATTAACATTTCTGATTGTTCATTTCAATCCACAGTCAGGAGCAGCAGCAGCCACTATCAATTTATAGAAATGGGCTTTAATTCCTGAGTGACAATCTCTGCTACTCAGACTCAACATAAATGAACTCTGTGTGTGCACACAGATAAGTGTAGTGCCATGAACTATACACGTATGTATCTGGTGAATTAAAATGATAGCTTTTCCTTACACCAGTTTTAACTCCTGACTAATGCCCATGATATAGTCAGAAAGTCAACTGCAAGTTCGTGTTTGGCCAACAGTTATAAATGGCATGTGGACATTCTTAAGAACAGATTATTTTAATACTCCTTCAAATAAAGGCAAATAAAATCCAGGTCTAGATTTTGTAGCTCTCTAAGATAACCTTTGTCAAGTGGGGTTCAAAGACTCTTGTTTCAAAGTCAGCTGGTCGTGGCTGTTAAAATTTCAGACTATTTGGCACTTGCTCAGACCTAAAGAATGAGAATCACTAGAATGGGTCCCAGGAAACTGCAATTTTAACAGGCACTCAAGGGAATGTTATGCATCTAGGCCTAAGGAAGAGCTGGGAAAGTAGAGAAAAGATTAGAACCTTTTCTAGAAAGAATCCCAGAGAGCTAAGAGCAATACCAAAAGAGAGAGGTCCAGTTATTACCCCAGCCCTGTCTCCCCAGCTGCCATTAACAACCTCTGCCCCTTGAAAGTTCAAGGTCAGCACTGCCAAGGCCTGTGTCCACAAAGTCCAGACTTACTGATCCTATACAGATCCCTACCCCACCATCAAGTAAGGCCCAGGCATGCACCTGGCCCCCAAGCACCTGGTCTCTAACTTGGAGATGATGATTTTTTAGCTCCTGTATGACACACCTGTATGAAACCAACACTCCCAGGGGGTGTCCTGTCTCTGGAGCTGTAAGTCCAGTTCTCCTTTAACCCCAGCTTTCCCACAGGGAAACTCTGACCTTCTGGCCTAATCCCTCCAGCCTCTCCTTTGACTGCACTCCAAAGTTGGACTCCTCTATATCATCCTTTGCCAGCCACTTGAGAGATCTTGGGAAAGACATTAGTTGCTGTGTGTGAATATTGTAATTATACAGATGCTATGACCATTATCATTAGAGCTTGCAAAAGGAAGACCTTTCCCTGTGTGAAAAAGGAAGGAGCTCACCTACAGGCTAAATCACTCTTGGCTTTAACTAGTTGGGAATGTAAGCTATTGCCTGTTAAACTGGAAGTCTGAACCCTCCGGGGACTACAAACAAAGTGAAAAAGTGGCTGTGATATATGTTGGTGGCCTATGTTAGTTGTCATCTCCAAATGAAGAGAAACTAAGATGCGAGAATGAGGAGCTCACAGCCTGTAAAGTTGTGCCAATCCCTCCACCACACACACACACTATTCCCCATCCTTCTGTCCTCCCCACACCCTGCCCACACACGCACACAGCATTGTGTTGATTATCAGGAAGAATCAAAGAACAAGGCCTGAAAACCTTGAGTGCAAACTACTTGTGGCAGGATCAGAAATCTGAAGTATGTAAACCAACTTTCTTTATCCTTGTTTTTATTTCCTATTTGTTGTCCTCTAACATTTAGTAGTACTTAAAAATTCCAGCTGCTTCAGCTGTGCTAAGAGAATCAACAGAAATGATTTTTATTTTCTTAGGGAAGATGTCTTCTCATAGAATGTCTTCTTAGGTCATGTATAAGTAAAACTTCCAAGTTGAGTTTTGAGTATATCCATGCCTTGGATGAGGCAATTTAAAGTCAGGGAATGGTGGTGAGGAGGATATACTCCTAAAATAAGCAGGATAATCCTAACAATAACTGAATTATAAGAACTCAAAAAAAAATGCAACATGTCAAGCAAGATTTGAGCTTCTTGCCACAACTGTCTTCCCGTTATTTTTCTTTGTTTAATAAAAGGGGACAAGGAATGAGGTGGAGAGGGAGGAGTGGGAGGAGATGTGTGTACCAACATAAGTCCACTGGTTTTGTAAACTAAAAGGCAAAACCCCCTACACGCTGATTAGAAAAAAGAGAAAAGTTTACTGAAAGCCAGTGAAGTTTCCAATATTTTTCTAAACCTTTGCATAAACAGCATCCTGCAATGTAAACAAGAAAAAATGTGAAGTTGGTATTATTATATTCTTTTTGCAGATGAGAATATTGAGCATCATAGAGATTTTTGCAAAAATAAATCTAAGGGCCTGATATGGTTTGGATCTATGTCCCCACCCAAATCTCATGTCAAATCATGATCACCAGGTATGGCCTGGTGGAAGTTGATTAGATCATGAGGCAGTTTCTTATGTTTTAGCACCATATCCCTTGGTGCTATCAAGGCAATAGTGAGTTCTCATGAGATCTGGTTGTTTAAAAGTGTGTGGCACCTCTACCCACCTGCTCTTGCTCTGGCCATGTAAGACGTGCCTGCTTCCTTTTTGCCTTCTGCCATGATTGAAAGTTTCCCTGAGGCCTTCCCAGAAGCTGAGAAGATGTCAGCATCATACTTCCTTTACAACCTTTGGAACCGTGAGCCAATTAAACCTCTTTTCTTTATAAACTACCCAGTCATAGGTATCTCTTTAGAGCAATGCGAGGACTGACTAATACAGGGTAAATATCTAGCAAGTAGTAAGATCCAAGTACCATTCCAGGTCTGTCTGGTTCCCAAATGTGTTCACTTTCAGCCATGCTATATGGCTTCCACCAGAAGCATACTTAAACTTAACACAGAGAATCAATCAGAATCACCACTGCATAATAAAACTTCAAAGTTGTATTTTCCCACATCTGCATCCATAAATCAGACCCTCTGGACACTGACACCAGCCAGACCGCATAGGCAATGGTCAAAATGTCTTGGATCCCCTGGCCTGGAGTGCTAACTTCTGCTGCCCTGCTCAGCTTTCCTCATCCCACTCTATTTATCAGCACTTAGTACAAATTCACCCATCATTCCCACTGAATATCATGCTTAGAAGCCAGGGACATGCAATTTATGATACATAAGATAGTTTCTCCCACAACAGAGCTTGAAGCTCCTCGATGAATTAAAACTCACATATATGATCACATTCTCCAACTGCTCTAAAACTAAGACTACTAGAAAATTTGCTTTTACAAAGCCTGAAGGCTGGGTTGGTTGACTGTCTTGAAAAAGACAGCCCATGGTGCGCATCTCTGGCAGTATGTTTCCTAGAGAGTCAGCCGACGCCACATGGAAGTAAAGAAGCAAAGATGCATTTGACCCATCTGAACGCCTGTTGGCAAGCTCCAAAGTGAAGCACTCATCTACAAGAGAAGCTACAATACAATTAATCTTTCCTTTCTTCAAACCTAAAAAGAGATTTTTTTGCCTTGACTGAAAAGGTGTGTTTTATCATAACAATTTGCTACACACTTGCAAGTACTATCTAGATATCCATTAATCCAGATGCAAAGCAATCAATGCATTCACTATCTGAAAGACACAAGATGCATTTCAACACTACGACTGTAATTCACAGACCCCTCCTGGGCTGAGAGATCCTTTGCTTTAAGCAAATCACTGGGAGACTGTGGACTTGATCACCTGAGGCTTCATGACAACTGAAACTTGACATACACTATTTGCCATGACTTTGTGCTGCTTCCCACCTGGGGATGACAGTGCCTTTGCAGTTGTAGGCTTGATAGTTAGGTCATATTAGCTGTGGTCTCTTTGGAAATAAATATAAAGGGAAAAAAGTGGTGTGTGTGTGTGTGTGTGTGTGTGTGTGTGTGTGTTGTTCTCAAGGAGTGAACTATCCTAGTTCACTTGTGAGATGGCCTCTCCCAGTCTTTCCCTTAACTAAAGCTGCCTGGAAGACAGCCCCTTTTTGCGGAAGTGGTGCTAAAGCTGACTTTGTGCAGAAGGGGCCACTGATTGTACTAAAGACCAAACGGGAGCACACTCACATTTTTTTAGTGCTCTTTGTCACGGCCTGGCACAAGACTATGTCCAACCGGAGGGAGAAGTTATTAGCTGATTCAGATACATTAACTTTCTCATGAAAATTGAGTTGAATTGGAGATAGAGAATGAAACATGGTAGTGGCACAGGAGTATATCCCAGTGAGTATGTGAGTTCTGTTTCTAAGAGGATACCAGAGTCCCTAAACTCTGGATATAAACAACTTGAAACCTCATGCTCTGGAGCCTTCCAGATCTTAAACGATATCTCAATCTCCATAACCTCCAGCAGTGTAACTATATAATTTTTAGAAAGACTTATGTTTTCCATATTATTCCACAAATCTTACATTAAGTATCCCCATTACTGGAGGTAAACCAAGGGGCTTTGGAAAAAGCTGCATACTCTGTCTTCCTATTGGGAGGTTCACAACAAAGCACAACAGTATATTAAAGGCTCTGGTAAATGCTGCAAAAAAAAAAAAAAAAAACACCTTTTTACCTTTAGCTCAGCATTCCCCAAAGATCTTTGTTCATAAAACTCCATGCCCTTCTCAGAGTAACTATTAGTTTGTTGGGAAACTAATAGAAACCCCTCTTAACATTATGGGCATGTTTACAGACAATATTGCCCTGGCCATTGAAGATGGAGACATCAGTTTTAAAGAAAGTTGGGAAAGGTGAGAATCAAAAGGATCCTTTGGACTAGAGAGCTTTAGATGGGTCCAGCACAACAGAACAAAGAAAGAGCATGAGCAAAGGCACAACGGCAGTGATGAGGGAAGAGGCAGGAGCCAGGAGAGAGGAAGGGGTAATCTCAGGACAAGTTGAATAAGAAAGAGTGTGCCTGAACCTTGCCATCAGTGCTACCATTATGTTGCCAATTTATCAAACAGTAGTCTTTTAATACATCTATGGTAGCAAACAATAGTCTTTGAATATATCTATGGTAGCCCTTGATTTGTTTTAGTCTGTATTCACATCCCTATTCTTGTTTTAAATTCACGGGGGAAATCTTTAAATAAATCTTCTAATTTTTTCTCCAAGAGACCTCATTAATAATAACTGAAAAGATGATTAAAATAACACTCTGTGTAGAACAAACTGAGTCAAAATTACTGTAAGGAGTAAATTACTCTAACAGAGATATAATATCAATGCCATCATTTATTAAAGATTTGCTGCCAAATGCTATCTCAATTCAAATGTATCCTTGGGTTGTAGCCTGGTCTTTGCCAGGGCATCTAGAGAGAAAAAAGATAAATGAGACCTGGAGTTTGGTCTCCACTGGCCTACCTGTATTGTAGGAAAGACACGGATGAAGGACTCAGGGTGAGGGAAGCTCTAAATCTCTTCCAAATCCAGCTCTGTTTTATAAGCCCAGTCACCTTCCTCAGCTCAGCTAAGCCCCTGCTTCTAAAAGATTCCCTTTCAAGAACATTTAGCCCCAGAAGCAAGGGGCATGACCCAGGGACTCCATGGCCTCCATCACAGGACAGAGATTGTACTCAAGCTGGGAATGTCTTCCCACAGAACACTTTAGGCATTTTTCCTACTACAGGCTCCTGCGTCCCTGTAGTAGGAAATGTCAAAATGGTCATTTTGACATCTCTCAGCAGGACCAAGGGTCTCCACCTGGCAGGGCTTGACAGGCTGGCCACTGTGACAGACTGTGGCAGAGAATATTAGCCAGGGCAGAAAGAGGATCAGTTAACAGGGACCTCAGCTAAGGAAACTCCCACTGGGGGCTGAGCTCCTGCTGGTGATGATGAGCCCCGCACTCGAGGGCAGTGACTCACTGGAGCACAGTCCCCTGAGAGTCCCACAGCAAGGAGGACAGGCATATGCATTCATGTATTCACTCATGAATACATTCATTCTCTGCTGAGTATCAGGGACTGTGTTGAGGGCTGGTAAATCTAAGGAGGGAGATAGATGGAAAGGAAAGGGGACATGAGAGGAAGGGAAGGAGGCAAAACTCCAGCTAATAAACCAGAAACCAATTCAACACTAGGAGTAACCAAGAGACAAGAGTGCTAACACAGATGCATCAGCTCAGATGACCTCTGTGCTTGAAAATCCTCATCAAGGAGGGGAGGAGAATGGAATAACTGTTGATTATCAGATGATAAAGCTCTTCCTCCTCCCTATTCTCCCCTACTCATTTACTTGTCCCAAAGTCAGAGGAGCATGGCAGGTTACAGCAAGAGACACCAAAGGTATGAGTTGTTTCCCTTAGTATTTGTGTTAGTCCATTTTGTGTTGCTATAAAGGAATACCTGAGACTTGGTAATTTATAAAGAAAAGAGGTTTATTTGGCTCATGGTTCTGCAGGCTGTACAAGAAGCATGGTGCCAGCATCTGCTTCTGATGAGGCCTCAAGATGCTTACAAACATGGCAGAGGGCAACAGGGGAGTCAGTGTATCACAAAGTGAGAGAGAAAGCAAGAGAAAAGAGAAGAGGTGTCAGGCTTTTTTTAACAACCAGATCTCATGGTAACTAATAGAGTGAAAACTCACTCATTACTGAGAGGATGAGAATGGCACCAAGCCATTCATGAGGGATCCACCTCCAACACTGTGACAACGTTTCAACATGAGATTTGGAGGGGACAAATATCCAACCTATGTCAGTATGTTACTAACAAGTGATCTTGGCTAGAATTAATAAGTCCTCAAAACAAGACTAACTTCCTCCTGTGAAGTGAACAGAGATACAAACCTGAAAGGCAAACAGATATTTGTACATAAAGGGTCCTAAAGAGAGGGGTATTATTTAGTAATATGAGGTAGCCTCTGCCCTCTATGAATTGGGGTGGAACCCAAGAATCAATTTCTTATAGCTCCCCAGATGATTCCCAGATGCAGCCAGTGCTGAGAATCACTACCCAGACTCCTTTTCCTGCATAGAAAAGACTCTGCCAGTGCCACATGGTTAACCCAAATGAGCCTCAAGTTAACCTTCCTCAAGGATTTTACTCCTAGAAAAATCCCTAGAGAAGCTGCCTATTCCTTCCATGATCTCCCACCCCTCTGAGCACCCAGCACCCCAAACCTCTCCTCCAGGACTTCATCACAGCATGTGTTTGGGAGAGGCTCAGTTGCAGGTCATTTGTATAGTAGTGAGAATTAGAAGCTGGGTTGTTTCTTCAACCACGAGTCACCTTGGGCCTGGAGTCTCACTATGCAATCTATGAAAGGGCTTTTGAGGCATCAGAGATTCAATGAAGCCATCAAGCTTGGAGCAGACTTTCATTTTGCCTCAAAAGTCACACCCAGGAAGTGATTATCAAGAACTGAATACATTCTCTGTTTCTGGAAGTTTTTGTCCTGTACAGATAAGGCAAGGGCTTTGAACTGTTAGTCTCACTCTACAGTAGGCATTCCCAGGATGGGAGAACCTGCACCTTTTTAGCTTAGAGCAAGATGTTAAGGCAGCTAAGACAAGGGTTTGGCTTTATGGAAACCAATTGCTGATGCCAAAGAGCAACACCTCTAACCACATTCACATACTTGAAGCTAATACATACGTGCTCAGTTCTTTTCATCATTATCTTACTTATCTTTACCATAGCCCTAGGAGATGAATACTAATATGAAGCACACAATATAGATAAAGAAATGAACAGTTAGGCTATTTAAATTACCTAAGTGCAAGTAAATCGCAGGGAGGAATGAAATTTGAACCCAGGTCAAATTGCTACTAAGCCTTTTTAAGGCCCTGGCTATACATCTTCCCATGTTCCACCAAACATTGCCCCACAGTGCCGGCTGACTCAGAGTCTCAATCAGCCTTCATGCTTACTGATAGGAGCCATGGGTCTTAATGGAATCTGAGTTGGACAAAGTGACCAGATCACTATAACCATTCCCATTGCCAGAAAAACAACCAAAAGAATAATCTTGCTTATGTTATTGGTCAAGGTCTTAGCAAAAAACAATTCTACTTAGATGTTTCAAATGAAGAGAACGTAATGAAGGGACTGCCCTGAGAGGAATGGGCAGCACTAGAGAACCAACAGAGTGCTGAGCTTAAGGAACTAATCACAGGAGAAAGCCATCCCATCCCCACTCTGGGGCCTGAACAAGCAAGGGAGAAATCATTGTAATTACAGGTAAAGGGGGAGCCACCCGCAGGAGCTGTGGTCACCCAGGGATGCAACCAGACCCTTGGTGATGAGCAAGGAGGAAGCTGGGAAGAAAGTCCCCAATTCTGTCTCTCCCACACTCCCAGCTCCTGCTGGTGACTCCCCCTGGCCAGCCCAATCCCGGAGCCCAATAGCAAAGGAACCTGGGCCAGGCAGTCCATAAAAATCAGCCTTCTGGGGCAGAATGCAGCAGAAAAATGGGAATAAATGAGTCTGGGGTGGGAGCAAGTAGGGAATGAGCATGAAGAGAAAAATGTAGTTTTACTGGGACAGTTATGCACATTGTAATGGATTTTTTTTTTTTACCAAAGAATTCAAGTAATTTTCCTAATAACAGTGTCTGTGGTTAAAGGTGTTCACTGTATGCCTGGCACTGTTCTAGGTGCTTCACAGATGTAGCAGATATAAATCTCAGTCCAGACTCAGGGGTGCATGAAATAGTGGACCTTTCTATTTTCTATAAATTAATATTTATTTTGAGATCCCATCCTACCAGGCTGGCATGGCATTTCACCTCAGTCATCTTTTGGGTGTTAGCAATCCAAGAGGCAATACACAGTGTCAAGGTACTAGAGCCCTCCAGCCTGGGTCGTGTGTGCACACAGCCTCTCTCAGGTGTATCCATTGTCCCAGCCAACATGGCATTTCTCATCCAGTGGCTCACTCCATCTTCCAATGCTCCCTAAATGGGGCCAATGCAGGGAACCCCACCTAGAGATGCATGTACCTGCAGCCATTCTTGTCTGGGGTCCTGTCAGGAAGTAGGTCCTGGATCCCTGCTTCTCAAAGAAATGCAGAACCTCTAGAGGAACTAGGGAACCTTTTTTTTTCCGTCTGAGGAAAGCCCCTCCCTTCCTCTTGCTTTTTCTAACCACTCTGTTTCTTCCACAATTCTCTCTTCTACTTCCTCTGGAAAACCTCTACATTGTCTGATAGCCTTGTGCATTTAAAAACAAAAGCTGGAAACCATCTGCAGGCTACTTCTGCTTCTTTTCCCCTCACTTAGCTCTTCTTGGACATTGCATTCTGCACAACGTGTGGGAAGCAGGGAGGTGAAGGAGAAATACAGGCAGGAAAAAACAATTAATACCTACAAATACAATGCAGCTGAACGTATTTCTTTGAACTTTAGGACAACTGTATTAATCATGTTGGTTTTTTAAAAAAATTTTGTAATTTATAATGGTTTCACATCTTGGGAACTCGCTAATCCTGAGAGACTGCCCCTCCCAGGGCTAGCTAATTCCTAAAGCCGGTAAAGGACTTGTTCATCAGGAGCATGCCTGTAATACACAAACCAACAAATCCAAAGCCCATACTCTGAACTAGCTCCTCTATCTGGCTTTGATATGCCAGGAGGCAACATTCCTCTACCCAAATTATCCCAGGATAAGGCATCAGACAACTAGGACAGCCCCTACACCCTGGAGCCGGCTAAAATTTTTCAAACTAGCCAGTACCAAACCTGGTCAACATAACCACCCATTCCTTCCCACAAAAACCACAAAAAGACCCTGTCCTGCCCTTTCTTTCTTTCCCTTCACCCTCCTTCTGCCTCCTGTCCCAGTCTGGTGCTTCCCCCATGTGGCCCTGCATAGTGTGCTATATACCTCCTGTTTCTAGGGATCTGTTGAACATAAAAGTCTTATTCATGACAATCATTTCCATATCTGTGTATCTTACCATACCTGAGTAAAACAAATCCAGGGTAAGATTTAGTACAACATATGCACCATTTTTACCAATGACGCTCAGAGTAGTTCAGTTACTTTCCCAAGGCTACATAGCAGGTAAATTCTCACCCATCTGCCTCTAAAGCCTACTCTTCTAATTTTCCAGAAGTGGCAAACAGGTTTTACAACATAGACCAGTTCGGAGTGGCCGGTATGGCTAGCTAGAAGCTGTGTTAAGAAGAATTCTGATGCAATAAAAAACTCATTGAGAAACAGTGCCATTATTAGTTGGCGAGGACTTGGTGAGTGCAGGAGGCATGTGTATTTTGCATCTGTTTACTGAAAGTTAAGCCATTTCTTATATATAATAAAATGAATTGAAAAAGATGGTTTGAATTTGTGCAATGTATCAATAGAGCCATAAAGAGAATCCATCAAGAGGATCTCCTAAGAATCAAGCACTGAGGGAGTGGAGGAAGAAGAGGAGCTTATGCACACACGGAATCCCCCACCCAGAGTGGTGCCAGGAGGACACAGATGGACACAATGCCACACCCTTTTACAGCCCACCCTTTCATCTCCAAGCAGGTTTTTCTGTTGGGTCAGCTCTCCTTTGTTCTTGTGGCACTTCTCTTCATCTTTATTTTTATTTCATATTTCTTTTATTCAAAGGCAGAAAAAGATAGCCACTGTGCCTGCATCATGTACCTTCTGCTTGGGATGACACTAGAAATTAACTTGTAGATCCCACTACTTATCTGTCACTTCACTTCACCTTCCCACCCCAGCCAACCACCTACCCCAGGGATATCAAGTCAGCAAAGTGTGGATTTCATTACATTTTTTTTTCTTGCACTCTCCTTTCAGCAGCTCTTAATATCATTCCTTTTAGTGCTGTAGTTTTGTTGCTTTTTGTTGATTTGTGTGGAACTGGGGATCTTTGTCAGTTTAATTAAGAAAAAAATCACATTGCTGTATATGCTTGTCAACTTAATTTTCAGGATTTGCCTTGTTTTACATTGTAACTTTGGGGACAATTTGTTCTGTCTTTAATCAACACTTGCAGGTTTTGTTGTGTTTCTTTTAATGTTTTGCTATTTTGCTTCCAAGCCCAGTATGGACAAAGATGATTCACATTTTCCCTTGTTTCACAGCCTGTACCATCATGTTTATATCCACTTTGCTTTGAAGAAAAAGGCAACCCATTTGTGTTTTCATTAGAGGAAGCAGTTTGAGCATAATATAAACTAGTTCAAAATGTACTGAACAAAGAGTCAAATGAGCTGGTGCTAGTGCTAGCTCCACCAATTTTCTGGCTGGCTGTAAAAAGTCACTTGCCTTCTCTTATCTGTAAAGTGGGAGTATCTGAACTTCACTAGACAAGGCGTGAAGCCGATGTTAACTTTGGAATTCATGGATCCTGTGTTAATGTCTTTTGGTTGCAGGCAACAGAAAATTACTCTGCCTAACATAAATATAAAATTGAGAGCAGCTTGAGATCATTTACAAAATTGCAGGAAGAACTGAACTGTCAGGCATAGGGAAGATACAAATCAAAGTGTTGGAAATCCAAAGAGCAGAAACCTGCAGTGCTTCATTCAAAGGCATTGCCATAGGTGATTCAGCTCCAACAGCCTGCCATCCACCCATGCCTTGGCTCAAGTTTAGAAGTTCTGGAATAAAGACTGCAATTGGCCCAACTTATCCCTGGAACCAGGGCGTGGGATACTATTTGAAGGCCCAGCCTGGAACAGTATCAGGGGTAACAGCATCTGTTACCAGAAAAAGGAATGGGAAGGGGGTCAGGAAAGTATAATAGGCAGATAAAAATAAATAACTACCATGGTCCATTGCCTGGTAGCTGCCCAGGACACACACACACACACACACACACACACACACACACACACACACACACACACACATATACACAGAGTTCTTTAGGTCTCGAACTCTCTAGGTCTCGAACTTCTCATGATTATATCTCTATGGTCTGCACTTAAGTGTTAAATGATAAATGTTAAGCAACCCCAAGTAAACTGAGTAGAAAAGCGAAAATGCAAGAAAAACTTTTTTTAAATGTTATACAGTATGAAAGAAGATGCAAGTAGAGGCTGTAACTTCATTTCTCCAGCTGGCCATAATACTACAGCTGATGTTTATAGTTTTCCATGACTTCTAATATCCACTCTATGTTCCTCTGACCTTTAACCAGAACCTCTGAAGAACCAGCTGGGTTGTCAAGACAGGAGAAATGACTCTTCCAGGGGGTTTGAGCCCCTGATGGTTTTTCCTGTAGAGGGATACAGCAATTACACATTAACCTTGACCACTTGGCTTGGCACCATAAAGGCTTCCTCAGATTGCACCCATTTTTTACATAGTAGCCACCTGTCTTCTCCTTGGTAATCAAGGTGAGTCATCCAGTCAACTTCATAACCACCTTTTTCTGTTTGCAAATAGTGTGAGAAGCCTAACATGGGCCAAGTGGCAGTCTCAGCTTCTGATTCAATGGACCTATTCCTGTCACTGATGGAAGAATTTCCCCTTTAGATATCAAGACCTCTAAATCAGCAGAAGCAAGATTCACAGGAACACGAACCATAATTCATAAAGCAGGTTACTTGATAAAATCATCAGATTCCTCCCCTACCTCACTGAGTGTCTGACAAGAAGGATAAGAATTAGGCAGGTGAGAGTAACAAAAACCTCAAATAACAATAGCTTAAGCAAGACAGGATTATATTTCTCTCCCGTAAAAGTCCAGGTAGGTGGCCCAGAGCTAATATAGCATTCCATGGTGCCAGGAACCCAGATTCTATTATCTTATTGCTCCATTATGTCCAATAGGCTCCTAATGATTCAATAGATTGATTTGATCTAAGCTATCATATCTGAATTCTAACCAGTAAGAAGGAAAAAAGAGAAAGAGAAGAGAAAAATCCATTCCTGGAAGTTGCGCCAGTCACTCTTATCCCACTTGCCAAAATTTAGCTACATCATCCCACTGAACTACAAGGGGTCTCGAAAATGGAATCTTTACTCTGAGATGCCTTGGACCCCTCAAAAAATCAGAAATTCTATTTCTCTAGAAGAAAGGGAGAAAGAGTATTAAGGGATAACCAGTGGTCTCTGCCACTGAGAATGAGGGAGAACTGCCAGTTTTCTCCCCTAAGGAAAGGGTAGTGTGATGTGCCTACAGCAGTTTGGAGAACCAGAGTCTCCAAATGCCCAGGATTCTCTTGGAAACCCTCATCTCAGTTGTCTAGATTCCACTGCTTCCCAAACAATGTTCTAACTAGCCACAGCCCTGGCGAAGATGTAAATCTAACTGATACTGTAATGTAGCAACTATAAATGCTATCTCTGTGTTTCATTTTCAGCATTCTCAACCCTGTAGAGTTAATAAACAATAAGAGATTCTTTCTACATGATCACATAAAAGCTTCAAATTTCATTCCATGCTTTGTGGTGAGAATTGTGAAATATAACCCTTTCAGAACAGTTGTCAGAAGACCCTTGTCCCCAGATTCAACATTTATCATCCCTTTTGCATGAGTCTATGGTTACAGCTATCTTACCCATTTCCCCAGAGCTTCATTTTCAAAGAGCATGCGGTCCCAAAAGAACAGTGTTGATAACTTGAGTAGTTATTTTATACTTTATAGCATACATTATACTTACAAACCTAAAATAAAGGGGAGGGGGTGAAAATCTCATTTCCTTTTGCCCCATCTTGGCCCAGTAACCAATTCTAAGTGGCCCATATATCTCTTACTTGCAACCCACTCACTATTACCAACTCTGGCATAAGTTAAGGTGCCATGATGCAGTGTTGGGAGGAAATGTCTTTTAAGGCTCATACCATTAACCACTATAACTTTATCCTCCTTATAATGTCATTTTTGACCTCCAACTCACTCCCTCATTCACTGAAGATGAGGACAACTGTAGGCTTCCTGAAGTAAATGCAAAATTTTATGCATATGTTGTGTACTTTCCTAGAGAGCCCATACTTTCCATTTTATTGTCAAAGGACCCCATGACCTCCCCAAGGATAATTAAAAATAACTTCCCTGGCTATTAAAATTGCCCTAAGTGTTTTTCACCTGTGACATTATACATTCCAATGTCCTACTGTCAGTGCATAGCCTCCCACCTTCCAGCTTTCCTTAGCTACTCCTCTGATGTCTGGATGTTCACTACCTCTTCAAGGTTTCACCTTAATCTCTTTCCAATTTAAATTCCAAGCTCCATCCTATCCACAACTCTTCCTTTATTCATTCATCAACTAAATCAATGTTTACTGAGAATTTACCATTTGTTACAGACACAAAGACAAGACAGAGAGTTTCCTGCCCTACTAGAGAATACATTCTGATAAGGAATAGAAAAAGAAAACAAGAAAAGAATGAAATAAATTCAAATTTGTGATTAGTTTCATGAAAGTAAACAAGAGCTAAGCAAGAGAATATTAGGGAAGCCTACTTTAGGTAGTGTGATAGGCAGAATAATGACCCCCAAAATGTCTACATCTTAACCCCTGGAGCCTGTGAATGTGTTAGGTTACAGGACTAAGGTTCCAGATGAAGTTAAGGTTTCTAATCAGCCAATCCTCAAATAGGGAGATTATTCTGGAGTAACTGGGTTGGCCCAATGTAATCACAAGGGTCTTTAAAGGTGGAAGAGGGAAATGGAAGGAAGAACCAAAAATATGGCAGCATGAGAAGCACATGACCCACTGTTGCACATTTTGAAGGTGGAAAAAAAGCAGCTACAAGCTAAGGAATGTAGGTGACTTCTAGAAGCTGGTAAAGCAAAGGAAACACATTCCTCCCTAGAGCTTCCAGAAGGAACTCAGTCCTGCCAGCACCTTGATATTACACTTCTTACCTCCAGAAGCATAAGATAATAAACCTGCATTATTTAAACCTCTATATTTTACAGTGATTTGTTATGGAAACAATAGAAAACTAATATAGAGTAAATAGAAAGGCCTGTCTAAAAGGATGGCATTTAAAATAGACCCAAAAACATTAATAAATGTCATGAGATGAGTGGAGGAAAAGCGTTCCAGGCAAGGGGAAGGGCATGTGCAAGAGCCCTGAAATGGGAGAGAGCTTGGTGTATTACAGAGGTGACCGGAGACTGAGGGGGAAAGCCACATATAGGAAGTTATAGCAAGTCAGAGCAAGATTCTGCAGACAGATCACATGAGTCATACTAAGGAATCTGGATTTTATTCTAGATGTATTCTAAAGTACGAGGTAAGGCCATCAGCTAGAAGTGAGGATAGATACATAAGAGTTTTGAGAAAACAGGTGGTGTGAAAGAGTCCTCTTAAGGAGTAGGAAGGCTAATTTACCAATGAAACACAGTAGGTTCAGTAGCAGAGTGGAATATTCACTTAAGGTTCATGATCACAAGTTTTGAATGAAAACAGTCAGCTTGTGGGTATGTTTTCTCCAGTGACATTCAGCTAACATTTATTGAGCTTCTTAATGTATGTCAAGGACTGTCATAAGTACTCTAAAAAAATTAACTCTCTTAATCCTCGTCACAACTCTACCAGGTGGGTGCCCTGTCATTATCTTCTCTAAGTTACAGATGAGTGATTATAAACATAAACATGGCATCTAGGCAAGTCAAAGAAGGATGAAAAGCCAGTACATTGATGAAGAGTGAGAAACTGGTGGAAGAGGCGGGCGCTGTGGCTCACGCCTGTAATCCCAGCACTTTGGGAGGCCGAGGCGGGAGGATCACGAGGTCAGGAGATCGAGACCATCCTGGCTAACACAGTGAAACCCCGTCTCTACTAAAAATACAAAAAAAATTAGCCAGGTATGGTGTCAGGCACCTGTAGTCTCAGCTACTAGGCAGGCTGAGGCAGGAGAATGGCGTGAACCTGGGAGGCGGAGCTTGCAGTGAGCTGAGATCGCGCCACTGCACTCCAGCCTGGGTGGCAGAGTGAGACTCCGTCTCAAAAAAAAAAAAAAAAAAGAAATTGGTAAGGAGGAAGAGGGAGGATGACTGGATTGAAGATTTAAGTAAGGTTGAAAATGGGAAGCAATGGGCACACTTCCACAAGTAAGCTAGAAGGGTGGGAAGTTAAGGTTGGAAAGTAACATGTTTAAAATTGAGATTTTATATGTGATGGCAGTCCTGGGGTCCAAGGTGTGGCCATGAGATTTTGTGGTTGAGGAGGAGGCAACAGAATGGTCATTAAAGATGAGTAGGTTTAGCTAGGTGCAGTGGTTCATGCCTGTAATCCCAGCACTTTGGGTGGCCAAGGCAGGCAGATCGCTTGTGCTCAGGAGTTCAACACCAGACTGGGCAACATGATGAAAACCCCATCTCTGCTAAAAATACAAAAATTAGCAGAGCATGGCGGTGTGCACCTATAGTCACAGCTACTCAGGAGGCTGAGGTGGGAGGATGGCTTGAGTCCAGGAGGCAGAGATTGTAGTGAGCCAAGATTGCGTCACTACACTCCAGCCTGGGCAACAGAGCCAGACCTTGTCTCAAAAAAAAAAAAAAAAGATGAGTAGTTTTAACTACTCAAGTTCTCAAGCACCGGATGGTTCATGTTGATGATGAAGTCACCAAGAATTATATGAAGAATTAGACTATGAGTCAGATGGTAAAATAATGAATAAAAGCGGTAAAGAAATCTCCATGATAAACCAGTATAGGGCAAGGGTATTCAGAGCTGAGTGGCTAACCCTCAAACCTAATAATTTTGAAACGCAGAAAGGAGTTCATGGCCTGGAAGCAGGATAGATACTAACCCATATCCTGCCCTAAGGTATGTGAAATGTGGAACACAGTGTCCACTTAAGAGATGCCCTTGGGGGCAGGCAGGTTTTTATTATGCAGGGGTTCCAAGCTTAGATACACATTAGGACCACGTGATAAATATTTAAAAATCCAATGCTCAGGCCATATCCCCAGGCTGATTAAATCAGAATCTCTCAGAATGAATCCTATGTATTAGAACTTTTTTTTTTTTTTGAGACAGAGTCTTGCTCTGTCACCCAGGCTGGAGTGCAGTGGTGTGATCTCAGCTCACTGAAACCTCCACCTCCCTGGTTCAAGTAATACCCCTGACTCAGCCTCCCGAGTAGTTGGGATTACAGGTGCATGCCAACATGCCCAGCTAACTTTTTTGTATTTTTGTAGAGATGGAGTTTCACCATGTTGGCCATACTGGTCTCGAACTCCTGAATTCAGGCAATCCGCCTGCCTCGGCCTCCCAGAGTGCTGGGATTACAGGCGTAAGCCACCCCGCCCAGCCCATATAAGAACTTTTTAGGATCCCCAGGTAAGTACAATACGAAGCCAAAGTTGATTCTAATAAGTTAAGATGAGAAAGTGAAAAAAGAAATATTTTAAGTATAGATTGAGGATACATGGCAGGGGTGAGCAAACTTTCTGTTAAAGGTCCAGATAATAAATATTTTAGGCTTTGTGGGCCACAAGTCTCTGTCACAATTTTCATGCAGTGAAAACTTATGTTTTAACCACTTTAAGATGTAGGAATTATTCTTGTGAGCTATACAAAAACAGGCAACAAACTAGATTTGGCCTATGGGCCATCATTTGCCAATATCTGATATAGGGGAATTTGTGGTCAGAGAGCTGAAGTTCCAGAAGGCAGAGCAGTAGAGGTTGACAAGGTTTTATGTCCTTCGTGTTTCCGATACACCTCCTGGACCAATCTGTGACCCTAAATAAACCTAAACATCTTACACGTAGCAGATGAACACTCTTGGCAAAAATCACACACCTGTGAAGCCTCTTAATCTGTCTCCCAGCCTCCACTCCTACCTCCTCCAATCAATTCATGGCAGCCAGAGAAATATTTCTAAAACACAGATCATGTCATTCCTCTGTTTAAAATCCTTCCAAGGCTTCCCAAGGTCCCTCAAGTTTATCCAAATTTCTCAACATGTTTACTACCAGCTGGCTTCTGCAGCACTCTGGACTACCTGCTTCTTGCATTCTAGTCATCGTACATTTTGTTTTTCAGCTCCTTAAAGTCCCCTTTGCTCACTGCTCACTGTTCTATGGGTCAGGACAGCCCTTCTCCACCTTTACTCTGCTTCTTCCATTAGGTTCCAGTTTTGATGTCATTTCCAGCAGGTCTGGATTCAGTACTCTTCACATGTGCTTCCTTAACATCCAGCCCACACTCCCATTCAAGAGCTTATCATGCTGCTTGGAACTGGTGGTGTCACCTTAAACAAGTGTCACTTGATGAATTAATCATCTTTATTCTTTGTTTCCCACTGACCCTGAAAACCTTATCATCTGGGGAATTTTTCCCCTGCCACTAGATAAAAACTCTGTCAGGCCCTCTGATGTAATTTGGTCTCTGATGTAATTTGTCTGTGGTAAAACACAGACTCGATTGAGAAAATATAATTTCCACTCCAATATATTAATCCACATTTCCATCTTCATTCATGGTTAAGACTCTTTTGCGTTTCTTTACCAGTTAGAAACCTATGATAGACAGGCTTCCTGCCTTGAGAAAAGGCATATGGTTGGCTTCATCTCTCTTTGACCTCTCCAGAATTGGAACACCAGGGAGGGAGAAGAAGAAAGGGACTCAGAAAGCCCTTACTTGACTGATAGGGTCTTAAATTGGCATCTTACCCTTGGCCTAACTAATTTTTAAACTTGATTCTTTCTTTGTGAGTGATTTCAAGGTTCTTTGGAGGCTCCTTCTGACTTGCAGCTCCAATGCTGGGTCACTGTCATTGGTTCCTCTACCGTTGCTTCTTCTTCCACCTCAGGTTTTCCCACCACCCAGAGATTCTCTTCATTATCAGTGTCTCCTTCCCTTAAAGTCCACTTGGACAGGAGTCAAAACAGCTCTAGGCAGATTTTTTCTCCTGCATGACCAAACGGTCCTTACCCTTTTGGCCCTGATATATACTGGGAATGCAGGCCAATCTCAACCCATCCATCCCAGTTTTGCTGAGTAAGAGTCTTGTCCTCTAGATTTCTTGGAGAAGAGTCAAACCCAAGTCCAATTGCAGGGGGCACATATTAAGTTCTTCAGTTGGTCTTACTGAATCCCCTCTCTACAGATTTAAGGTGACAAGGTGCAATTAGATAGTAATAGCTATCTAATTAATAAGACAGTAATAGCTTCTTTAACACACCCACAAATCTCAGTGGCTTACACAATAGAATTTATAATTGGGATGGGAAGGTGGGATAGGAGTATCTTCTCCATGAAGTCATTCAAGGTTCCAGGATAATGGATGCTCCTCCATCTTTAACACATTGCTTCCGAGGTTGCCCTGAGCATCAATATCTAGTTAGTAAATGGGGGAAGAGCTTGAGGCTTGTGCAGGGAAGTTTTTAATGGGCCAGGCCTAAGAGTGAGCATTCATACTTCCCGAGACGTTCTACTGGCTAGAACTCAGTCACATGGCCACACCTAGTTGCAAAGAAAACTGGGAAGACTAGCTTGAGCAAGAAGAAATGAGTTTGGTTCATGGTCTTTGCCACAAAGGAGAAGCACATCTTGGTTTCCTTTCAAGATAGTGGGTGATGATCTAAGAAGACCATGGGACTCAGAATCAGGACACCTGGTTTTGATCCCACTCTACTACTAACTACCTGTCAGGCCTTAGACCAGCCAGTTTACCTCTCCATGAACCTCATTTTCCTCATCTGTAAAATGAGAGATTGGACTATAAGCTCCCTCGGCCCAAGCCCTCTCATTCTGTTGTTCTATGACCCTAAGGAAACTCAGCTGGAAATGGTGCAGAGCCATAACTCAAAGGGCAGTAGTGCCATAGGTGGAGTGAGGGAAGATGTCTGTGTCACACACAGGCAGCAATTACCCTCAATAGTATTTTTTTAGAAAACTGAAAGACAAGGATCTTCTGGGAAGGCAGCACATACAGAAGCTAAAATGATACTGGAAAGTCTAAAATATGCCTAGAATCACACCCTTTCTCACCACATCCATTGTTACCCTTAGTTTCCTAATTCATCTCCCTCTATGCATGCTCTTTAAAAGTTTCAGACTGTTGGACTGCATTACTCCAAATGATACCACTTCAATTTAATTTTAAAAGTAATTATAGAGCACACCATTCTTATTCCTCACATCACTTAAGATTGGGATACCAACCAATCCCTACTCATCTTGACCTCTGCATACCCCACTCCTTCAACTCCCCACCAAAACCCTTCCACCTGCTCCATGAAATAATTCCTAGCCAAAGGTCACTTTCCCTGCTTTCAAATCCTACTTTTACTATTTCTCATCCACTTAGTGCTCCCACATGACAATCTAGTTAATTGTGTACGTCTTAACTTCTCTACTAAATTGTAAGTTCCCTGAAGGAAGATACCATAGATTATACTATTTGTATTATGCACCATGCTAGGTGCTTAATTATTTATTGAATGAATGAATAACTAATGACTGTGGAGAATTGTTAAAAAGCAGCCCTGCTGGAAACAACAGTGAGCCCTGTTTCAGCTTGGCAAGTACATTGTTTTCTGATTGTTTTTCTCAGAGTCCACTGTGGCCGCACTGAACAATCTATAGGAAGAACTGTAGGTGTGAATCTTCAGCCAAGATAACGATTGAACCAGGGTCTGATTCAATTCAGTCTTGCCCAGGGGCAGTATTAAGAAGTGAGTTAAGTGAGAGATCATATTCTGTCAAATTCTGAGAAAATGGCTGGGTGCCTGCCAAATGAGAAATCGCAGCTGTACAGTAATTTTTCTTTTTCTGTCTTTTAAATGTGAAGCTGTGTGCTCTGAAACAAAACAGAGGAGGGAGATGAGAAGATTTTTGGAAAATTCAATCAATGTGGACAATTGTTCTGTTAAATTCAGACAAAATAAGACTTTCCTCCTCAGTAGCAGGAAATTATGAGCTAGTTATATGAACCCATGTTTCACCCTCCATTTCCCTTTGGCCTGTCTGAATCAAAGGCCATAAGCTGGGCTGCAGCTAGTTAGCTTAGACATGCAGAGCCTGCAGTTTTCATCATATCAGCCAAAAGCCTGGTACCCTGGGGGTCCATTAGCTACACTTTTTCCATGTATCCAAAATGTACCCTGACCGCAGATGTACAGCATGCCACAAGCACAAACAGATCCAGGTGAGGTGAAGGACCAGCACAAACACATCCTCACTATTAAAGAAGCAGCACAATGGCACATCCTACCAGCATTAATAGCTCCACCTCACGGCACCAGACACAGTATCTTGCCCACAGGACGACTGTATCCATCTGATCATGTGTTTACCGTGATGACACTCAGAAAATAACAGCTAACACGGAGCTTCTCCTCTGGACCACACACAGGGCTAGGCACTTCACACACTTTGTCTCCAATCTTTACACCAATCCTGGGAAGCAAAAACCCATTTTATTAATTGGGAAATTGAGGTTCAGAGTGGTCCTTCACGTGGTCCAAGGTCACAAAGTCAGTATGTGGTGGGCCAAGATTCCAACTAATGTTCAACTCAAGAGCCATGTATTTTCCACTTAAGCACACTGCCCAATTCTTTTGCCAAGTCCACCAATCCCACTCTTGGGTCATGTGGATGAGAAAATGGGGATAATGAGCACTCTGCAGATAGCAGTGCCCTTTCATATACACTATCTCTTTTGTTCCTTGTGGCAGCCTGGTGAGGTATATAAAGCAGATAAAAACTCCATTTCACAAATCAGGAAAGTTAGGACTGTTTGAGAAGTGAGAACTCAATCTCATTTCTTTTTCTAGATCCTGAGCCTGCCCACTGTTATGTGAAAACTGAGGTATAAGAGTAAAATTATGTTCTTTTTCCCAATGAGTAAGTCACATTTCTGTATTTGTGAACCTCTTGTGGTTTTCCATGACTGAAGGATTAAATCTAACCACATTATTACATCATATAAGGCTTGTCTAATCTGCTGCCTGCCGGCTTACTAGGCTTCCCTTAGCTCCCTTCCTGCCGCTCCACCCTTGTTCTGCCATCTTGAGCAAACTATTAATATTATGCATTCTTTGAAGATGTCATGACATCACACATCCTAGCCTTTGTCCATGCTAGTACTTCTGCCTGAAAAACACTTGATACTTCCAGGCTCAGCTCTTCCCCAGTGACCCCTGGCAGAGATGGCTATTCTCCATCAGCCTTGCAAAGACACCTGTTTCATCAACCCAAATGAGATGATCCAAATGTAGTGCACTTGTAGGATGTTCACCTTGATTCACGAGACTCCACTAGTAGTGACTGTCTTCCTCACCTCATTGGCAATGAAAGCTGAAGTCCTCATAAGGGACTACAAAGCTCCACACACTTTGGCTACCCATTATATTACTGAGCTTATGGCCCCCGACTCCTCTCCTGTCACTACTCACATTGGCCTGTCACTCTTCAACATTCCAGGCATGCTGTCACTTCAGAGCCTTTTGTCTTACTCTTCCCATTATCTGGAGTATCTTCTTCCCAAGCAATCCACAATGCAGACTCTCTCACTGGTGCCTTTTGAGCGAGACCTTTTCTGAACCCCCTATTACATTTCCATCCTTCCTCCTACCCCAGTGCCCTTTATTCCCCTTACATACTTTATTTTTCTTCAAAGCACTTTTCAACATCTGATAGACTACATATTTTATGTATTTTTAAACTTTTCTGTCTTTTGAATGAATAAATAATGAGTCTTTGTAGCCCCAATTCCTCCCACTCCCAACTAGTCCCCAGTACAATGCCTGGCTATGGAATTATCTGATCCTCTCCACTGCCTAGAAGATCCCAAAGGATTGACCAAGCTCATTTGGTTTCTGTGGGCCAGGAACAAACCAAAGAACCAAGCGCAAATCACAATCCAGGAACAGAGCTGTGGGTTGGGGCAGGCAAATTGTGTCCAGGCAGTCCTTCAAATCAAGTGGGTCCTGGAATACTCACTATGGGGAACAAGGGTGCAACCAACAGAGCAGATAGCCAGGGACAAAAGAAAGCAAGCCAGGGACAAACTAAAGCAAGCCAGGAACAATGAGTCAAAATAGGTAAGGGAGAGGGCAGTGTGAGAAAAATCATAGAAATGGTGGGCTTTGATATGTGCCTACTGATTAATTCCATAAGCAGACCAGAGTCAATAAAGCTAATAAATGTTTGCTGAATAAATGAATAATCAATGGAAAAGCTAAGGGGACAATCCTAAGCTTCTGCCTTTCTGGCTTCTCTATTCTATACATTCCCTGTGTGGAAGGTGTGATTTGCATCCCTGAGGTATAGGTGCCATGCCAGCACCAACCTCTAATTAGCATGAGCCAATGCAGAGCACTCCAAATGCTCAATGCAGGCTCTTTATCTTTTTTTCCTGGGAAATAACACCAGGGTTTCCAACAGATCCCTTTGGCAGAGCTATTCCATTTGATAAATAAAGTACGGGCTTTGAGTTCATGGTCTGCAGTCCTGGTCCCAGCATGAGAAGCTCTCCTTTGTGGTTCCACTAAGCAAGTGCAAAGCAGAGTGTAAGACAAATTGCTATTCCACCTACCGAAAGCAAGCAAGCACACTCAGCAGCACCAGGGACATCAGCCAAGCACAAGAAACAAGGCATTGTAAAAACATTGCAAATTGGCACCATCCACTTAGAGAGATATAACCTCAGGTGTTTGTTGACTAGGAGTCATGAAAAGGTTGGGCAAGCACACATAGGTGCCACCAGATGCTCTCTACCGCTACAGGTTATACTGGAAAGATGGGAGATGAAAGAAGGAACCAGAGCCAAGAAGTGACCATTTGTTCCTTTCTAGACTTTTCTCGCCATCCCCTTCATTCTACTGACAGTGATAATTTTCTGAGTGAATCCAGGACTAGGTTGAAGGGCCATTTTTTCTTTAAAAAGGTTATTTGTATTACATGAGTACTCTATGAACTCAAAGCCCAAAACAATACAGATATAGAAATCTGTATCAACATTGACAAGACATAGGTATAGATATAGACATAGATCCAGATACAGTTATAAATATAGATATATAGTGTAAAATGGAACATTGTATCCTTTGCTTCCACACCTCCAAACACGTGCCACTTTCCAAAGGCATGACAACTTAGGGTTTCCTTTAAGTTACTTACTTATATATTTCAATCATATATGAACACATACACACTTTTTGCATTAATGGGGTCTTTATACATATTTTTCATGCTTTTTGTCACTTAACAAAATGTCTCAGAGCAGACAGGCAGAGCAAGATGGCTGAATAGAAACCTCTACCAATCATCCTCCCCAAGGAACACCAAATTGAACAACTGTCCATACAAAAAAAGCACCTTCATAAGAACCAAAAATCAGGTGAGTAATCACAGTACCTGGTTTTACCTTTATATAACTGAAAGAGGCACTGAAGAGGGTAGAAAAGACACTCTTGAATCACCAATACCAACCGTCCCCTACACCCCAGCAGCAGCCACGTGGCACAGAGAAAGAATCTGCACACTTTGGGGAGGAAGAGTACAGTGATTGTGAGACTTTGCATTGGAACTCAGTGCTGCCCTATAAGAGCAGAAAGCAACACTGGACCGAACTCAGCTGGTGCCCACGGAAAGGAGCATTTAGACTAGCCCCAGCCAGAGAGGAATGGCCCATCCCAGCAGTTGGAACATGAGTTCCAGCAAGCCTTGCCACCATGGACTAAAGTGCTCTGGTATTCCAAATAAACTTGATAGCTGGGCGTGGTGATGCATGCCTATAATCCCAGCTACACAAGAGGCTGAGGCAGGAGAATCACTTAAACCCAGGAGGCAGAGGTTGCAGTGAGCCAATATCATACCACGGCACTCCAACCTGGGCAATGGAGTGAGACTTTGTCTCAAATAAATAAACAAACAAACAAACTTGAAAGGCAGTCTAGGCCACAAGGACTGCAATTCCTAGGCAAGTCCTGGTGCTGTGCTGGGCTTGGAGCCAGTGGACTTCTGGGGCACAGGACCCAGTGAGATACCAGCTATGGTGGCCACTGGAGGGCTTGCATCACCCTTCCTCCAACCCCAGGCAATGCAGCTCACAGCTCCAGGAGAGACTCCTTTCTTCCCCTTGAGAAAAGGAAAGGGAAGAGTAAAGTGCTCTTTATCTTGCAACTTGAATACCAGCTCAGCCACAGTAGGATAGAGCACCAGGAAGAGTCCTGAGGCCCCTATTCCAGGCCCTACTTCCCAGATGACATGTCTAGGCATGCCCTGGGCCAGAAAGGAATCTGCTGCCTTGAAGTGAAAGGCAAAATTCTTTACCTGCTGACTGAAGAGCCCTTGATCCCTCAATACTCATCCATGGTACCCACAGAGTACTCACCATAGGCTCCCGGTGAGACTCAGAGAGGCGATAGGTTCAGAGGAGACCCAGCACATTCCTAGCTGTGGTAGCTATAGTGAGGGGACTCCTTATGTTTGAGAAAAGTAGAGGGAAGAGTAAAGGGGATTTTGTATTGCAGCTTAGATACCAGCTTGACCACAGTGGAGTAGACCACCAAGCAGTTTCTTGGGGTTGCCACTTCCAGAACTTGGATCTTAAATGGCATTTCTGGAACTGCCCTGAACCAGAGGGGAGCCAACTGCCCTGAAGAGAGAGTCCCAGGTCTGGCAGCATTCAAAACAAGCTGACTGAAAAGCCACTGGGCCTTGAGTGAACATTAGTGGTAGCCAGGTAGTACTCACCACAGGCTTGGGATAAAGGTGGCTGGGGAAAGACACTCCTCTGCTAATAGGAAGAAGAGGAATGAGTGAGATGGACTTTATCTTTTGGCTTGGGTGCCAGCTCAGCCACAGTAGAAATACAGCACCAGGTAAATTCCTAAGGTTTCTGACTCCAAGCCCTGGCTCCCGATGGCATCTCTGGACCCAGCCAGGACTGAAGGAAACTCACTGACCTGAAGGAAAGAACACAAGCCTGATGGTTTCACCACCTGCTGATTGTAGAGTCCTAGGTTCTTAAACAAACATAGATGGTAGCCAGACTGTATTTACCATGGGCCTTGGGCAGTACCTAATGCGGTGCTTGCTTCAGGTCTGACCCAGTACAGTCTCTGTAGTAGTGGACACAGAGGTGCTTATGTCACCCCTCTCCCAACTCCAGGCAGCATAGCACAGACAGACTGTGTTTATTTGGGAGAAAATAAGGGAAAAGAAATAGAGTGTCTGCCAGATAATACAGAGGATTCTTCCAGATCTTATCCAGGACTACCAAAGCAGTACCTCTACCAGTCTGCAAGTGCCACAGTGTTACTGGGATTGGGGTACACTTTAACACAGATATGGCTGCAGTGACCAAAAACTTAGATCACAACACCTAAGTCCCTTAGAATACCTAGGAAGCTTTCCCAAAAAACGATGAGTACAAAAAAGCCCAGATTGCAAATACTACAATAAATACCTAATTCTTTGATGCCCAAACACCAATGAACATCCATAATAATCAAGACATCCAGAAAAACATGACATGACCTCACCAAATGAACTAAATAAGGCACCAGGAACCAATCTCAAACAAAGACATGTGACTTTTCAGACAGAGAATTCGAAAAAGCTGTTTTGAGGAAACCTAATAAAATTCAAGATAACACAGAGAAGGAATTCAGAATCCTATCTAATAGATAAATTGAACAAAGAGGTTGAAACAATTTAAAAGAATCAAGTAGAAATTCTGGAGTTGAAAAATGCAACTACCATACTCAAGAATGCATCGAGTCTCTTAATAGCAGAATTGATCAAGCAGAAGAAAGAATGAGTAAGCTTAAAGACAGGCTATTTGAAAATACACAGTCAGAGGAAACAAAAGAAAAAGGAATAAAACATGCCTACAAGATCCAGAAGATAGTCTCAAAAGGGCAAATCTAAGAGTTATTGGTCTTGAAGAGAAAATAGAGAAAGAGAGAGGAGTAAAAAGTTGATTCAAAGGGAAAATATCAGAGGACGTCGCAAATTTAGAGTAAGATATCAATATCCAAGTAGAAGAAGGCTATAGAACACCAAGCAGATTTAACCCAAAGAAGACTACCTCAAGGCATTTAATAATCAAACTCCTAAAGATCAAGATAAAGAAAGGATCCTAAAATCAGTAAAAGAAGAGAAACAAATAACACAAGATGTAGCTCCCATATGCCTGGCAGCAGACTGGAAACCTTATAGGCCAGGAGAGAGTGGCATGACATATTTAAAGTGTTGAGGGAAAAAAAAACTTTTACACTAGAATAGTATATCTGGTGAAAACATCCTTGAAGCATGAAAGAGAAATAGACTTTCCCAGACAAACAAAAGCTGAGGGATTTCAACAACACCAGACCTGTCCTACAAGAAAAGCTAGAGGAAGTTCTTTTATCTAAAAGAAAAAGGATATTAATGAGCAATAAGAAATCATCTGAAGGTACAAAACTAACTGGTAATAGTAAACATACAGAAAAATACAGAGTATTATAACACTGTAATTGTGGTGTATAAACTACTTTTATCTTACATAGACTAGATGATGAAACAATCAAAAATAATAACTACAGCAACTTTTGAAGACATAGACATAAAATAAGACATAAAGACAAACAACAAAAAGTTAAAAAGCAAGGGGAAATAGTTACAATGTAGAGTTTTTATTAGTTTCCTTTTTGCTTGTTGTTTATGTAATCAGTGTTAAGTTGTCATCCGTTTAAAATAACAGGTTATAAGATAGTATTTGTAAGCCTCATGGAAACCTCAAATCAAAAACATACAACTGATAAACAAAAAAGCAAGAAATTAAATCATACTACTAGAGAAAATCACCTTCACTAAAAGGATGACAGGAAGGAAGGAAAGAAAGAAGAGAAGATCACAAAACAACCAGAAAACAACAAAATGGCAGAAGTAAGTCCTTAATTATCAAAAATATCATTGAATGTAAGTGGACTAAACTCTCCAATCAAAAGGCACAGAGTGGCTGAATGGATTCAAAACAAACCAAAAAAAGGCCCAGTGATCTGTTGCCTATAAGAAACACACTTCATCTATAAAGACACACATAAACTGAAAATAAAGAAATGGAAAAAGATATTCCAAGCCAATGAAAACCAAAAAAGAGCAGAAATAGCTATTCCTATATCAGACAAAATAGACTTCAAGACAAAACTGTAAGAAGAGACAAAGAAGGTCATTATATCATGACAAAACATCAATTCAGAAAGAGAATATGACAATTGTAAATATATATGCACCCAACACTGGAGCATTCAACCATACAAAGCAAAGATTATCAGAGCTAAAGAGAGAGACCTCAAAACAATAATAGTTGGAGACTTCATCACCCCACTTTCAGCACTGGACAGATCTTCCACACAGAAAATCAATGAAGAAACATCAGACTTAACGTACACTATAGAACAAACAGACCTAGTAGATATTTACAGAACATTTCATGCAGTGGCTGCAGGATACATTCTTCTCCCCAGCATACGGATCATTCTTAAGGTTAAGTCATATGTTAGATCACAAAATACATCTTAAAACATTCAAAAAATTAAAATAATATCAAGCATCTTCTTTGACAACAATGGAATAAAACTAGAAATTAATAGCAAGTGGAATTTTAGAAACTACAAACACATAAAAATTAAACAATATGCTTTGGAATGACCAGTAGATGAATGAAGAAATTAAGAAGGAAACTGAAAAATGTCTTGAAACGAATGAGAATGGACACAATATACCAAAACCTTTGGGATACAACAAAAGTAGTACTAAGAGGAAATTTTCCAGCTATAAGTGTCTACATCAAAAAAGAAGAAAAACTTCAAATAAATAACCTAACAATGCATCCTAAAGAACTAGAAAAGCAAGAGCAAACCAAACCTAAAGTTCGTTGAAAAAAAATGAATGATAAAGATCAGAGCACAAATAAATGAAATTGAAATGAAGAAAATAATACAAAACATCAAAGAAATGCAAAGCTGTTTTTCTGAAAAGATAAACAAAATTGACAAGCCTTTAGCCAGGCTAAGAAAGAAAGAGAAGACCCAAATAAATAAAATCAGAGATGAAAAAGGAGACATTACAACTGATACCACAGAATTTCAAAGGATCATTAGTGGCTATTATCAGCAACTACATGCCAATAAACTGGAAAATCTAGAGAAAATGAATAAATTTCTAGACATACACAACCTACCCAGATTGAACCAGGAAGAAATCCAAAACCTGAACAGACCAATAGCTACTAACAAGATCAAAGCCATAATAAAAGTACCCCAGTAAAGAAAAGCCCAGAACCTGATGGCTTCACTATTGAATTCTACCAAACATTTAAAGAGAAACTAATACCAATCTTATTCCAACTATCCCCAAAAATAGAAGAGAAGGGAATACTTCCAAACTCATTTTATAAGGCCAGTATTACCCTGATACCAAAAGCAGACAAAGACATTTCAAAAAAAGAAAACTGTGGGGCCAATATCTCTGATAAATTTTAATGCAAAAATCTTCAACAAAATACCAGCAAGGCAAATTCAACAATATATTTAAAAAGATAATTCATCACAACCAAGTGGGATTTATCCCAGGGATGCAAGGATAATTCAACATACACAAGTCAACCAATGGGATACATCATATCAACAAAATGAACCATATGATCACTTCAACTAATGCTGAAAAAGCATTTGATAAAATTGAACATCCTTCATGATATAAACCCTAAAAAAAACGGGTATAGAAGAAACATACCTCAACATAATAAAAACCATATGTGACAGACCCACAGCTAGCATCATACTGAATGGGGAAGACCTGAAAGCCTTTCTGCTAAGATCTGGAACCTAACAAAAATGTCCACTTTCATCACTGTTATTCAACATAGTACTGGCAGTCCTAGCTAGAGCAATCATAAAAGAGAAAGAAATAATGGGCATCCAAATTGGAAAGGAAGAAATCAAACTATCCTTGTTTGCAGATGATATGATCTTATATTTGGAAAAACCTAGAGAGTCCACCAAAAAACTATTGGAACTAATAAACAAATTCAGTAAAGTTGCAGGATACAATATCAACTTAAAAAAATCAGAAGCCTTTTAGTATGCCAACAGCAAACAATCTGAAAAAGAAATAAAAAGCTAATCCCATCTACAATCACAACAAATAAAATTAAATACCTAGGAATTAACATAATCAAAGAAGTAAAAGATCTCTGGAATGAAAACTATAAAACACTCATGAAAGAAATTGAAAAGGACACCAAAAAAATGAACATATATTCCATGTTCATCAAGTGGAAGAATCAATATTGAATCAATATTGTCAAAATATCCATATTACTCAAAGCAATCCACAAATTCAATGTAATCCCTATCAAAATGTCAATAACATGCTTCACAGAAATAGGAAAAACAATCCTAAAATGTATATGGAAGCTCAAAAGACCCAGAATAGCCAAAGCTGTCTGTATTAGTCCATTCTAATGCTGCTATGAAGAAATACCCAAGACTGGGTAATTTATAATGAAAAGAGGTTTAATTGACTCACAGTTCTGCATGGCTAGGAAGGCCTCAGGAAACTTACAATCATGGCAGAAGGGGAAGCAAACACATCTTCCTTCACAAGGCAGCAGGGGAGAGAAGTGCCGAGCAAAGGAGGAAAAGCCCCTTATAAAACCATCAGATCTCCTGAGAACTCACTCACTATCACAAGAACAGCATAGGGGTAACTGCTCCCATTATTCAATTACCTCCTACTGGATCCCTCCAACACATGGGGATTATCGGAACTAAAAATTCACCATGAGATTTGGGTGGGGACACAGCCCAACCATATCATTCTGACCCTGTCCCCTCTCAAATCTCATGTCCTCACATTTCAAAACACAATTTTGCCTTTCCAAAAGCCCCCCAAAGTTTTAGCTCATTTTAGTGTTAACCCAAAAATCCAAGTCTGAAGTTTCATCTAAGAGAAGGCAAGTCCCTTCCACCTATGAGCCTGCAAAATCAAAAGCAAGTTAGTTAATTCCCAAATACAATGGGGATACAGGCACTGGGCAAATACACCCATTCCAAATGGGAGATATTGGCCAAAACAAGGGGGCTACAGGCCCCACACAAGTCTGAAATCCAACAGGGCAGTCACCAAACCTTCAAGTTCCAAAATGATCTCCTTTGACTCCATGTCTCACATCCAGGTCATGCTGATGCAAAAGGTGGGCTCCCATGGCCTTGGGCAGCTGCACTTCTGTGGCTTTGCAGAGTACAACCCTCCTCTTGGTTGCTTTCACAGGCTTGCATTGAGTGTCTGTGGCCTTTCCAGGCACATAGTACAAGCTGCTGGTGGATCTACCATTCTGGGGTCTAAAGGACAGTGGCCTTCCTCTCACAGCTCCACTAGGCAGTGCCCTAGTGGGGACTCCATGTTGGGGTTCCAACTCCATATCTCCCTTCCACACTGCCCTAGCAGAAGTTCTCCAACAGGACTATGCCCCTGAAGCAAACTTCTGCCTGGACATCCAGGCATTTCCATACATGCTCTGAAATCTAGGCAGAGGTTCCTAAACCTCAATTCTTGACTTCTGTGCACCCACAGGCTCAACACCACGTGTAAGCTGCTGAGGCTTGGGGCTTGCACCCTCTGAAGTAATGCCTCAAGCTGTGCCTTGGCCCCTTTTAGCCATGGCTGGAGCTGAAGCAGCTGAGATGCTGTGCACTATGTCCCAAGGCTGCACAGAACAGGGTGTCCTGGGCCTGGCCCATGAAACCAGTTTTCTCTCCTAGGCCTCTGGACCTGTAACGGGAGGGGCTGCCATGAAGGTCTCTGACATGCCCTGGAGACATTTCCCCATTGTCTTGGCAATTAACATTTGGCTCCTTGTTACTTATGCAAATTTATGCAGTGGCCTTGAATTTCTCCTTAGAAAATGGATTTTTCTTTTCTATCACATTATAAGGCTGCAAATTTTCCAAATTTTTATGTTCTGCTTCCTCTTGAATGCTTTGCCGCTTAGAAACTTCTCCTGCCAGATACCCTAAATCATCTTTCTCAAGTAATAAGTTCCACAGATCTCTAGGGCTGGGGCAAAATGCCACCAGTCTCTTTGCTAAAGTATAGCAAGGATCACCTTTATTCCAGTTTCCAACAAGTTTCTCATCTCCATATGAGACCACCTCAGCCTGGACTTTATTGTCCATATCACTATCAGCATTTTGGTCAAAGCCATTCAACGAGTCTCTAGGAAATTCCAAAGTTTCCCACATCTTCCTGTCTTCTGAACCCGCCAAGTCTCTAGGAAGTTCCAAACTTTTCCACATTTTCCTGTCTTCTTCTGAGCCCTCCAAACTGTTCCAACCTCTACCCATTACCCAGTTCCAAAGTCACTTCTACATTCTCAGGTATCTTTACTGCAGCACCCCACTTCCTGTGGTACCAATTTCTGTATTAGTCCATTCTTATGCTGCTATGAAGAAATATCCAAGACTGGGTAATTTATAAAGGAAGAGGTTTAATTGACTCACAGTTCTGCATGGCTGGGAAGGCCTCAGGAAACTTACAATCATGGTGGAAGGGGAAGTAAACACATCCTTCTTCACAAGACAGCAGAAGAGAAAAGTGCTGAGCAAACAGGGAAAAGCCCCTTATAAAACCATCAGTTTTCATGAGAATTAACTATCATGAGAACAGCATGGGGATAACTGAACCCATGATTCAATTACCCCCCACTGGGTCCCTCACATGACATGTGGGGATTATGGGAACTACAATTCACAATGAGATTTGGATGGGGACACAGCCAAATCATCACTATCCTAAGCAAAAAGAAAAAAACAGGAGGAAACATATTACCAGACTTCAATTTATGTTACAGAGCTATACTAACCAAAACAGCATGGTATGAGTATAAAAACAAATGCATAGACCAATGAAATAAAACAGAGAAACAGAAACAAATCCATACTTCTACAGTGAACTTATTTTTAACAAAGGTGCCAAGGAACATACATTGGAGAAAGGACAGTCTCTTCAATAAACGGTGCTGGGAAAACTGAATATCCACATGCAGAAGAATGAAACTAGACCCGTATCTTTCCCATATGCAAAAATCAAATCCAAATGAATTACAGGCTTAAATCTAAGACCCCAAACTCTGAAACTACCACAAGAAAATACCAAGAAAACTTTCCAGGACAATGGTCTGGGCAAAATTTTCTTGAGTAATAGCCCAAAAGCACAGGCAACCAAAGCAAAAAAGAACAAACAAGATCACATCAAGCTAAAAAGCTTTTGCATATCACTGAAGACAATCAACAAAGTAAAAAGAAAACCCACAAAATGGAAGAAAATATTTTCAAACTACCCGTTTCACAAGGGATTAATAATCAGAATATAAAAGGAGCTCAAACAACTCTATATGAAAAATATCTAATAATCCAATTTCAAAATGGGAAAAAGGATCTGAATAGACATTTCTCAAAAGATAACATACAAATGGCAAACAGGCATATGAAAATGCGCTTGACATCACTGATCATCAGAGAAATGCAAATTGAAACTACAATGAGGTATCACCTCACCCCAGTTAAAATGGCTTTTATCTAAAAGACAGGCAATAATGAATGCTAGCAAGGGTGTGGAGAAAAAGGACCCCTCATACACTGTTGGCGAGAATTGTAAATTAGTACAACGACAATGCAGAACAGTTTGGAGGTCACACACACACACAAACTAAAAATAGAGCTACCACATGAACTAGCAATCACATTGCTAGGTATATAACCAAAAGAAAAGATATTATCATATCTAAGAGAGGTTCCATGGTGTAATGGTGAGCACTCTGGACGCTGAATTCAGTATATTAAAGACATATCTGGGCCAGGCGCGGTGGCTCATGCCTGTAATCCCAGCACTTTGGGAGGCCAAGGAGGGCGGATCATGAGGTCAGGAGTTTGAGACCAGCCTGACCAACATGGTGAAATCCTATCTCTACTAAAAATACAAAAAAATTAGCTGGGCGTGGTGGTGCATGCCTGTAATCCCAGCTACTCAGGAGGCTGAGGCAGGAGAATTGCTTGAACTCGAGAGGCGGAGGTTGCAATGAGCTGAGATTGTGCCACAGCACTCCAGCCTGGGCAACAGAGCGAGACCGTGTCTCAAAAAAAAAAAAAAAAAGGAGAGCTCTGCATTACCATGTTTGTTGCAGCACTGCTCACAGTAGCCAAGTTTGGAAGCAAACTAAGTGTCCATCAACAGACGAATGGATAAAGAAAATGTGGTATATACACATAATTGAGTACTATTAGGCCATAAAAGGAATGAGATCCTGTCATTTGCAACAACATGGATGGAACTGGAGGTGATTTTGTTAAGTGAAATAAGCCAGGCACAGAAAGACAAACAATGGGTTCTCATTTATTTGTGGGAGCTAAAACTTAACACAACTGAACTCATGGAGATAGAGAGTAGAAGGATGGTTAACAGAGGCTGAGACTGAGAGTTTTTAACATGAAGCATTGTCGAATTATATCTAAGGCCTTTTCTGCATCTACGGAGACAACCGCATGGTTTTTGTCTTTAGTTCTGTTTTTGTGATGAATCACATTTATTGATTTGCATATGTTGAACCAACCTTGCATCCCAGAAATAAAGCCTACTTGATCATAGTGGATTAGCTGTTTGACGTGCTGCTAGATTCAGTTTGCAAGCATTTTGTTTAGGATTTTTCCATCAATGTTCATCATGGATACTGGCCTGAAGCTTGCTTTCTCTGTTGTGTCTCTGCCAGGTTTTGGTATCAGGATGATGCTGGCATCATAGAATGAGTTGGGGAGGAGTCCCTTCTCCTCAATTTTTAGGAATAGTTCCAATAGGAATGGTACTAGCTCTTCTTTGTAGAGCTAGTATGATTTTACCAGATCTACATCTGGTAGAATTCAGCTGTGAATCCATCTGGTTCTGGGCTTTTTCAGTTGGTAGGCTATTTGTTACTGATTCAACTTTACAGCTCATTATTGGTCTGTTCAGGGAATGTATTTCTTCCTGGTTCAGTCTTGGGAATGTATGTGTCCAGGAATTTATCCATCTTTTCTAGGTTCTCTTGTTTGTGTGCACAAAGGCATTCATAGTTGTTTCTAATAGTTATTTTTATTTCTGTGGGGTAAATGGTAAAATCTCCATCATCATTTCTAATTGTGTTTATGTAGATCTTCTCTCTTTTCTTCTTTGTAACTCTAGCTAGTGGCCTATCTTATTAATATTTTCAAAAAACAAATGCCTGTAATCCCAGCACTTTGGGAGGCTGAGGTGGGCGAATCCCAAGGTCAGGAGATCAAGACCATCCTGGCTAACACATGAAACCCCGTCTCTACTAAAAATACAAGTTAGCTGGGTGTGGTGGCGGGTGCCTATAGTCCCAGCTACCAGGGAGGCTGAGGCAGGAGAATGGCGTGAACCCGAGAGGCGGAGCTTGCAGTGAGCCGAGATTGGGGCACTGCACTCCAGCCTGGGCGAAAGAGAGAGACTCCATCTCAAAAAAAAAAAAAAGAAAAGACGAAAACAAACAAAAAAAAACTTCTGGATTCACTGATCTTTTGAATGGCTTTTCATGTCTCACTTTCCTCCCATTCAGCTCTGATTTTGGTTATTTCTTCTCTTCTGCTAGCTTTGGGGTTGATTTGTTCTTGCTTCTTGAATTCTTTCAATTGTGATGTTAGATTGTTAATTTGAGATCTTTCTAATGTTTTGATGTGAGCATTTAGCGCTATGAATTCCCCTTTTAACACTCCCTTAGCTGTGTCCCAGAGATTCTGGTATGTTGTATCTTTGTTCTCATTAATTTCGAAGAACTTTTTGATTTCTGCCTTAATTTCATTATTTACCCAAAAGTCATGCAGCAGGAACATGTTTGATTTCCATGTAATTGCATGATTTTGAGCAATTTTTTTAGTCTATTTTTATGGCACTGTGGTGCAAGAGTGTGTTTGGTGTGATCTTGGTTATTTTTCATTTGCTGAGGATTATTTTATGTTCAATTATGTGGTCAGTTTCAGAGTATGTGCCACATGGCGATGAGAAGAATGTATATTCTGTTGTTTTTCAGTAGAGAGTCCTGTAAAGGTCTATCAGATACATTTGATCTAATGTTGAGTTCAGGTCCTGAGTATCTTTGTAAATTTTCTGCCTTGATGATCTGTCTAATACTGTCAGTTGAGTGTTGAAGTCTCCCACTATTATTATGTGGAGGTCTACATCTCTTTGTAAATCTCTAAGTATTTGCTTTATGACTCTGGGTACTCCTATGTTGGGTGCGTATATATTTAAGATAGTTAGGTCTTCTTGTTGAATTGACTCCTTCATCATTATGTAATGCCCTTCTTTGTCTTTTTTGACCTTTGTTGGTTTAAAGTTTAATTCTGAAATTAGGATTGCAACCCCTGCTTTTTTCTGTTTTCCATTTTGTGTGGTATATTTTCCTCCGTTCCTTTATTTTGAGCCTGTGGGTGTAATTACATGTGAGATGGATCTCTTAAAGACAGCATACCATTAGGTCTTGCTTTTTTATCCAGCTTGCTACTCTGTCCCTTTTAAGTGGGGGCATTTAAACTTTTATATTCAAGGTTAGTATTGACATGTGTAGATTTGATCCTGTCATGGTGGTGTTAGCTACCTTTACCTTTCCTCCACAACCTTGCCAGCATGTTATTTTTTGACTTTTTAATAATAGCCATTCTGACTGGTGTGAGATGGCATCTCCTTATGCTGGCTTGTTGGTGTGGTTGCTTTAGAGTGTCACTGCTGTGTATTTCAGTGTGGTTTTGTATTAGCTGGTAGCAGTCTTTCCTTTCTATATTTAGTGCTCCTTTCAAGATCTCTTGTGAGGCAGTCTGGTGGTAATGAACTTATTCAACATTTGCTTATCTGAGAAGTATCTTATTTCTGCTTCACTTAGGAAGCTTAGTTTGGCTGGATATGAAATTTTTGGTTAAAGATTTTTTTTTCTTTACCAATGTTGAATATAGGTAGGTCCACAATGTCTTCTGGCTTGTAGGGTTTCAGCTGAGATAGCTGCTGTTAGCCTGATGAGGCTTCCTTTGTAGGTGACCTGGGCTTTCTCTCTAGCTGCCTTTAAAATTATTTCATTTTGACCTTGGAAATTTTAATGATTATATGTCTTAGGGATGATCTTCTTGTGTAGAATCATGCAGAAGTTCTCTGCATTTCCTGCATTTGACTGTTGACCTGTCTAGCAAAGTTGGGGAAGTTTTCAGGGATGATATCCTGACATGTGTTTTCTAAGTTGTTTGCTTTCTCTCCCTCCCTTTCAGGGATGCCAGTGATTCACAGCCTTGGCCTCTTTACATAACCCCATACTTCTCAGAGGTTTTGCTCATTCCTCTTCATTCTTTTCTCTTTATTTTTGTCTGACTGTGTTATTTCAGAGAGCCAGGCTTCAAGTTCTCAGATTATTTCCTCATCTCAGTCTATTCTTCTGTTAATATTTGTGACTGCTTTGCAAAATTGTGTTTTTCAGCTCTTTTAGATCCATTAGGTTCCTTTTTATACCAGCTATTTCATCCTTCAGCTCCTATATTGTTTTGTTGTGATCCTTAGTTTCCTTGGATTGGGTTTTGCTATTTTCCCAAATGTTGATAATCTTTATTCCTATCCATATTCTGAATTCTATTTCTGTCATTTCACTCAGCTCAACCTGGTTAAGAACTCTTGCTGAACAACTGGTATGGTCATTTGGAGGATATAAGACACACTGGCCATTTGAGTTGCCGGAGTTCTTGTGTTGGTTCTTTCTCATCTCTGTGTTTGAGTATTCCTTTAACTGAAGTGTAGATTGAATACAGTCAATAGACTTCTTTTCTGAATGTTTTCACAGGTCTGAGGCTTTGTGCGTGGTCTTTATTTGAAGCTGACTTCTTGTCTTTGGTTTCACAGAGGGTTTTGTTAACAAAGTATTTTTGGTGTTGAAGCTTTGGGGTGTGATCCAGTAGCTGGTGCTTAAGTGTACTGGTCAGTTGGTAGACTTGTTCTCAGTTGTGTGGCTCCCCTATGTTTCCTCACATTGCAGCCATGTTCCCTCTCAAGACTCTGAAAGTGTGGGCTCTTCTGCCTCTTGAGTGCCGGCCGTAGATCATGGCTTGGCACTTCTATGCTGCCCATTGCAGCTCTGGGATGATCTCAGGGTTTATGTTCCTCCCCAAACTTACAGCAGCAGAGGAAGGGACCTGGTGGCCAATGGTATTTTTCTTGTCTCCTGGGGGCTCCATACCAAAGAGATAAGATCAGCAATTGCTCAGTGCAATCACCTCAGGATGGAAGGTCTGTGCTGTGGGCCCAAGTCAGGATTCCCTGTCTACTGATGAGCAGAGGGAGTGGGCGGGACCTGTGGGAGATGAACTGGCCTCCTTTCTTTGGGTCAAATGCACCTTGTTGGAGGTGTGGATAAGGCACTTAGTATCTTTCCTCCTTCATTAGTCCGAGGGCAGCAAGGGCAGTTCCACTGCAGAGGCAGTGGTAGAGAGGCTTTTGGTTGCCCCTGGGGACTCTGTCTAGTGAGTTACAGAGTTGCTACTGGCTCAATAGCCCCAGTGGTGGCTGGCTGCGTACTCAGACCTGGAGAACCTGCAGGTGAGGAGATATGGGAATAGGCACCCACATAACATTTTGGCCACTTTTCTGTAGGTTGATGCAGTATGCTGGGGATCCCCTCCAGACCCTAGTCACCTCAAATTTTCTAGTTCCTGGAGGTATCGGCAGTGAAGGCTGCAAAACACAAATATAGTGGCCTGTCCCTCCCTCTGGGAGTTCTATCCCAGGGAGGTACTGACCTGTTGCCAGCCTGAATTCACCTGTAGGAGGTGGCTGGAAATCCTGGTTGGGAGGTCCCACCCAGTGAGGAGGAACAGGATCAGCAACCTGCTTAAAAAAGCAGTCTGGCCACATTTTCATAGAGCAACTGGGGGTCTGCTTCCCCCAGTCACCTTGGACTCTCCAAAACCCAAAGGCTGGAAAGGTTAGGTCACCTAAATAGCAAAGATGGCAGCAGGCCCCTCCCGCTAGGAGCTCCATCCCAGGGAGGTTTGAAACCTCTTTCAGTGGCAGAACTCTGGCAGGGGTGGCTGGAGACCCCAGTTGGGAGGTCCTGCCCACTGAGGAACTGGAACAGGAACCCGTTTTAAAAGGCAGTCTGGCCACGTTTTCGTAGAGCAGCTGTGCTGTGCTGGAGGTCTACTCCAGCTCCCAGACACCCTGAACTCTCCAAAGTCCAAAGGCCAGAATGGCTAAATCAGCCAAACAGTAAAGATAGCAGCCAACCCCTCCCTCTGGGAACCCCACTCCAGGGAGACTCTAAACCTCTGTCAGCTAGAGATCACCAGCAGGGGTAGCTGGAGACCCCAATTAGGAGGTTCTGCCCAGCAAGGAGGAATGGGATTGGGGACCTGCTTTAAAAAGCAGTCTGGCCACACATTTTGAGCTGTGCTGTGCTGGGGGTCTGCTTCAGCCCCTAATTGTTCCGAAATGCCCAAAGCCCAAAGGCTGACACAGCTAAGTTGGCCAAACGGCAAAGATGGCAGCCCACCCCTTCCCCTGGGAGCTCCGCCTCAGGGAGGTATAACACTGCTACCGGTGGCTGGCTGGAGTTCCAAGCCAGTGGGTCTTATCCTGTGAGGTGTCATGCAAGTTGCGCCTGCAGACTGTCGCTGCTCAGCCCCTTGCATTCAGCCCTTTTCCTAGGGATATATATGGGAGAGTCTAACCTCCTGCTTTGCCAGATTTGCAGCTGCTTTTGTCAGGAAGCCCAGAAAACCCAGGTATCTAAGGCTCCCGGGTCTCTGCATGTGCCTGAGCAGCTGCTCTTCCAAGACTCTAAGTAGCTCTGTATGTCAGCTGAAGGCCCTGGTGGAGTGGGTTCACCAGGGGAATCTCCTGACCTGAGGGGTTGCAAGGATCTGTGGGAGAAGCATGGGTTCCCAGGGTTGCACGTTTATTCACCACTTTCCTGGGTGCGGAAGGGTCCCCTAGCTCCATGTTGCTCCTGGTGGGTCATCATCCTGCCCGGCTTTTCTCTGTTCTCTGTGGGTCGACTTGTTTCCTTGATTAGTCCCAGTGCATGTACCTGGATGTTTCAGTTGAAGGTGCTCTATTTACTTGCCCCTTCCATTCCTCTCCATTAAAGTGGCTCACACTAGCAGTTTCTAGTCACCCATCTTGACCACCCTCATACTTACTTTTCAAATTAATTAATTTACTTATACTCTCTCTCATCCTTATAAAGAGGGTTTAAAGCAGTTTACAACATGTAAGACAAATTGGTAAAGACAATTGATAAAGAGATCAGAGCAAAGAAGAAAACAACAGTAGAATAGTATTTGAAATTACAGATGGTCCCTGACTGACAATAATTCAACTTATCCCTTTTTCAACTTTTAAGTGTGAAAGAAATACACATTCGGTAGAAACCATACTTTGAGTACCCATACAACCATTCTGTTTTTTACTTTCTATATACTAGTCAATAAATTACATGAGATATTTAATACTTTATTATAAAATAGGCTTTGTGTTAGATGATTTTGCCCAACTGTAGGCTAATGTAAGTGTTTTGGGCACTTTTAAGGTAGGCTAGGCTAAGCTATGATGTTTGGTAGGTTAGGTGTATTACATGCACTTTTTACTTGCAACGTTTCCAAATTATGATGGGTTCATCTGGATACAACCCCATCATAAGTCAAGGAGCACATGTATAAGCAAACTGAATATATTTAAAAAATGATATCAGATTGTCATATACAAATGTTAAGTGTCCCAAATTTACTTCTAAGTGTCAAGGCAGTCACAGCTTTAAAAAATGTATTGACAGGAAATACAAAGAACATAAAATTTTCCAACTCCATTTGTTCAGGAGAATGGTAGATTTTCCTAGTATTTATGTCTGAAAAAAAGTTTCTCCTATGGTCCTCATTACAAGGCATGGTGAGATATAGTTGACAATACCCTCACCAATACTCCTTCAAAAAGTACAATAAGCAACTTTCATATGACTTGCTTAACCCCAAAGTCCAGCTCAGTAAAGTCCAGTTTAGAAGAAACCAAAAACAATGTCATCCAAGTATGCTGTTCTTTGATGGTCTAGTTGGACCTAGGGATGGATTTTGGGCTGCCTGGAAAAACTGATAGCCTTCCAACAATCCACTGAAAGTTTTATTTCTCATAATTGAGCTCTTGATAAGAAATGAACAACAGAGTTCAAGGTCATGGTCTCTAGCAGAAACCTGGAGTGCAGACATCCCAGGGCAGGTCTGTATCCTTTAACAATCTACTGAGGAGGAACATTCTCTTCATACATCTCTTCCATAAGAGACATTCTCTTATGAAAATCAAAGTGCCTGAGTAGCACAGCACCTGAAAAAGAGGGTCTCCCCACTTCTGCCAAGGAAGCACCTGCTGGGCAGAGTCAAAATCCTTCCTCAGCAAATGGTTCACAGTTGGCCCTATTGCACAAAGTGGCTTGATAAGGCCTCAGCATTCAGGCTGACCATGTTTCACTGAAGTTAGGAATTCTAGGAACATTATATTCAAGGTAGATTCTTGTTTCATGTCCTTGGACCCTAAATATGGCGGTAAAGCAAAGAAGATTCAGGTCAATGGAAGTATGAAGAAATTGTTCAGGAAGCAAACAGTTCAATTTAATACTGAAAGGGGGGCAGGATTGAAAGGAGGAAAAGAAGTTATTTGGCTTGTCATGGAAAACTACAGAACAGAAAACCCTAACATAATTCAGCTCAGAATCACACTGACTGCATCTCTCTTATCTTTTCAGGCTTACACACACATAGTGTGCAGCAGGTGCTGCCCCTTGTTGGCAGGGGCCTACAGCCAGACTGGGACCAGAAATGAAGTTCTGGAAAGCCTATCAGCCAGTGGTCCAAGCTGCATCCTTCAGTATAGTTTTGTCAGTAAAGCTAGCATGTGTTCTTCATCTTTCTGACTCCTCAGAATTGTGGAGTGAGAATAGAGGAGTGTTATTTACCGGCCCCTGAAAACCCTAATGTAGGATACGGACAAGAAAGATGAGGAATGTACTGATGGACTGCAACTTCATTCCTCGTAGGCTCTGACAGACAACAGGAAAAGGATTTAGCAGCTGAAGCTCTATACCAGAAAGAGCAGCCAAAATTAGCTAACGAGCTGCTGGCCACTCCAGCACAGTTAGGAGGTAGTAACATATGCATATGGAATTTCCTATTCTTGTTACAGTCCTGACAATGAGGGTAAGGTGTCAAGTGTCTTCATTCCTCAAGCTGCAACTCAAGGTGACTGAGTCATTAGCTCTGTTACTGCTTAGCCATGGTCTTGCTCTCCAGAATCTTCTCTGCCAGCTTTTAGCTACTATTCTCAGTTTTGGAAAGAAAGCTCTGGAGCCTCTCAGAAAACTTTTTGCACTAGGGTCAAAGTAAGCAGAATATAAATGCTCCCTGGCATTTCCAAGTATAAATAGGTCCAAGATGCCTCATTAGGAGCCTCACTGCTTGCTTCTGAAGCACAAGTTCCATCTCTGTCTTCACCTGTTTCTCCAGGAGAATAACCTCATTACCTTACTACAATTACCGATTTGCTGGAAAATAATCTACATCCCTCACCAGCACCGGTAACCTACTCCCAACTACACAGCCAAGATTTCAAAACCATTGATCTTCTTTAGGGAAAATATTCTGATGCCTTTTCCTTTTCTTTTTGAAAACAGTAATCGAACTCATCAATAAGCTGCTCAGGACTTAAATCCTACAAATCTCTAGCCAGAAGCTAAGAGGAGTATATTAATTTCTGGTTGCAAGCAACAGAAATGGACTTTCTGGAATTAAATGGTAACGTAAGTAAAAAGAGAATATTCTGGAAAGCTATGGTGCTGCTCACAATACTGAAGGCAAGACTAGGGAACCAAGCTTGGAAAGACAGAAATTAGGAGACTCCACAAGTTCTTACTGTCAATTGAGCCCAGGCCCCACAGCTGGAAGAGCTGAACTTAGACTGTTCCTCTACCTTAGGTATACTGTACTCAAGACCAAAGTTCTGATAGAGAAAGAAACCAACACACTAAGTTTTAGTCCTATCCTGCCTCTTGCTATACCTAGGCTGTGAAAGACAGATCTTAGGAAACGAGCTTCTAGAGTTTCCTTCAGCTGCCATGATGGGACAGAAGGCCCTGAGACTTATCTACCCATCACAACTGCACACAAAGGAAGGCAGTAAATTCCCCTAAAGGAAATCAAAGTGCTATTAGGAAAAGGCAATGCATACTGAGTAGCAAAACATAACAAATGTCCTTCCTGGGAATGCTAAAGCCAATTCTCTTCTTTTACAGTTAAGGAAGCTGAGATCAAGAAAGTTTAAATAACTTAAAGGTCAAAGAGCAAGTTAGAGGAAGAGATGGAACAGAAATTTCATCAAATATTCTATACCCTTACTACCCGAAGTGTGGTCTGTGGACGACCTCAGCTGGGGGCTGGTTAGGAAGGCAAACTTGCAGGCCCCACCCCAAACCTACTGAGTCAGAATCTGCATTTTAACAAGATGCTGGGGTAATTCACATGGACACTAAAGTCTGAGAAGCACTGCTTTATTTTTATAGGTCTCTACTTCTGTGTCATCCAGTGGAAACTGAACCCAGGTGTTTCTCACATGACTTTGACTGATGATGGTCTTTCCTCAATTCACAGGAAAAAAAGACATAATTGTTTCGTCATTATGTTCTAAACCCTACAGCCTGTCCCTGTGTTCTATTAGCACACTCAGACAGAGAGCAGATTATGTGATCACCAGAAATGTAACAATAGGATGCACCTAAGCCAAATTCCAACAGAATGATGGGAGGAATTCTTCAAATCAGGACTTCATATAGGCAATGTTGAGGATGACCAGTCCCAACTGTGAAATCGGAACCAAAACTGTAATGATAAGAATTGTTCCATGGTACTTGGGTGCAAGAAATATCACATTTCTTTATTGTTTTAAATCAAATTAAACAGTCCCACCTGTTGAGCAGAAAATCTATGTGCAATTATTTAGGACACCCTCTCCACCTTTCCTTGGTTGAATCAGAACCCAGAGGCTTATATAGTTCTAAAAAAACACAAATTAAAAATTTCAAGAGAAAAGGGGTTGGCAGGGGGAGGGGGGAGAAATGGCTCTTTGTCCTCCAGATGGCCCTGGCCACTGACTTTCCTTCTGCTCAAGCCACTGCTCTAGGAGGGCTGCAGCCACACCCAATATCTGCAGACCTTCTCTCTCTGTCAGCAGTCTGGAGAAGTCATCCTTCCCCTACTCCAGACTGAGGTGTCATGCTTCATTATGTATGGTGCAAGTGTGTTCCTGATAGTGAGATTCTATTGCATACATATAATACAGGGGTGGTTTCTGCTAGCAACATTGTTCCTTGTTTGCCTGCTGGAGTGAAGTATATCACCATTTTATGGTGCTCCACAAAGAGTATGGTGTAAGCAAAGAACACCGGCTTGTTCAGGTGATATCACCCAAACTACTTTGAGGGCCGCTGATCTTGGCTGCCGGCAATATATAGATAGCCTTTGCTGCTGTTAGGCTTTGTGACTCAAGCACTCCTGCAACTGTTACATCTACACCAATTCTTCTTAATGTTAAACCTATAATGTGTTGCTCTTCCAGTTCCTTATCACCGCTTTCCTCCTATTACATATTCCTTACCTACCAGAGAACATGATGGGATTATGGTAAAGGCTTCATGGCTCAGGTTATTTGAGAAACTTAGGAAAGGGTTTCCTCAATGAATGACTAGTGTTATTAAGACTGTAGATCCACTACACAGAAGGCAGTTCCATCTCTGTGTGTGTGTATATGTGTGTGTTTTAGGGATGAAAAACAAGGGTATAGATGTTAAATTCCATGGGGTGATTTTAAGCATGAGCCATACTTACACACTATCAGATGCCTGGACTATCTTTTACACACTATCAGATGCCTGGACTATCTTCACCAGAAAACTTTTTCATGCCATAATTAGAAATAAGATTTTAATTACAAGTAATCTTGTAATTATAATTAATTATGATTATATAATGATTATATAATATATTATATAATTATTATATATTGATATAATAATTATATAATTATATTTATCAGTAATTATAAAGAATAAAGAAGCTGCCATTAAGCCTAGGATTCAGTTTAGGAGAGGGGATACTTCAGGTACATAATGTCAGGGAAGAGCGAGCCTTGAAAATAGAGAAAAGGAAAGTGGACACCCCAAGAACATATTCATCATCTTCACAATTTTGCCAATATCCTATACTAAGTGACGGTCTCTTTATTGCATCCCAAAAGGCCCTTAAATATCGACATTACCAGTTTCCTTTATTCCTTCTAGATCAGGAATTTTAGAACCAGTGGTCACTCTGATAATCATTCCGGTAAACTTACAGATCAAGAGGTCTTCCAGAATTTTCAGGTTCTAATTGACCCAGTGAACATGGTGAGCATAAGAGGGCTCTCTAGAACATGTTCTACAGCAACTAGAGTAGAAGAAGAAAATAACTGGATTCTTATATATGCCTGATTGTATTATTTGACCAATCAAAGCAACAAACACTGAGTTATATACAATTCCAAGAGATACATAGCGGGGCTTTACCTTCAAGGAGATTTTAGTTTGTTTGAGTAAACAGGCCATGTGCATAGAAAGAAAACAAACAACACACAATGGTCTTCAGTAAGTACCAAATGAATTGAACAATTTCAGTGAAGTTCAGAAGAGAAAGGAAGGGGTAGAGAAGTTATCAACATTAGCCAGAGTGATTTAGGAAAGTTTCATGGAGGCTTGAGAATTTCAACTTGACCTTGAGCAAGGATTCTTAATTTAAGGTCAATGTTCTCCTAAGGAGTGCATGAATGGAGTTTCAGGTCTCAATGAACCCTCTAGAGATACATTTTTGTGGGATAAAGTTAATGGCCTTCATCAGATTCTCGAATGGATAACTGAAAACTTTACAAGCCATTGCTTTGCAAGAAATTGCATAAGTAGTGACAAATAAAGGCAGCATCCTAATTAGAGGAACAAGTAAACAAGAGAATGGTGAGAAAATGAACAAGCCATGTTTAAGTGGAAAACATGCAGTATCAGTCTGGTTGTAGAACTGGACTCATGTTCATACAGAAATTTCAGGAGATAAGCTTGGAAAGCAGATTGGAACTGGTGCTAAAGTCAAATCCTTGACTATCAGGATTATCCTGTGGGCTGTGTTCAGGTGAACACTCATAGAGTTTAGGATGATTAATCTGACCACTTTGCGCAGGATGAGGTAGAAGTTGCTGAGCCATGGCTATAGCCATGGAATGAATGAGAAGGATTCTAAAGCATTGAGAGAAGAACTGATAAAAATTTAGTAACTTTGGAGTATAGGAGGAGAGAGGAAAGAACTAAGGATGACTCAAAGCCTCAAGTCTGAGTGTCTGGAGGGAGACTCACTTGTAGAAATAGAAACAGTGGATAGAAAGCTGGTTTCTCAGAGAATGGTAAAGGCTTTTATTTCCAACAGGTAAATTTTGAGATGTTATCCCAGGAATAGTTGACAGCCCCTTTATCAATGTTGCCAAACATTCACATACCCAAATATACAATCAGAGACATCTCTAATAGTATTCTTCCAGCCCAGTGCCCTCTATACCAGACAACAGATTTGGTCTGACTTCTTGGGGTACTCTGGACTGTTAACTTGAGGCTGTATTATTTTTGGTTTTTATTAGCAATCTTTCCTGAAGCATTTTCTCCAAATGACGTTACCACAGTGTGATTAGGAGACGTGCAAGGACATAAACATTCCAGCAAGATAAAAGCAGCCCTGCTTTCCCAGTACTCTCATAGCACTTCAACTTCATTAGGTTCCATGTTTCATTACAGTCAATGTCATTTAAGTTTTTATGTGCATTTCAAGGCTATTTGTTTTGACAAAGGATTTTAAGAAAACGCAGTTGGAACTTTCTGGGTTTTATTTAACTTTATAACCATCTAATTTACTCACCAATAAAGGGATAACTAAGCATTCCTTTTATGCTTCTAAAAACCTCTTTGCATAATTTTGAAATGCAATGCAAGATTCTGCAAGGAGGAAATTCATGACAAGGAAATGCTGACACAAGCTATCTAGTGTTGGGTGCCAGGGGTTAGGGACTCGGGAATGCCTCTCTTCATTAGCACACAAACACCCTATAGGACCTGAAGACACTTCCTCTATCATTATATGCTGCTTTTCTAAACAAGTGTATCTCTGACCCTGATGCTTACAGGGATAGATGAAACCCAGCAGGGAGCTCCCCAAAGCCTAGGAGTGCCAACAGACTGGAAATAATAGTAACTAAGAAGAACCAGGATGACTTGTGCAGAAATGTGTAGATTTTACAGATATGTTGTTCATCTCTCCCCAAGATGACACTCCAATTGATCCAGATAGATCATCTAACTTGCCCCTTCATGAATCAAGCCACTGCTCAACTCTTCAGTTTTGTTCAATATTCTCCACTGCTGGGTAGGACTTCCCTCTTATCTATCTAACTACAGCGGATCTTTCAAAATCCAGTTCAAATCCTGCCTTTTGCTTGAACCTCTTTCTGTTTATTTGAGGATTCTAGATTGTTAACTTCTCTCAGTCACTCTACCAACAAATGCTTTTGAGCACCTAATATTTGCAGGCATGAGAGTCCAGTTGTACTTACTCCTTATTTTTTCCTCTGATTATTTGAGTATATTAATCTCATCACTCTCATACAGGTGATCACTTCACTTCCTTTGTATTTCCCATGATGCCACAGCAATTCCCAGGCAGAGTATCAATTAAAACCCATATGTGAACATGTGCCTCATGTGTTCCAAAGATAAAAAAAAAAAAAAAGAAACAAAGAAAAATCGGGGAAAATCCAGAACTAGCCGTCATTTCAGCACAATTAGATAGAAAACTAAAATAATGAAAATGTGAGGCTTTTTTAATTTAAGCAGAACCAAAAACAAGCCCATTGGAAAGTACTTCTGATATGATAAGCTGAGGAATGTACTTGAATTGCTTTGTAAAGTACAGGAAGGGAACAGAACTAATTCCCACTTGGATCTCAGTGACTAGTCCTGAGAGGGCTTTGTGTTGCTGCGTGCAGGTTGCCCTCGGACGTGGGCAGCAGCTCATTCACCTCATCCATGACAACAGCCAATATGTGCTTCCAGAAATGGCCCTAGAAATTACATACTCTAAAACTCATGTCTAGTAAACTTCTCCTCAGGTCACCCTCCAAGCATAAAATTTGAACTCCCTGGAAAAAAAATAGCATCATAAGCAAAAGAAAATACAAAGTCATTATCTTTAGAAGAAGAAGGTATTTTTGAGACAGGAGAAATATGTGTTAGTACATCCTCATATTTAGGTTTTTTTCCCTAATTACGAAGTCAATGCCACTACACTCTCTTTCCCCAATGCAGGCAAGGGTCTCTTTTTTATTTCATGGCTCCCAAGTAACTCATATGGCCCTACAGGAAGCAATAAATACTTACCCACCTGAACTGCTAGCTTTTCACCAAACATATGGCAAGTTTTGTGGGCTTCTTAACTATTGAATTTCCATATCAAATACATTTTATGTTTAAATCTTTTATTTATAATACTTTTGAGTAAATCCAAACCAACAAAATATATCTCTGAGGCAGAGAGTTTAGCAGATGAATAAAATTTGCTAACTTTTATAACTTTCATAGCATGGCTTTTATAATGCAAGGGGAAAAAAGCAGAGCAATTAAAAATATTGTCTATGGACCCAGAAGTAAGAAAAAAAAAGAAAAACCATTATTTAAGTACCCACTGAAGAAACATCTGCTCAAATACACGATTTATCCTTCTCCCAGAACAGAGAGAAAAAGATATGAGTGTGCTCTTTAAATGAGAGGCATCTTTGCAAAGTGGTTGCTGAGAAGCTTACCTTTGGTTTCAGTTCTAAGAAAGCCATAGAAATTTCAATGACAAGTCACAGACACTGGGGAAAATGTTATCAACACATACTCCTGTGAGCTCTAAAATTATATAGTCCTGGAGTTGAATATTAACTTTGTCAAATGTTAATAAAATGAACCCACTTAATAATAGCCTGAAGGTCTGTGTGACAATGGGAAAGTTTCATAGCCTCTCTGAGCTTCATTTACATAATGAAGATACAAATCATAACCTCTCAGTACTGTTGTAAGGATTAAACAAGATCATGTGTGACCTCTGGTACAGTGTCTGGCTGGCTAGCATACAGTAGAAGTTCAATAAATGTTGGTTGTTCCTCCCTCCATCTTGAGACCCCTCCTTCTATCCCATGGACCCAAGCTGCTTAGAAATTGGGGGTGCCATTCAGATCCATCCTAAAATAGCATTTACTAAAAGCATCTTTGAAAATAGCTCTTCATCAGTTTGTCCATCTATAAAATGAAAATGATATTACCTTCATTATCTACCTTATCGCTGCTTTAAAAACTATATAGGGCTGGAAAAATATGTCAGTGAAAAGACAAAAATCCTGTGCTGATCTTCAGAAGACTGGGTTCCAGTCATGTAATGCTGGTCAAGGAACTCAGCTTCACAGTCCTCATTTTCCTTGCATTTAACATACAGATAATGATACTGCATTACCTACATAGGGTGTAATTACATATTATATAGGGTGGTGGTAAACCCTTCTTTCTCATTCTCTTTCTTGATCTTCACACCTATGAACCCCGGAAGAGATTTGGCTCATAGTAACACAACTATTATTTGAGCCTAGATTTTACACCATATCTGAAATCCTAAAGTTTTGTCTTTCCCAATTCTAGATGTTGACATTGAGAGGCAGAAAGTAAGTTCTTTGAAGGCAGGGGCTATGCCTTTCTCCCTTAAGAACTGCACTCCTAACATAAAAAGGAGGAAGATCATGTCCTTTGCATGGACATGGATGGAACTCGAGGCCATTATCCTTAGCAAACTGATGCCAGAACAGAAAACCAAATACCATATGTTCCCACTTATAAGTGGGAGGTGAATAATACATGGACACATGGTGGGGAACAACACACATTGGGGTCTGTCAGAGGGTGAAAGTGGGAGGAGGGAGAGGATCAGGAAGAATAGCTAATAGATGCTGGGCTTAATACCTGGGTGATGGGATGATCTATGCAGCAAACCACCATGGTACACATTTACCTATGTAACAAAACTGCACATCCTACAATGTACGCCTGAACTTAAAATAAAAGTTTGAAATTTTTTAAAAAAAGAGCTGTACTCCTACCTCAGCAAGAATCTATATTTTACCTTGTACATCAAATGCCAATTATGTGTACATCAAATACCAGTGTGTTCATCAAATTGATTTTGACGTGTTCTCATTTTATATATTTATAAATGAATACTCATGCAATTTAGCACAATGAAGCAGCATAGTATATTAGCTAAAGTATGGACTTTAAACCCAGAGCAGCTGACTAATCATAGCTCTGCTACTTGATATCTGTGTGTCTGAGAAAAAGACTACATCTCTCTAAACATTGGTTTCTCCATCTATCCCATGGGAAAAAAAAACTAGACCTATGTACAAGGTATTAGAGAAAATAAATGAGATGCTGAATGCTTATAAAGAAGTCACGCTAGGTGCGGTGGCTCACACTCATAACCCCAGCACTTCCGGAGGCCAAGGAAGGCAGATCACTTGAGGTCAGGAGTTCAAGACCAGCCTTGCCAACATAGCGAAACCCTATCTCTACTAAAAATATATATATATATACACAAAAATTAGCTGGACTTGGTAGCATGTGCCTGTTAATTCCAGCTATTCGAGAGGCTGAGGCATAAGAATCACTTGAACCTGGGAGGCTGAGGTTGCAGTGAGCTGAGATAGCACCACTGTACTCCAGCCTGGGTGATAGAGTGAGATACTGTCTCAAAAAATAAAAACAAAAAATAAAAACAAAAACAACAACAACAAAAAAAAAAAACAGAGAGAGAGAGAAGAAGAAAAAGAAGAAGGCATTTTGTATCTTCAGAATCTATCCAAGAAGTGGGCAGAAACAGAGATCCCTACATAAAAGGTAAGAAGGAAGTGGAAGTTTGGGCACCTAGAGAACTCTAAAAAAGTCCAAAGTCACCAGGTGAGGTAGTAGAGAGAGTTTAAAAGGCTCTGGAGAGGGAACAAAGTTTTCTCTTTCCTATGTTCAATCCTACTCCCAGTGTTTCTGCTTTAAAGAAATGAGCTAAAGGGCCAGGTTAAGAAAAGGAAATATTCATTGAGGTAGAACATTACCCCTGAAGGTGGAGAAAAGATTGCTTTTCTCTTGCATCCCTAGGTTCATGGCTGAAGCCCCTGTAACAAAAGACAAGATAAAAGCATACAAATTTATTTAATACAAGTTTTACATGATATAGTAACCTTCAGGAATGAAGACGCAAAGAATCAGGGAAATCTGTGTATTTTTATGCCAAGTTTGATGAAGAAGTGGATAGTTGTAGAGATATTTGATTAGACAAGCCAGTTTGTTCAGATTCTTCTCTGTGTTCCTGTGGTTCCAAAGTTAAGCATATTCCTTTCCTCTGAGTATGGGGTAGGCACTTCTCACATGAGGGTCTTAAGAACTGCTTTAGAGGAAGATCAGAGAATTCTTTTAGGGCCTGCTTCAGGAGAGAAGAGCAGGAGAAAGTCAAAGAGATCTTCTTTCTTCTGCTGTTTCCTCAACTGCCAAGGTGCCATATTTTGGGGTAACATGTCCTGAAACCCATCACTCCAAAACTTGCAGGTTTGCTTCCTTTCTCTTTTCTGCTCTTCTTCTCACCTTCTAACTCCTGAAGCTCATCATTCTAGTCCTATTAATAGTTCCCCAGCAAACACACTTGTTTTCATTTTAACCACTACACACACACACATACAATCTCATACTATAACCTCACATATACACAAAGAGATAGAAGCATGCACACATGTATGTACATCCTTTACTCCTAATCCCTAGCTTCCAAACAGCTCAAGAGACCCACATATGAGTAGTAAGAATTGATGGTATTAATGCTGGTAAAATACAACTGATAGGGCTTCTGGTTAAACTTCACAGATTGAACATGTGCATTTTTCTCCACTTCCTCTCAAATACCATTAAAATTATGATAATATTCAAATTGTGAAAACTGGAGAGTAGATGGGCTGTGGTAAATTACTTGTCAGACCAGAGAAAACTGAAACCTAAACTAGGAGTCAAGGTGGCTTGTGCTGCAGTCCCCAGAAAAACTTAAGAATTGAAATCACCATGGACTTCTGAAGAATCCCCCTCTAGGGAAGAACAAAGGAGAGGGTTATGCAACACAGGATGGGAAAAAAACAATGCAAGGAAATATATCCATTATACCTCAATAAATCCGTTAAAAAGCAACAAAAAACCCCACACACATAAAAAAAAAACTACAAAGGAATTAATTGGAAGTTAGCATCCTAAGTGGTGAGACATCACCCCATCCCCAGTTTCTGGAACTCTAGGAACTAAGCTTATACTTCCAGGCAGAAGATGTGAGGATCCTCTGCAGAAACTGACCAGCTCAAGAAAAAAAAAATAGCGATGGTGATATTTAGGGGTCCTCCAATGAAACAGCTAAGTCTGCATGCCATCATCCATATTTTGGCACAACCCCCTTTCCTTCATGCGCATCTTCCAATCATATTTTTAGCACTTTCCTCTTAAAATGGAAAGGTATTTGAGGGAAACCTCCAACATAAAAGAGAAAGATACAAACAAACAAAAAGAAAAGAAACTCAAAAGAAAAGAGACAACACAAGAAGCAGAAGAGAATTTCAAATACACTCAAAAAATGTTATCTCAAAGATATAAATAAGGAATCTATGGATGAATAGTAAAATGTCATATAAAGGAATATAATTGGAGAACAAGAAAGATGTGTTGAAATTAAAAATATAAAGGCATACTTTTTAAATTTATGTTATGGTTTGGCTGTGTCCCCACCCAAATCTCATCTTGAATTGTAGCTCTCATAATTCTCACGTGTTGCGGGAGGGACCCAGTGGAAGATAATTGAATCACAGGGGCATTTTCCTCCATACTGTTCTCGTGGTAGTGAATACGTCTCATAAGATCTGATGTTTTATAACACTTGCTTGGCTTTCATTGTCTCTTGCTGCTGCCATGTGAAACATACCTTTCACCTTCCACCATCATTGTAAGATCTCCCCAGCCACATGGAACTGTGAGTCCGTTAAACCTCTTTTTCTTTATAAATTACTCAATCTTGGGTATGTCTTTATCAGCAGCATGATAATGGACTAATACAGTAAATTGGTACCAGTAGAGTGGGGTGCTGCTGTAAAGATACCCAGAAGTGTGGAAACGACTTTGGAACTCAGTAACAGGCAGAGACTGGAACAGTTTGGAGGGCTCAGAAGAAGACAGGAAAGTGTGGGAAAGTTTGGAACTTCCCAAAGACTTGTGGAATGGCTTTGCCCAAAATGCGGATAACGATATGGACAATGAAATCCAGGCTGAGGTGGTCTCGGATGGAGATGAGGAACTTGTTAGGAACTGGAGTAAAGGTGACTTGCTATGTTTTAGCAAAGACACTGGTGGCATCTTGCCCTGCCCTAGAGATTTGTGGAACTTTGAACTTGAGGGAGATGATTTAGGGTATCTGGCAGAAGAAATTTCTAAGCAGCAAAGCAATCAAGAGGTGACTTGGCTGCTATTAAAAGCATTCTGTTTTAAAAGGCAAACAGAGCATAAAAGTTTGAAAAGTTTGCAGCCCAACAATGTGATAAAAAAGAAAAAACCCTTTTCTGAGGAGAAATTCAAACTGGCTGCAGAAATTTGCATAAGTTAACAAGGAGCCAAATGTTAATCACCAAAACAATGGGAAAAATGTCTCTAGGGCATGTCAGAGACCTTTGCAGCAGCCCCTCCCATCATAGTCCCTGAGGCCTAGGAGGAAAATATTTTTTCATGGGCCTGGCCCAGGGCTCCCTGCTGCGTGCAGCCTAGGGACTTGGTGCCCTGCATCCCAGCTGCTCTAGCCATGGCTAAAAAGGGCCAAGGTATAGCTTGGGCTCTAGCTTCAGAGGTTGCAAGCCCCAAGCCTTGGCGGTTTTCACATGGTATAGCGCCTGCAGGTGCGCAGAAGTCAAGAATTGAGATTTGGAAACCTCTGCCTGATTTCAGAGGATGTATGGAAATGCCTGTATGTCCAGGCAGAAGTTTGCTACAGGGGTGGGCTCTCATGGAGAACCTCTGCTACGGCAGTGTGGAAGGGAAATGTGGGGTTGAAGCCCCCATACTGAGTCCCTACTGGGGCACTGCCTAGTGGAGCTGTGAGAAGAGAGCCACCATCTTCCAGATCTCAGAATGGTAGATCCACCAACAGCTTGCACCGTGTGCCCGGAAAAGCCTCAGGCACTCAACGCCAGCCCATGTAAGCAGCCAGGAGGAGGGCTGTACCCTACAAACCCACAGGGCCAGGAGCTCCCCAAGACCATGGGAACCTACCTCTTGCATCAGTGTGACCTTGATGTGAGACATGGAGTCAAAGGAGATCATTTGGGAGCTTTAAGATTTGATTGCCCTGCTGGATTTTGGACTTGCATGGGGCCTGTAGCCCATTTGTTTTGGTCAATTTCTCCCATTCAGAATTGCTATATTTACCCAATGGCTGTACCCCCATTGTATCTAGGAAGTAACTAACTTGCTTTTGATTTTACAGGCTGATAGGCAAAAGGGAGCTGTCTTGTCTCAGATGATACTTTGGACTGTGGACTTTTGAGTTAATGCTGAAATGAGTTAAGACTTTGGGGTACTGTTGGAAAAGTGTGATTGGTTTTGAAATGTGAGAACAAGAGGTTTGGGAGGGGCCAGGGGCAGAATGATATGGTTTGGCTGTGTCTCCACCCAAATCTCATCTTGAATTGTAGCTCCCATAACTCCCACATGTTGTGGAAGGGACCATGTGGAAGATAATCGAATCATGGGGGCGATTTCCCCCATACTGTTCTCATGGTAACAAATAAGTCTCACAAGATCTGATGGTTCAATAAGGTGATTCTCCTTTCACTTGGTTCTCATTCTTTCTTGTCTGCTGCCATATAAGATGTCCTTTCACCTTCTGCCATGATTGTAAGGCCTCCCCAGCCATGGGGTACTGTGGGTCCATTAAACCTCTTTTTCTTTATAAATTACCCAGTCTTGGGTATGTCTTCATCAACAGCATGAAAATGGACTAATACAATTTACTACATTAGAAGATAAGGTTGAAGAAATATTTCTAAAATTAGAACAAAAAGGCATAGGTAGAAGATAAAAGAGAAAATAGAGTCAATCCAGAAGATCAAATCCAATATCAGATTTACATAAGTTCTAGAAATCAGTACAGAAGGTCAGAGGAAAGAAAACAATCAAAGAAGTAATACAAAGAACTTTCTGGAACTAAAATACATGAGTCTCCAGATTGAAATGGCCTAGTAAATATCCTGTAAAATAAACAAAAAAAAGGCACAAACCATCCCCATGAAATTCCAGAACAATGGAGATTAGAGAAGATGCTTAAAGCTTCCAGACAAACAAAAAAAGCAGGTAAGAATAGCATCCTATTTCTTAAAAGCAGCAGAAGCTAAAAGAAGATGCCTACAAAATTCTGAGGGAAAATACTCTCCAGCCAAGAATTCTATGCCAGCCAAATCATGAATCAAGTAAGAAGGTCAGATAAAGATATTTCTAGACATGCTCAATCTTTTTTTAAAAAAATAGAAAATTGCCCATGTATTCTTTTTTAGAAAGCTTCAGCCAAATGTGTTCCAACCAAACAACTGAGAAAACCAGGAAAGAAGGAGACATGAGGATCAAGAATAGGGACTCCAACACAGGAAAGAGGTCAAAAGAATCTTAAGATGATAACTGGGCAGCAAACTGAGATAGCAGCTCGTCCACATTTGGAGTAGTTGACTAGAGGCTCCCAGGGAGATGTCTCCTACAGGAATAAAGGAACTATTTGATTACTTCATGTGTTTAAATGGAGTAAAACGAGTTTTACAGCTTTAGTGAAATATATGGGAATGAATTATTGATAGATACATAGAAAACTAAGCAAATGATACAGGAAGTCAATTAATGATTCCAAGGAAAAGTTGCAAAAGAAAAAAATGAAGTTGTAGAACACTATGTCTCAGCTGTAAATAATATTGACAAAGTCAAGATGAACAAAAATAGTGGCTTCGCTATATTGAGAGACAGAAGGAGAGACATTAAGACATTAAGGAAGTGTATAAAAGGAGTTATTTAAGAGAGCAAAATCATCATCCTTTTATTTTACCTAGTTAGCTAAACAGCAAAGAAAAGCAGCTAAGAGTTGAAAGTGGTTCCCTACCAGAGACAGAATCAGGATGAGCAGGCATGAGACAAGGAACTACTGATTTGTGTAAACCAAGTTAATTAAGATACCAGTAGCAGGGAACTGGACTAACGGTGGCTTACTATGTGAGGATACTTGTTGTTTACTTTTTCAAAAAATGTACAGAAATAGATGGGCTTGGAAGCTCAGTGACATCACTGAGGACTCATTGCTTTCCAGCTTTCTGCTCCACCATCCTCAGTGTGTTGCTTTTCAACCTTGTTCACTCAGGGCTGCAAGGTGGCTGCCACAGATGCAAACATTGTGTTCACAGGCAGATCATGGGAGACAGATTGCCCGTGACTGAGCAAGAAAGTTGTCTTCATGTAACTCTTCCCTCTCATTAGTGAATCAGTTAGGATTAGTTTTGATAATGAGTGATAGGGACCCAAAATTAGAATGTCTAGAGCAAGGCAAAATCTTGTTCTCGCCACTCTAGAGGAGGTAGGTTGTCCAGGATTGGTATGAGGTTTACTTACTCTGTGATCCCTTCAGAAAACAAGCCTCCATCTCTCTTGTCATTCTACTAGTCACAGCTTCCTTTCTCAAGGTGACTTCATAGTTCCAGAAGGTTACAGCAGCTCCAGCCATCATGTCAACATTACAGCCAGCAGGATGGAGGAATGAGGAATAAAAAGGACACATGAGAGCTTTCTTTTGACGAAATTTCCTGAAAGCTGCCACAAAACACTTTTGCTTATATCCTACTGGCCAGGATTTAGTCACAAAGCCACAACTAGCTAGAAAAGACACTGGAAAATGCAGTATTTATTCCTAGTAGCCATATGCACAGCTAAAACTTAAAAGTTCTAAAAAAAAAAAAAAAAAGGGAAGAACAAAATAACAGATACCTGGCAGTCTTCACCACAATTAGAAAGGAAAATATCTTTCCTGGAAGACCCTGAGTAGAGTCCACCTTACATCTCGTTAGCCGAAACTGGGTCACATGGCCACCTCTGCCTATGAGAGAGGCTGGTGATGGGAGAATCTGGACTTTCATCCTCTGCAGTAGAAAGCAAGCAACAGAGACAGGGGTTGAGAATGGCTGCAAATAGCCAAACAAGTGCCTGCCTCACAAATCTTGTAGCACAATTTGACCTTAAAGCTATATACACATATTACTTTTATGTTTTAATGTCTATAAATTTTAAAATGTATATAAATAACAAATAAGTAAATTTGTTTTTATGGGAAAACTTGTCAAGATCTGCTGCCACACTCCCTCCATCTTCTTAGTGAATAAATAAAAGAAAAAAGTTACAAAGTCAAAATACATACACACAAATAATAGCAATGGCTATTCATATAGTCTGTTTATGTCATGCTTTGCCACATTGATTCTGTCATTTATTCAACAAACATTTATTGAATGCTTGCTATGTACAAAGGTATATGGACATGACTGAGTCTCAGTTCATGCCTTCAAAAAGGTCACAGGTTTGAAGGAGAGAGACACAAAGCCCATTTTTTACAATACGGCATGACAAGCACTAGGTTGGAGGATTGCAGGGGATGACAATTGCAACAACCCAGAGAAGGGCCATTGAAGTTGGCCCAGCAGACAGGGGAGGCTTCCCTGAGGAGGTAATTTTTGAGCTGTTTTGAAAGATAGGCAGAAATGTGCCAGGAGATGAAAAGGGCATGGAAAGGACATCAAGCCACAGAAGAATGAACACAAAGGCATGCATCACATTATAGCTAGGAAGAATAAGCCACATTATTACCCTGTCTATCACAGATATGAACAGGTAAGCATGCAATTTACATTTAACAAACATTTGGTAGAGTGAATCAAGAGGAATAGCAACTCTCTTAATCTACTTCAGCTTAACTAGTACTCTAGATCAGGAGTTGGCAAACTATGGCCCTCAGGCCAAATCCCATCTGCTGCCTGTTTTTGGAAACAAAGTTTTATTGGGATATAACTACACTCATTCATTTACACATTGTCTAGGGCTGCTTTTGTGCTATGATGGAAGAGTTGAGTAGTTGGCCATAGAAACTGTAGAGTCTTGCAAAGCCTAAAACATGTACTACGTGGTCCTTTATGGAAAAAGTTTGCTAACCCCTATTCTAGATGAGCTGATATCCTTCATTCCCTTTAAAACATACAGCACTCTGAGCTCAAAGCTAACAAGTAATAAATAATAATATATCCTTGCATCCCACCAATTTAGTTATATTCTTTCCAAGAGTAAATTGTTCCCAAATGTGTTTTGTCAGTTTCATGTGTTGATGTAAATATCTAATTCAATAAAATATTGTGTATATTAATAAAATGAGTGTGAAAAGGAAGAATGTTTCTATTTTAAAAATTAAGCAGAATACATTGAAAAATATCCATCACACCATGCTAATAAAAGTTATCAGTGAGTCAGATGTGAATGAGACAACTATAATTATAAAATATTAAGATTTTACCTTGCAAGTGTGTATAACTTTCACTCCATGTTTTAAAACCCTAAAATTAGAAATCAGAGATGATGCATTTAGGGGAGATGTTTATACAAGAAAGACAACACAAAATTACGATTAGCAATACATCCTTAGAGAGCAGTCTTGGCTCAACATCAACTGACAGGAGTTCCCCTAAAAACTCAGATTAAAATTAAACTAAATATTTTAAGTAAGTAAGTGAGTGATTAAGCAAATAGTATGTAGATAAATATTAATGTATATTTACTGGATTCTTTTTAAAATGATTCCATGACTTAACCAACTCTTTACTGTAAGGAGAGGAAAAGACAAAGTAACTGTGTTTGTTTGTGTGAACAGAGACATAAGATTTCAACTCCCTAAATTTTCTGGGGCCCATCTTGTTCTGCAAGACTCATCTCTCAACCAACCACTGCCTTGACCCCAAAAGGGGTCCAGCCTATGGGCACCCATTGCTGCCCAGTGCCAGCTCCTGAGAAAGTCAGACAAACAGGACTCAGACCTCACACTCCTGGCTCTGGATCAGAAAGGAAGAATGAGCTGACACTGGCCCCATGATGAGCAGAAATTAATTACCAGGTTAGCCTGTGAAAATGTCAACTCATTAAATCCCCAAAGTGCGACATCTAAGCTCTGACAAGCGATCTAGGAAATAAAATGGAAAAAAATAAAACAGCCCCTCTTCCTTACAAGTTACACAAATTCAAAGTTCAGAAAACTTTTTCTTTGGTCTCTTTGCCCGTCACCTCATAGAACCTTGGATCCACCTTTAATCTGGAGCTTCAAACAAATCCCTGCTTCCTTAGGGCTCTAAAAATAATTGTGTTCCTTGTGGTACATTAACTCTTTTCAAAAGAATAGTCAAATTGCTCATAAAACAGCTGGTTATTTTCTCAAGATCCTTGATTAAACCTTGTTTTTTCAGAGAAGCCTATTTGGTTTTTTTCTAGCTAATTTCCCCTCTGCCCCCAAAGGCTATCCCTTCCAGAGAAAGAAAAAATGCTTCTTATTCAGTTTTCCATCCTGGAATCACAGCGGTGAGCAATGTGACATCAGATATGGCATTAAGAAATCTTGAGCCCACCAGGAAGCTCCCTAAAGAAGGGCCATGTTCTCCAGAGTCATCCTGGGCTCTCAGGCTCTCCACCACCACCAAGGACAGAGCTATGCAGGCAGGAGATGCCCCAAAAACACACACTGAAGATGAGGAACAAACAATGATGAAAAATCCAGGACCCAGACTCCATATAAACCTGCCCTCCAACTAAGTCAGTTTCCAAAGACATCATTCTTCCTCTTTCTAAACCTCTGCCCACATTGTTTGCCCCCACCTCCATCCCCAAATTTCCAATGCAGGTCACATTTCACCTTTTCTTCAAAATCTTTTCTTAATACTAAGTGGGGCCCTCTGACATTCTCCCTGCCTCACCCATCTATCACTATTTGGTATGAACATTTATTGTGATCATTGGCTTAAATTCAATCCAGCACTATTTTCTATTCTGTCTTCTAGATTCCAACTTACCCATGTCACATCTGAGAGCAAGGCCGTGCCTTATTCCTCCTTTTTCTCTTGCATTGTATTCAGCAAAACAAAGTATTTTGCAAAACATGTTTTCTTTTCCTTCTCACTTACCTACCGTCTTTTCACAGCCCCCAAATAGCAACCAGTGTCCTTTGAGTGGAAGCCCTACTTGGGCCAATTCCTTAAGCATAGGAACCATATGAATACAAAGCTTCCAAAATGCTTCGTACTAGGAGTCCATGAATTAACAACCCCAGAATCTCATATTCTATGCCATAACATAATTATGTTTGCTTATGAATAGAGGAAACAAAATTGCCCTCTCAAACTCAGGTGTAGTGGGCAGTCTGTATGGTGGTATTCACCTTACAGACTGGTATTCATGCCCTTGTACAATTTCCTGTCTTTGTATATGACCTGTACCTACCAACTTACTTCTAATTAATAGACTGTGGCAGAGCCATGGAATGCCATTTTCGAGATTAGGTTACAAAAAGACTATGCCCCTGTATTAGTCTCTCTTTCTCTCTCCCCACACCTTGCCTTTTCTTTTCCCCAGTCTATCCCCCTCTCTTCTCCCTCTGTCTCTGTCTGTCTGTCTGTCTGTCTGTCTCTGTCTCTCTCCCTCTCTCAGCCTTTTCTCTAAGGTAATCAAGTTGCTATGTTGTGAGTAATAGCTCTGTGGAGAGGTCCACAGAGCAAGGAAATGAGGTCTCCAGTCAATATCCAGAGAAGACTTGAGGCCTGATACATGACTGAGCTTGGAAACAGATCTTCCCCCAGTCAAACTTTGAGATGACTTCAGTCCCAGCTGACACATTGATTGCAATCTTATGAGAAACCATGAGCCAGCGACATCTAACTAAACATTCAGTTTTGTTTTGTTTTGTGACAGGATTTTACTCTGTCGGCCAGGTTGCAATGCAGTGGGGCAATATCAGCTCACTGCAATCTCCGCCTTCCAGGCTCAAGTGATCCTCCCACCTCAGCCTCCCTAGCAGCTGGGACTACAGGCACATGTCACCACCCCTGGCTGATTTTTTTTTTTTTTTTTTTTTTCTGGTGGAGACGAGGTTTCACCATGTAGCCCAGGCTGGTCTTGAACTCCTGAGCTCGAGCAATCCACCCACCTCAGCCTCCCAAAGTCCTGGGATTACAGGGTTTGGTATTTTAAGACACCAAATTTTGGGGTACACAGCAATAAATAACCAATACACCAAGTTTTCCACAAACATTAGATTTTTTTTCTGCAAAACTAAATCTAATGTAGGCCCCCTCCTCTCTATGCCAGATTGGCAAGAAATTATCTTATTCAATCCTGTAACTCTATATGCACATCTATATCTCCCAGAGTACTATCAAAGTCTCAGGGTATTTGGGACAGGGTATTTGAGGAAGGGCCTTCAGTCCTTGGTTTGTACTGGTTACCACTACTAGGCTCATTGCCCAGCTGTGCATGGCCCTTGGAGTTAGCGGGTGAAGAAGCTCCACACATTCCCTGCCAAGCCTCTGCTCTACCACTGGGACTTTTGCTGAGGCTAGAGCCCAGCACTCAAGGCCAGCCTACCCTCTGCAGTTCTCAGTTGCCAATCAGGGATAGGGGCATCCGGGCCCCTCATAGCCCTGCATCCCTTCCCAGGCTTCTCAGAATCTCCTTTCTCTGTCAGTTCCAACTCTTTTCTTCACATCTCTCCATCCCTGCATATACATACACATGCCCTTACACAATTTCAAAGAGTTTAGAGTTTTGAGAAAGCCTGAAAGATAATTATCTTCAAGCTGCTACTGCAACAAGAACACAATGGCCTTCTCAGAATTCAGGAAAATTTTTAAAAAAAATTGTTCTCATTCTTTCTGATGCTTCCACGCCCTCAACCAAAATACAAATTAAGGTTTCAATAAATAATCTCACTGCACTTATTTTCCCCACATATTCAAGAAGAGATTTATGCTCCAAAAAGGGTTGCCATGTTTACCCTAAGGTTTGTAATACCTTCCAGCACTCTGCAGTGAACCACCACCTACCACCTCCCAACACACACCACCACACACACAGCACTGTAAGCAGCTCAATAATGGTGGAATGAGAGACTTCCTAGTAGGAACCTACTTCTTCCAAATCTCCCTCACTCTATTAAAGAATAGCCCAAGCAACCAGCCACAAGGCAGGCATCATGCAGGCATAATTGGAATAAGCTTCTACTAATTGTGTGTGATTTAAGTTGAACCAGGGAAGTCTCTCAGACACAAAATATCTTCCTAGTGGCCTGTAACAATCACTAAACTTCATTTTTAGAGCCTGGCTCATTTGGGTTTAAAGCATTGTTACTCCAAAGTTAAATTATCTATTATGCTACTTTTAGCCAGGAGCACCTTCTTGGAATTTAGCTTATCAGTTCTTTTCTAAGAGTCAGCTTATTGAAAAAAAGAGTGGGTTCTGCTATAAATGGAGGAAGAGGAATAAAGAGGTTTTGAACAGCAGCAGTGAAGGCATCTTGACTGCTCGAGGCAGTCATTGGGAGTGGGATGAGTAGAAAAATGCTCCTTATTACTGTAAATGTGTCACGACTATTGGGGTTATAATACATTATATTCTGTTATGGTTACTCCATGAAGACTGATTTTTCTATGAAGGCCTCCCCTGTAACTAGATACGGCCTCATGAAGGGTCATTGTTAGTGTTCAGTAATAAAGGTATACGCTAATGTACGAGAAGAAACCAGAAATGAAAGATCTAGACATCAGAGTCTAGATGTCTGGGTGGATATCCATAGGTGGTATGTACAAAGATAATGTCCTCCCCATAAAGAGAGACCAGGCTGGGTCTCTTCCCAAAGATACCTGAAGAATACGGTAGGAACTGTCTGCACTCAAAAAAGATCTATTTATAAAGAAAATTTCATAGTGTTCTTTGTATGGTAGTTACTTGACCCTCAGCTTGTGAGAGACCAAATCAGTTGAGCAACTGCCTGAAATGTCCCTCTTGAAGGGGCTACAACACTGCCAGAAATTCAGCAAGGAGTAAATTGTATTTACTGAAGCTCCTCTAAAAGAAAAAGCGTACTGATTGAAAATAATTTGGGAGGGAAAGATTGAGAGAGACCCTGAGGGTCAGGTCTTCCAAAAATGGTAAAACTGGTTAATCACTGGACTTTTGATTTTCTGAATTGGGTATGAAGATGTGGGTTAGTGGTTAAATTACTCAGGGATCATCAAGGAAAGGCTAAGTGCTACTATCATGAGTATTTCTCTCTGCTCCCCAAATACATCACTTGCAAAGACATATCAGATGGAAGAACACCACACTACTATCCTGCTTGTGGGCTTAGGTCTACCTGTCCTACTCATGAGAAAGTCTAGTCTTAGTTCAGCTGGACTACTGAGAATCAAGGGAAAGGAAACTTGTATCTCACTTGGATCAGTGTACTCGTGAGGCCACTTGTGTTGGTCTCATCCAAGAAACAAACCGCAAAAACAAGATAAATCTATGAGCAGTCCAATCCCCGAAGCCCTACCCCACAGGAGATTCTCCTCCATATAGGGCCAACTTCAGAAGAGCTAGAGTTTGCTGCCATTAACTAGGAAGGTATCATTTCCTTCCAAGGTGGCACTGAGAATGCATGATGAAAGAGATCACAAGAAGAGATAAGAGAATTTTAAAGATGGATAAAGACTACCTTGTTCACAGTTCAGAGGACCATCCCTGGACATAAACTTATTGGTTAGAACGTGCTGTCATAATAAACATTCATAAAATAATAAAGGACAAATATTCCAGATATTCTTCTCTTTACAGGTGAGGTTCTCTATGCAGCAGCAATAGAATGAGGAGGAAAGCTGAAGAATGGCTCATATTGTCCATTTCTCCTCACCAATTGCATTCACTCCCACTTTCTACTTTCTCCACTGGCCCCACCATCAAAAAGCACTGGATTTCAGATCCATGGATAGCTCTTCTCCTTTTGTCCCAAAGCAAAGAGTATGTACATAAAATGTTCAGGGCACAAACACTATATTTGGGCTTCCAAAGTAGCCTACCTCATGTAAATTTTTTATTCTATGATGGTTCTCTCTCTTGTTCCTAAGCTCATCCCTGGACTAAAAATCATGACACTGTTAGAGCTTACAGGGTCTTTAAAGAACATCTGACTTGCCAAAGAAAACCAGGTCTAGAAAGGAACAGTGATTTGTCCAAGATTCCACAGTTGTTTGTGGAAAAGACACAGGCCTTTCTGTGTATTTACACAGGAGGACTGCTGCCTCTAAGGCTGGCTTCCACTGTTTTTAGCTTGATTTCACTCAATTTCGATTTATTTAGCTGTGGCCTCAAGCCACCTTCTCTGAAGGGCTTACTCAAGGCCACGCTCTCCAGAATCACCTCAAAATGCTGCTGCTGAGAGCCAACATGATTCATGAATCACTTACAAATTTCCTATATTCTTCTCTCTAAAGTATTACCAACATTAATTTTTCTTTTCCAGGCCAGCTCAAGGAAGAATAACAGCCCCTCTGTAGCCTGAGGTCCTCACTGAAACACAGCATTAGGATGAGTGAGGTGTGGAAGTCAGCCTGGGCAGGAGACTTCCACAGAGCTGTTCTCAGACCACTGAATCTACAGTTTCACAGCAAATGAGATTGGAAATTTCACCTTCTATGCTTGATCTTTAGGTTTAAGACTTTTGTCCTTGTGAAAATGCAAATATCGGCTGGGTGTAGTGGCTCACACCTGTAATCCCAGCACTTTGGGAGGCCGAGGCGGGCAGATCACCTGAGATCAGGAGTTCAAGACTGGCCTGGCCAACATGGCGAAAACTTGTCTCTACTAAAAATACAAAAAAAAAAAAAAAACAAAAACCAGCCGTGGTGGTGGGTCTCTGTAACCCCAGCTACTCAAGAGGCTGAGGCAAGAGAATCATTTGAAACCAGGAGTCGGAGGTTGCAGTGAGCAGAGATCACGCCACTGCACTCCAGGCTGGGCAACAGAGTGGGACTCCGTCTCAAAAAAAAAAAAGAAACGAAAAAGAAAATGCAAATATCCCTGTCAATGGGTGGATCATTATAGAGCATCAACAAATGATCAGAATGCATAGGTGATAGGAAGGGAAGAGAGAGCAAATAGCAAAAGGCCAATGTTGGAGAAGGCAAAGATGAGAAGAAGAAAAATAAGGAAAGAGGTCCTCCAAGGGCTGAGAGGTTAGAAGACAAAACAGAGAACCCTAGGGAAGCATTTTGGCCCACCCCATCCCTCACCACTGCACTTAGCTTTTAAATAGTAGCTTTCCCTGTCTTCTTGGCTATTTACAGTTACCTTATTAACGAGGTGGATCCTGTGATTCCCATTGCATCTCCATTTGCAAAAAATAGAGATGCCCAAATAGCTCCACCTTGAGAAGAGATTTGGAATTATTTCACCATCACCACCACCTTCAGCCATTCAGGATTCCAACATTTTTGATCCTAAATACCTAGAGGTTGTGGGCTATGTCCCCTGCCTAGAAAAATAAGGGGGCTTTCTCAAAAGTTTTATGCGTTAAGTTCAACAGAGGAAACACAGACAAAAAAAGAAAAAACAAAAACAAACAAACAAACAAAAACCTCCAGTCTTTTCCCAGCTTTGTTGTAGGAGAAATAGGGTTAAAAAATTACCTTTAGTTATCTGGGTTTCATGGTTTAACATAAATATTTTTTGTCTTCTTCTTCTTTCTATTTCCTGTTTCTTGATAGACTACTACAGTGAGTTAGAGAAAAGGCAGTCTTTGGATACAGTCCCCACAAGACTGCTCCCACTTCAGACATCGGTTGCAAGTTCAGAGGTCCCCAGGGCCACCCACACTTCAGACTAGCTGGTTAAAAAATTGGGGATTCCCACAATCACCCTTAGGTTCAAAAATTTCCTAGAATGGCTCACAGAATTCAGGAAAATATCACACTTTGGATCACAGTTTTATTATAGCAAAAGGATACAAATTAGAGCCAGCCAAAGAAAGAGTGAAGCACAGAGTAAGATCTGGGAGATTTCCAAACACAAAGTTTCCACTATCCTCAGGGACTTGTTACCCTCCTAGCATTGATGTGTGACAACTCACCCAGAGTATTCCCAAGCAGGGAAGTGCACCCAAGCTTCAGTGTCCAGAGTATTTGGGTTTTTTTTTTGTTTGTTTGTTTGTTTCATTATACAAGCACGATTGATTAAATCAGCGCCCTCCCGAATGAACTCAATCTCCAGCCTCCCTCTCCTCCCAAAAGGTAAGGCTGATATCACGTGGCTGAAAGCCCAAACCCTCTAATCACATGCTTGGCATTTCTAGCATGGACAGCCTCCCCCCGAGTCATCTCACTGGCATACACTATCAGGTCAGGTGCAGTCTGAGGAATCCGCTATGAATAGCAAAGACACTCCTATCATTCTGGAAAGTCCAAGGGTTAGAGATTATCTTCCAGGGGCAGGGACAAAGGTCAGGCCTCTCATTGTGTAAATTTAATTCTTCACTACATAAAAAAGCCCTAATATATATATAAAACATATTTAAAAGGTGTAAATCACTCATAGTGGATAGTAGGCTCTATTATAATACATACCACAATATATTATTTTAATAAATGTCAAACATCTAATGAAGAAAGTGATTGATTCCATTGCTTAAGTAGGGCTCTATGAGGTAAAAATGACCTGCTTAGGCTAACTATAAACTGGGCTTTTTAAACAGAGTCAAACCTAATCCTTCCACATTGACCTCCCAGATGAGTTAAAATGAATGAGGGTGGTAGAAGAAACAAGCATGTATTGTTACCTTGAAACCAAATGGTTGGAGGTGATAAAACTCTCCAAAAATATCCAAGGACTCTCCTTTTTTCTGGCAAAAAAAAAAGTACAAAACATAAAAAATCAAATTATGTGTCCCTTGTGTTAACAGGAGAAATTCCAAATGTTCCCTGCTGGTTCTTGAAAAGTGCAGTTTCATAGCCTTGCCCTGTGCCAAGGCTAGGGTGAGGCTCCCCGGACCATCCATCATAGCCTCTCCTTCATGGCCCTTTCCCATGAGCCCACAGAAGGGATGTAAAATTCTTGTGATAGCAGATGTTCAAATTAGACTTAGAATGCTTTTGTGAAAAATTGCAGCAGCTCTGAGACATATTCCTCTAAAGATTTCAAAGAGCGTATTCTTTCCATGTGCTTGTTTTTAAAGAAAAGTAATGAGCCTTCAGCCTTGCTTTCCTAGATGCATTTCCTTTCCTCAAGTTTTCCAAAATTTCAATCCAATTATATTAATATAGTGTACCTAAAACTCTTCAAAGAATAGTAGGGAGTCATAGAAAAAGGAGAAGTGGTCCCCACCTTCAGTTTATAATCCATCTCAGGAAATAATACTAGCATATTCAGATCCTTTAAATAGGAAAACAATGTGACATTTAAGTCAGTATCTCAAACTCTTGGAACCAGGCAATCCTCTTGCCTCAGCCTCCCAAAATGCTGCGATTAGAGGTGGAGCCACAGTGCCCAGCCATTCAAGTCAGTTTCAAGAAAAAATAGTTAACATAATGAATATCTTAAGAATTCAAGGTGAAGAAAAATTGAGGCTTGACTAAATATGAAGAAAGCCTTCTCAAAGGATGTGAAAGTTAAGTTAGGCCTTGAGAAAGAATAGGAACTTTAGCCCACAGCAAATGGGGAAGGGAGAGACATTCCAGAAAGAAAAGCTAGCATATGAGAAGGTATAGACGTAGGAGAGAGAAAAATGTTTACTTATCTAGGGAAGTTTTTTTTTCGGGGGGCGGGGGTAGGGCAGGTAAGGGATAACCTGATAGAGAAGTAAAAAGCATCCGTGCCCCTGCCCCTGAGAACTTTGAAGTCTATAGTTTTTTAGAAATATTCAGATTAGAGATAGAGGATTTATAACTAGTTGTCTTATTACTAAAATGGACCTGCAAATGCTTACATGACAGAAGAACTATGAACAAATATTGGAATAGGTATTTGAATAGGACTACAGCATCCATTCTATTATGGAGGAAAATTATTTCTTAGAGAACTATATTCCTTAATTATGTGTTAGCTCAAAAGATACTTTTCTCACCCCAAGTTCCTACTGTGAAATATAATACTGGGTGAAATTCAAGCACATAAACAGGTATTCACAAGCCAAACAGCATCAGAGGAAAACAACTTAGAGGGAGAATTCTATTTTAACAAATGTCCTTCGAAGTTCCAGCCACACTGGGCACAGGCCAATAACTCAAACTAACATTATTTTATTGTCACAAGTCTGAGAAGGCAGGATAATACACTGGGTAGTAGAATTGGGATCCAGTGTAAAATGTGACATTACATGATGGTTCAAGCCCAACCAGATGCATTTTAACAGGAATAAACTCAATGCTCAAGTGTACAATGTAGAAAATATGTCCTGATATCATAGATTAAAAAAGAAAAACCTAAAAGTCATAAATATAATACGGTTGTACCTAGAGAGCAAAAGCAAACTTGGGCTGTGTTAAAAGCAGGTCAGTGTCCAGAGGCAGGGAGGAGATTGTCTGATCTGTTCTGCACAGGTAGCATCACCTGGGCTCACCACACACTTTAAATAGGAGCACAGAGATCCAGAGGTAAGTCAAGAGCAATCTATGAGCTTTCACCTGGAAAAAAAAAATCAATCTAGGGAAAAAGGAACATAATTGTTGACTTCAGTATCTGTGCTAAACAGGCGGGATTAGATTGGTTCTCTACTGTGCAGTTCCCCAACTTTCCAAACCAAAAATCAAGACACAAATAGTTTTTGTGCCACTTCTGAGTGTAAGACTTAACCTAGGATATATGGTTTGAATACGGAGAGCTGGAAGTTCCAGCATGACCCTGTGATAGCTTATAAAATAGTAAGTATTTGAAATCAGATATTATGTTCTAGAAAATCTGGGGCTTATAGTCACAGAATACAATTATAATGAATTAGAAGAAATTCTAAGACAATAAATTCCAGCTCATTATGAGGGAAAATATTCTAACAGAAAGAGTAATCCAAAAATCAAATGCTCTACCTCAGGGGGTACAGATTTTTGCAATAAATATTTATTGTGAACTTGCTAACAACCATTATCCTGCCCTAAAGTCATTCAGGGTCTAGGGTAGAAGCTAAGCAAGGGAATAGACAACGACAATGCTCAAGATTAAAAAAACAAAAGAAAAGTGTAATAGAGGTAAGAAAAAATGTAGAACAGGAGCCTGCATAGTGAAGAGTGGGGAAAATGATGCTTGAATTTAATCTCAAGGTTTGGTTGCAATATAAAAATTTATTAGATTGGAGTCACCCAGGAATCAGAGATATAAGTGGAGAGGGCATTGTCATAATGCAGGAATGATACAGCAATGGCCTGAGCTAGGGCAGAGCTAGGGGTGTTAAAGAGCAATTAATATTAAAGAACCATTAAAGAAGCAGAATAAACAGGACTTCAATTAGGCTATGAGTATGAATGGTGTCAATGATAGCTGGGTTTCCTTGAAAGATGGTAGTTCCATTCAGCCAGATAACAGACAACAAGGACTTTCGCCAAATATGAATTTAGTCCTGGACAGGTTGAATTAGGAAAGTCTGGAAAAACAACCTCGTGCAGGTGTGCAAACAGTTGAATACGTGGGTCTAGCATTCAAATAAAAGAAAAAGAAAGAATTAAAAGACAAAGTTGAGGATATCTCATAGGAGGTATATCAAAAAGACATATCAATAAAAACTAGGAGATCTAAGCAGTCAAACATCCAAAACGAGGAATTCTTAATAAGTAGAGAAAATACAGGATGGTTGAGGGAATTGTCAAAGAAAAAGATATAAGAGTATTTTTGAAGGAAACAAATTTCCAGATTAAGAAGTCCAAAGGCCCAACATAATGATGAAAAAGAAATTCACAGCATGACATGACTATGAATTTTAAGAATCCTGAGTATAAAGTAAAGATTCTAAGAAGAAAAAACAAATAACATACAAAGAACTAGAAATAAGAATGGCATCAGACTTCTCAACAGCAACACTGAAAATTAGAAGACAGTGAGGTATGTCTTCAAAGTAATCTGAGAAAAAAATGCCTAACTTACAATTCTATACCCAGCCAAACAGTGAATCAAGAGTGAAAATAGAGTTATTTCCTTACATGCAAGGTCTCAAAAAATATACTTCTTATGCATTCTTTCTCAGGAAACTTCTAGAGGATAAGTTCCTACAAAACAAAATAATTACTGCCAAAAAGAAAGAGGAACATATGGGAGCCACACAACAGTGGGCACAGGATAAAGGAGGTCAATAGAATTCCCACTATAATAAGAAAGCAAATCCCATGACTACAGCTGGGCAGCCATTTTATAGAGCAGCCAGTCCAGATTAAAGCAGAAAAGAAAAAGGCTCTGAGAGACAGGTTTCCAGAAGAAAATAAAAGTGATAGATTTTCTGATAGGCTTATAGTGTGGAAGATTGGATTGAGAATAATTTTATAGTTACTGAAGGATATAGGAAGACTTAGCAACAGACTGGAAGAAAGGTAAGTAAATTTAATAACAAAACAAAAAGAACCAAAAGTTGAGTCATTCATAACATAGCTCTGGGCTCAGCATTGAGCAATGTTATGTTGACAATTATTAATTATGAAAATAATGAATATAGATGTGATCAAATGCATTATAAAATTATATTAGGAAGATACAAGGTGATGAAATATGCATGAGCAATGAATAACATCAGAAATCTATTTCTGGGTAATAAATCATCCCAAAACTTAGTTAAAACAACTGAAGTCTGCTTATGAATCTGTAGCTTAGCAATTTGGACTGGGCTCAGACAGTTCTTCGCTCCCATGGCTGTTATCTGGGGGACTCCAGATGACCTCACACTCATGTTTTGGGACTGGTGCTGGCTGTCTACTGGTAGGCCTAAGAGCCTCAGCTAGGATGCCTTGTCTGTGTTTCAAGTATCTTATCACCCTTCAGTCAGATCGGGTTTGTTTACATGACAGCCTCAGAGGAGTGTTCCAAGAGCAGAGGTGAAATGGTTCTTCAAGTCTAGGTTTAGAGGTCCCACAGGGTCATTGCCAGAACATTCTCTTGGTCAAAGGAAATCATATGGCCAGTCTAGATTGTATGGGTAGAAAAACAGATCCTACCTCTTGACAGGAGGAGCTACAAAGGCACTTTGGAAAGCGGTATGCACACAGGGATGGGAGAATTTGTTGTAGCCACTTTTTCAAAGACTCCACCATAATGATATGTAAGAAGTAAGCCTTTATCTTCTATAATGGGAAGTGAGTATAATGGCCAATGTAGGAAAATCAGCAAATCCATATGAAATTTGTAAATATGGTAAACAGAACAAACAGCTGAAGAGTTTAAAGTGGGTGACTTTGAAGAAGCGGTCTGGGTGAAGAGAGGCAGGACAGGTGACTGCTGTTCTTTGTTATAAGCTGTCTATAACTTTTTGACTTTCAAACTATGAAATTTGATTACTTTGAAAAGCAAAACAAAAGTAAAATGTTTGGCTGTACTAGCAATTCCATTTCTGAATATATACCCCAAAGAACTAAAAGCAGAGACTCAAACAGATATAGCACTGTTCATAGCAGTATTATACATACCAGCCAAAGGAGGAAACAACCTAAATGTCCATCAACAGATGAACAGATGAACAAAATGTGATATACACATATAATGGAATATTACTAAACCTTAAAAAAGAAGGAAATTCTGACACATGCTCTAACATGGATGAACCCTGAAGATGTTATGCTAAGTGAAATAAGCCAGACACACAAAAAAATAACTATCATATTACACCACTTGCATCAGGAACCTAGAGTAGTGAGAGTTAGTCAGAAGCATAGAGATAGAAGGTAGAATGGTGGTTGCCAGGGACTGGTGGGGAAGGGAGAACGGTGAGTTATTATTTTTTTATTTTATTTTTTATTTTTTGAAACAGAGTCTTATTCTGTGGACCAGGCTATAGCGCAGTGGCACGATCTAGGCTCACTGCAACCTCTGCCTCCCGGGTTCAAGCGATTCTCCTGCCTCAGCCTCCTGAGTAGCTGGGATTACAGACGCGCACCACGCCCGCCTAATTTTTTCTTTCTTTCTTTTTTTTTTTTTTTTTTTTTTTGTAGTAGAGACGGGGTTTTACCATACTGGCCAGGCTGGTCTCGAACTCCTGACCTCATGATCCACCCGTCTCAGCCTCCCAAAGTGCTGGGATTACAGGTGTGAGCCATGGCACCCAGCCGGAATTTCATGAAAGAGTTCTGAAAATAGTGGTGATGATTGCACAACAATGTAAATATACACAACAACGCTGAACTATCCACTTAAAAATGATTAAATGGTAAATTTATTTTATGTATATTTTACCTCAATAAAAAATAAACAAGTGCTGCAGGAAAAAACAAACAAACAAAAAACTTTGGCTACTAAGGGAAAGAAAGGTAGTAAGTGGTTAATAAGAGAGGCATGATGTTAAGGACTGGACTTTGTTTGCTTTTCCCTCTTTCTTTTTTTCTTTTCTTCTTTTTTTAAGAATAGAGACGTCTTGAGTTTTTTATGCGCTAAGTGAAAAGAACCAGTATAAAGCTGAGGTTTGACACAGCTGATAGGGGGATAACTGGTAGAGAGAAGCATCTGCTAAAGGAGTATCTGGGCAATTGAGGCTTGCCTGCACTGGCTTGTGCTAAAGATTGTTTGAGTAAGCCCCTGGTGAGCTGTCACAGACTGGAGCAATGACTGCCTTCCACTCCTGAGAGCTCTGCAAAATCAGACATGCCTCACAAAATCCTATGGAGTAAAATATGTCACCTGACAGGAGCATTCACCAATCTCTTACCATTTATGCGTTTATCACTCAATCTGCTTGCTGAACTAGTTGGAGGAAAGAGTATTTTTTATAGATTGTATGGTCAAAATATTGGTCATCTGTTTTAAGAGGAAACTTAACTGCATTCATTGTTATTGTTTTTCTAAAGAGTGGACTATAACTACTTCCCTTATTTTCTAGGATGATTTAAGGAGCAAACTCTCTGGCCATCATAGGAAAAGGATGGCTTTTGAACGGTTTTGAGCTTTTGGCTTCTGGGGTCATCAGAGTCCATTGCAAATGAATAACAGCAGAATCAGTATGGGGGCTGAGGAGGTGAAACAAGAAAAGAGGAGTGTCTCTGAGATAAATCAAAAGAGAAATGAGATTTTTTCCAAACTAAAAAGAGGTCACAGGTCTTAGTGAATCTTGCTCAGTCCTCACCTAATTAGCCCATTGCCTTCGCCTCTATCCATAACAGTACCTAATCTTTAAGAGTGATATGACCTTTGGTGCCATATGGAGCTGTGAAGAGAAAGGAAAACTGAGTGTTCTAGAGACCTGGTCTGAGACAGAGGTGACACCATATTACCTAGCTTGAAATACTGGGCTTATATGAAACAATCTCGATAAAATCTGATATACTTTGCAAAGTGTGATGTTACTGATTTAGGAGAAGAAAGATGATGATGGCATATATAAAATCACCAAACATTCTTATTCTATTGAAAAAGCAATTCTTTGCACCAGGTTTGATATGAGAGAGTTGGCAAAATATCTTCAAACTGCGACCCTTCCTCAAAGACATAAACCATATCATTTTACAAATAAAGAATAAGAAAATACTGCAATTATGCTTATTTTTCAGTCACACTGACAGCCACATTCATCTATATTCTTAACAGCAAATGTAATTATGAAGAGTGCGAAACAAAGAAACAACTATTTAGATGCCACTTTTCCTAGCTTTTATCTGTGGGCACCGACTTATATTTCAAATGACATTATATTTCCTGGTTTCCCTTATCCAGAAATTCTAGGGACAGCCTTAGCCTCTGACCCAATGAGGGTCTCATCCTAGATCATGGTGGCAGGACTCAAGGTCTTGCAATCTGTGTGTTTCCATGACAACCAGGCACCATTATAGAGTCTGCCTCTTCGAGAGACATTTTATAGCCTTTTTTCTGGAGAAAAAGGAAAGAGGAAAAGAAAAGAAAGGAGAAGGAGAAAGATAGGCAGGTGGGGAAAATAAAAGGGAAAGGAAGTAAGAAAAGAGAGAACATGATACTAGAGAGAAGATGAAAAGCCATTAAATATGGAGATAGCACATCAAACAGCCTAAAGCGTACATACACTTTATTTGCAATCAGAAAGACTTCAGGGAACTTTCAACGATATTTTTTTCTTTCTCTATTTCTCACTTTTTTCATTCTGAAGTTCCCAGCACCCTGGCTTTTCTCAATGTTTTATCTGCATGAAAGTTCCTCTTGGAATTTCAATCAACCAGCACTGTCAAGTTTTTCCCTTTCCTTTTTACATTTACTATATAAAAATGAGCAGGGGGTCAACTGCAACTGAAGGAAATCACTAATCATTACAATACTCAAATTGCAGCCCCCTGGTGTATGAAAAATTGCTTTTTTACTGCAGCCAAACGTGTGCTGGGTTCATCCAGAACTTTACTATGAAAGGGAGCACAGATATTCGTCCTACTACAATCTTGCCAGCAATTGTAGAAAACTCATGAGACTAGAATGGATCTTCAAGATGCTGCAGAAACAACAATAACCACACACACACACAGAGAGAGAGAGAGAGAGAGATAGACAGTTTGTTCTCTGAGCAGTTTCCCTTCTGTCACTTAACAATACCCACTCTCCCTCCCTTTTGATTTATTAAAAGTGGCACTGCATTGCTCCTAAGTTCTTTAGTTCTTCCTTTCCACTTACAGGCAATTACTTTGAAAACTGTACAAAAATTGCAATAAAGTATTGCTCAATTCTTGAAAATATTTTACATCCCTTCTAGGAGAAGGACAGAGAATAGGAGAGTGAAAAGTCATACCAGTATTTTTTTTCCAGAAAATCTGTGAGGAGAAAAATACATTTCATAATAGTTAATATTCTCTTCAACTGCATCCCTTTAAATTTCCAAAGGAACAGTGATACAGTTTTCAGCCTACTTATGTTTGGATTTTACAAAGAAATCTGAGGACATCTAATTTAATGATAAAAGAAAACAATTTAGGACCAAATTAACTGGTTATTTTATGCTCTACCCCTCTGCTTCTCTCAGTCATACAAAAATGCTAAAAGAAATGTGAGAAAGACAAAGAAGAGTGTTGAGTGAATTCGCCCCCACACACAGCTTGCACACAGCAGGCCGGAGAAAGTGCTGCATCCTACAGGGAGAATATGCGAGGCAGTAGGAAATGAGGGTGAAGAAGAGAGGAAAGCAGGTCCAAGGAGAGTCTGACGAGGGTGGGAAATTGAAATATGTGGAGAGAAGGTGAGAGAGAGATGGTAAACGCAGAGTAAGGTGGAGAAGAAAAAGAACAGGATTTTTTTTAAGAGAGGAAAGTGGAGAAGCAGAGAGGAGAAAGAAAAGGAGCAAAGTATAAATGACAGCAAGACAGCAAATAATACTGCCATATAGAAACAGAAAGAATTGGTCAAAGGAGAAATGGTAGTATTGAGATGACGACACATCCACGCCTGCCAGGAAGACCTTGCTCTCATCTAAAATGGCGGCCATCGAAGCCTTCCTGCTCTGGGTTCCTTTGAATTCTTGAGCCAGTGCCCCTGAGGATGATCTGATTAATGAATTGTGGCGGGACCTCATTGCATCTTAACGATTTAGGATTTTCGTTTCACTTCCTGCCTGTGGTTATGGATCTTTTATCTGCTTTATCTGTGAAGCCTAACGAATTCCTGTTAAGTCTTTATAGCACTTGTCCTTTCCACTTAAATCTTCCCCCGATCCTATTTACCAAGTTTACAGTTCAGAGTGTTGTGTGCTAAATTGCTTGTGTTTTTACAACCATCACTAAATGCTGACTCTAGAAAGTGGTTAAGTTGCCAAGAGGAGAATCCTTGGGCAAGGAATAAGTAGAGCCTTATAGGTAGTGCATCCTTCCTTCTTCCATCTGCTGTGTCTGCTGTCGTTGGTGCAGAGATTCAATATGCACTGAGGGGTCCTCCTAGGACCTCTGCTTTCCTAAGGTCTGAAAGGAGGGAGGTTAAGTGAAATGGATTAGCAGTCAGTAGGCCGAAATTCTGTCCCAGACTTGCCATGACAAACCAGGTGAGCTAGTCCAAGTTGCTTAAGCTCTCTGAGCTGCAGTCTTCTCATCTGTAAATTGGGATCAGTATACCTCCCTCTTCTACAGGAAAGCTGGGAGAGAAACATGGTACAATTAGGGAATAACAAAAAAGGTGGTGTGATGGCTACAGTCGGTGATACTAAGGGACTGAAGATAAAAAGGAACAGGTACGGTGGAGTCAGATAAAACATGCCTTGAATCTCTCTATGCTTCTCAGTTCCCCACCTGTAATGTGAGTAGAAATTATGCCATAATTTTTTATACAGACATTGGGAGAATGTTTTAGCCCTTTGGATGTATAAAAAGTGCTAAGGAATCCAAAAGGGCTGCGTCCCTGCTCTAATCACCAACACCCTCCTGCAACCCCAGTCCTTCGATGTCTTGTCTCCTGAATTCCCCTAGCTCTGCATATAGGCCTATCTCTGTTATGGCTAAAGCAGTACCAAGGAAATCACTGGCTGCTCACAGTGCCTCTCAGCACAGGATATTCAGAATCATTTTATCATGAGGTCCAGGATCCTTAGAGAAGTATGCCAAATGTACCTCCGTCAAATAGTTTCATTACAAAAACAGAGCCCTGTTAAGACAAAACAGCAACATTTGGAAAGACTATGGTGTTTAGTGTGCTGCCACTTATTTCCAACCCAGTGCCACGTCTTAGTCATTGTCTCTCTTGCATTACTTTCTTCTCCTTCTATCCTTGCCTTCAGAGATAATAAAGTTCTCAAGTTAGGAATTCCATCAATAGTGAAATTTTCAAAAAGGAAAGATACCCTAATACTGTGAGGTATAACGTACTACTAAAACAACTCAAATATCCTTCTAGGTCTGTGTGCTTGGATTCAAACTACTAGGTAAAATTTAAGTAACATCTGACACCAAATATTTCGCTATTTAATTTTTAATTGTTAAAGCTAACACAGTCTCTGAAATACACAGAGGCCCACAAAAAAACCCATTAATATGGAATAAAGAAATGAATGAGCTAATTAACTAAACTAAAATGCAAATACTCCAAAGAATGGTAACTCATTAAGCATCTTTATTAGTCTTTAAACCTTTTTGTGAATGCAACTTTTTTAGGGGAAAAAATTGAGAGGAAATAAACAACAATCACTGAATGTGGACTACATGCTTAGTGCTTTCTAGACACGTTACACAACTACTTATGTAGGATTCATATGTTTAATCCTCACACCAACCCAGGACATATTGACATCATGCTTATTTTACATCTGGGGAGATGAGGCTGAGAGAGTTTATGTGACTTGCCTTGGGTCACAAAGTTGGTAGAAATGGGGAGAGTAGGAGGGTCCTAGGTGCTTAAAGTAAAGAATGGCAAGGAAACATTGTGAAAAAGGATAATGGGCCCAGCAAGGAGCACCTAGATATCCAAAGATAAATTTTGGTGACTTAATAAATTTGGAAGACTGCCCTACAACTCAGTCTCCTACTTAGTTCATGCCATTTCCTCATTCATTCATTCATACTACAAATAGTTACTGAATTCCTACTACATGCAAGGCAGTGTGCCCACTATTGCAGGATGATATCAAGATGGAAAATATGGAACTCTGTTCTCCATGGGCTTACAGCCTAGCAGGGGAGAATATATATGCGTAGAATCCTGGTATTTTTAATGCAAGTAGATAATTATGTCTGCTAAGAAGAGCAGAGATAAAGCCCTATGACCATTTGGAAGAAAAAGAGACAGCTTTTAAATAGTGAGGGTTAAGGAACGCTTCCTAAAATAGATTGCCCAGAAGGATGGCCAGATTTTATATATGTAGAGAAAGGAAGGAAGGGCATTCTAAGTGGGGAAACAGAACCAACAAAAGTACAAAGCAGGAGAACATAGAACATGTGTGAAGAGAGAGTGGTTTCATTTCACATCTTTATTTATAGTCCAGAATTCTTTCACAAGCGCTAGATTGATTTTCTAACTGCATGCAAGATATCTCTTCTTAAAGTTTCCAGGACAATCTCAGATTTGGTACAACCAACACTGAAGTCACGTGTTCTCTATGTTTGCTAATGATACTATCTTCTTGCCAGTCACCAAACTTGAAACCTTATTGTCACCTTTGACCCCTTCTCCTTTGTCCTTATTTCCAACCCAGTGCCAAGTCTTACTCATTGTCTCTCTTGCATTACTTTCTTTACCCAGGCCCCTCACCACAGTCTCCTGTAGCATCTAGTCTTACTGCCTCCTGCCTCCACTGCCATCAATTAAGTACTTTGGAGGCATAGTCGTGATCACGTGACTGTCCTCGTTTTAACGCACTCTATTCAGAGTTTACCACAAACGTTCATTGAACACTTTTCATGTGCCAGACACTATGCTAGCTGCTTTGTGTGTATTACCTCGTCTAATGTTTGTATCAGCAGTAGAGGTAGGATTTTTATCAGCACCGTTTTATGTAGGCACGCTGGAAGGAGCTTAATCTGCTCTTTCCACTGTGGTACAGGTATATCTGGGCATATCTGGAGGATCTGGGCCCAATCTACATTTTCAACCTCATATTCTGCTTTTTTCCTTTGTAGAGGAGGAAAATGATTTTTTCCTTCTGCCCATTGTAGGTTCATTGCCCAGAGCCCTTGTAACAAAAGACAGATTAACAAAAGAAAAATATACTAATTTATTTATCATAGGTCTATGTGACACAGGAGCTTTTATTAGAAAATGAAGACCTGAAGAAGAGGTCAAAACTGAGTGTTTTTATACTAAGTTTGATGAAGAGTGGAAAGCTGTGAAGAAATGAAATAAGACAAAGGGAGTATGAGCTAAGTGTAATAAACTGGAGGAAACAGAGAGGTTTGTTTTATCAGATTTCTCTTAGCATCCCTGTGTTGTCTTCAGGGATAAGTGTGCTTCTTTCCTCCATGTATAGGGAGGGCACCTCTCACATGAGGATCACAGGAGAGGGCAGTATTCAGTCCAAAAGAACAAAGTATTTCAAGAAGGAAATGGGTAGTGAGCAGGACAAAATGACCAAAGAGAAGTGGCTTGAGCAGAGGACTTCATTGATCTCTTCAAGAGCACATTTGGTGAGGAGTTAAAGAATAAAGAGTAAATGAAGTGTATATGTGCCACATTTTCTTAATCCGGTCTATCATTGATGGACATTTGGATTGGTTCCAAGTCTTTGCTATGAAGTAAGATGGAATGAAAGCAGCAGGAACAAGCTACTCTTTTGAGAGGTCTGGCAGTATGAGGGAAGGAAAAAAGAGAACCCCTTTGTCAAGGGAGGGATGTTAGGATGCTGCAATCACCTGAGCACCTTCCCAGGCAGAAAGGGAAGAGGCAGGAAAAGGAACACTGACGGCATAAGAAATAGGAACCCTTCGCAGCTCTTTCCAAAAGATTCACCAGACAATGAAGTTAAGGGAAGAATTACCCTATACCATTTAAAGTAAGATTTAACTTGAAAACATTTCCTTTTTTGGAAAATATATATGTCTTAAAACAGGGTATGCCATCACTAAGAGGTTTGATGTCTTAGCAGGTGACTAAATGGCAGAATGGCAAAAAATTAGACAATATACTTCTTCCAAGAGCCCTCATGACCTGCCAGGACCTGCCATGTCTTGTATAAGTTGATATTAAGTGCTTAATTTCAGTATAACTATAAGCTAACAAAGAATGACTCATGATAAGCTACTTCAAAGGAGTCTTCATTTGAAACATTTCTATAAGGTCTTGCTAGAATGTGTAAAAATCCATGGGACCATCAGAGAAGGGACAAAAGTTGTTGAATGAAACTACTAATATCTGAGTAACAAAACTGAAAAGTGTTTATTGAGGAATCAGACTTGGAAATCCCTACTCCCCATTCTTATTTAGAGGGACAAAGATAAAACATACACATGTTCCTGTTTAAATATTGCCAATAACTTAATCACTTTAATCTTATTTTGGTACCACAAATGATTATCTTAAATATTTGGGGCTCTGGCTTTCATTAATTTAAATCCAGTATTTTTTCATGTGGACATTTACTTTTAATCAGCCTCTACAAATGAGCCTGATTACTGTAAGTATTAATAATAATAATAAACTTGTTAATGACTTCTTTTCCCTCTTAAGTTACAGGATTAAGCACCACCATTTATTTATACTCATTAGCATTTTCTTGACTGGAGAAACTAAATCAAATGCAAATGCAAGCTTATTTTCTATGCACAGCCACACAAACTTGTCAACAAATTTTTCCATTCTTTTCTTGTTTTCCCACTTTTATGTGCATGCCAGAAAGCCATTCACTCTACTCTCCAAAGTAAACTGGGCTTATGTCAGATAATCATCAGGGGAGAGTGAGGGGCCAGATCACTTGTACCACCACCATCATTAGTTATAGCAACAGCTGCTATTGAACACTCACAGGCCAGGCACTGTTTTTGAACTCCATGTACATCTTGAATAAAATCTGTGAGGTAGATACTCATAGGATGTCCATTTTGCAGATAAGGAAACTGAGATGTAGAGGAGGTTAAATAGAAAATGGCAGGGTTCCTGTCTCTTGGTTTCCAAAGTTGGTAGTCTCAGTCACTGGACTGCCAACTCACCCATGAAATACTCACATTATTTTGCAAGACCCCCAGCTGTACATCCTTCAGAAAGTAAATGACCCAGGCCAAGATGAATCTGAGACAAAATTAAGCCAAGAAAGTGGATGCCATTTTAAATCCACCCACAGTCATGTTGAGCATCAGGTAAAAGGACCAACTCCTGGGACCTAGAGGGGTCTGATCATCAATAGTCTGGGGCCTTGGAGGAAGGAGCCTCTAACTTCCCAGTCATTGACTGAGCCACAAACCAACCCAGTAGCCAAAGACAGATGTAGGGAATATGCACAGACTGATAAAGCCACAGTTGCTGGGAGCAGATATTGAGACAAGTCCAGTGTCACCCTACAGAAGAGACTGGGGCGACAATATATTAAAAGCCTAACAGAGACAATCAATCCCAGGTGAGTGGTATAAAAGCTCTAAAACAATATGGTTCCAGATTTTCTTTTTCTGACTTTATCAAGTGTCTCCTGTTCCATTCTGCCCATTCTTCCCTCCACTCTGGCCCCTGCCCAAGGCACAGCTTTACACACCTGTGACTCCCAACCATGTTCAGACCATTTATAATTTCCCAGCTCCAACACCTTTCACTATATACCAGATCTAGCTCTGCTACCTCTACTCCTGATCCCTTGGACAAGATGACCATTCATTTTGTTGCCCCTAAAGAATACATAGTTGTCAGATCCCAGTTCCTTCTGGGAGTAAATCTCAGGATTAAGTTTGGCAAGATATTTACACATTCTTACCTTTAGGCTAGGCCTAATTCAAAATCAAAACCTCAAAAAGCAGCAGAAGACAGCAACCAGGCTTTTTCAACTTTTCATGGGCTTAGCAAATCCTAAAGGCTTGAAAGCAAGAAAGGAGTCCCAAAGTTGGTTTAACATACCAAAGTCAATCGATGTAATACACCATATTAATATGATAAAGTATAAAACCAAATGATCATCTCAATAGATGCAGAAAAAGTATTTGACAATATCCAACACCGTTAATGGTAAAATAATTTTAAAATCAAGATAGTGTAGTACTGACATAAGGACAGGCGTATGGGTCAATGGAATAAAACTGAGAGTCTAGAAATAACCAAACATATTTATGAACAAATGATTTTAGACATGCATGCCAAGACAATTCACTGGGGGAAAGATGGTCTTTCAAGACATGGTGCTAAGACAACTGGATAAAAAATTGGACTCCTACCTCATACCATCCACAAAAGCTAACTCAAAATAAACCTAAATATAGGAACTACAATTGTAAAGCTACCAGAAGAAAACGCAGGAGTAAATCTCTGTAACTTTCAGAGCTGGGCACGGTAGCATGCACTTGTGGTCCTAGCTACCCAGGAGGCTGCAGCCAGAGGATCACTCAAGTCTAGGAGCTGGAGGCTGCAGTCAGCTATGACCATGCCACTGCACTCCAGCCTGGGTGACAGAGCAAGACCCTGTCTCTAGAAAAAAAATGAGCAATCTTTGTAACTTTAGGTTAGGCAATGGTTTCTCAGATATGACACCAAAAGTACAAGCAACAAAATATAGATAAATTGGACTTCAGCAAAATTAAAAACTTTTGTGCACCAAATGGTATAATCAAGAAAGTGGAAAGACAACTTATAGCATGGGAAAAAAATATTTGCAGATTTTATATCTGACAAGATACTTGTACCTACAATATACAAAGAACACTTACAACTCCCCAACAAACAGAAAAACAATTCAATTAAAAATGGGCAAAGCGAGGCCGGGCGCAGTGGCTCACGCCTGTAAACCCAGCACTTTGGGAGGCCGAGGCGGGTGGATCACGAGGTCAGGAGATCGAGACTATCCTGGCTAACACGGAGAAATCCCGTCTACACTAAAAATACAAAAAAAAAAAAAAAAATTAGCTGGGCATGGTGGCAGGCGCCTGTAGTCCCAGCTACTCAGGGAGGCTGAGGCAGGAGAATGGCGTGAACCCCGGAGGCACAGCTTGCAGTGAACCGAGACTGCACCACTGCACTGCAGCCTGGGCGACAGAGTGAGACTCCGTCTCAAAAAAATAAAAAAAATGGGCAAAGGGGGCCAGGCACGGGGTTCTCACCTATAATCCCAGACTTTAGGAGGCTGAGGTGGATGGCTTGAACTTAGGAGTTTGAGGAGGCCAGCCTGGGCAACATAGTGAAACCCCATGTCGACAAAAATAATTTAAAACATCAACTGGGCATGGTGGCGTAAGCCTGTGTTCCCAGCTACTTGGTAGGCTGAGGTGGGGAAGACCACTTGAGCCTGAAAGGTTGAGGCTGCAGTGAGCCATGATTACACCATTGCACTCCAGCCTGGGTGGCATAGTGAGACCCTGTCTCAAAGAAAAAAAAATGGGCAAAGGATTTGAATAGAAATTTATCCAAAGAAGACATATAAATGGCCAATAAGCACATAAAAAGATGTTCAATATTATTAATCATTAGTGAAAGGCAAATCAAAGCCACAATGAGATGTCACTTCACACCCAATAGGATGGTTATAATCAAAAGGAGAGCCAACAAGAAGTGATGCTGAGGATGTGGAGAAATTGGAACCTTCATAAATGACTGGTGGACTGTAAAATGGTACAACCATATTGGAAAACGGTTGGACAGTTCCTCAAACAGTTAAGAACAGAGTTACCATAGCAATTCCACTCCTAGATATACACTCAAGAGAAATAAAAACTTACATTCACCTAAAAATTTGTATACAAATGTTCATAGCAGCATTACTTGTAATAGTCAAAAAGTGAAAACAACCCAAATGTCAACTGAACGACGAATGGATAAACAAAATAAGGTATATCCATTAAACATAATATAATCTGACAATACAAAAGAATAAAGTACTGCCACTTGCTATGACATGGAGGAAACTTGAAAATAGTATGCTATGTGAAGAAAAGCCAGACACACACAAAAATACACATACTGTATGATTCCATGTATATGAAATGTACAGAATAAGCAAATCCATAAAAACAGAAAGTAGTGTAGTGCCTGGGGATGGATCAGGAGAATGAGAGAAGGGAGCAAGAAGAAAGAGTAAGTGCTAACGTACACAGTTTCTTCTAGAGGTTCTTAAAATTGTTCTAAAATTAGATTGTGATGATAGTTTTTCCTTGAGTTTTTAATTTAGAACAAAAAAAACACAAAGAAAAGTAGTTGATGGCATGCCCAAATTCAGGTCTCTCCACCACATTGAAGAACAGGAACCTGGTAGAAGATGTAAAAATAAGTCCACTCTTTTCATTTATGTTCCATATAAACTTATATGGATCTACTCTACATAGTCATATGCTTTCAAAACTTTACAGGATAACAAACAAATGGTGTCCATCAGAAATCTGGAATGTAATCCCCATCTCTGTCAGTAGCTTGCTGTAGGACTGGTTTACATCAAAACCTGTACATTATTTCCTCATTAATAATGTATCCCTGTTCTGTGTGCCTGCACAAGTGTCAAATAAGCAACAAGAAAAAAAAATGGAAACCTTTCATGTGTTCAGAATACCCATGGATAAATCCATCTGAATGTATCTGAAGAGCTGGTAAAAGAGCCGCCAGGCTGTGCCAAGAGCAGTAATGTGCTGGAGAAGGCTCATTCCACTTCTCAAGAGCCAACCATGCTCCTCTCATCCACACTCTATATTCAATGACATCACATGAGTAGCTTGAGATCAGCCATAGTTTTAGAATGACATCCACTTTCTCAGCTTAATTTAGTCCAAGGTGTCTCACGGCTTGAGCAATTTCCTTTCTGAAGACCTTTCAGTAAGGGAACTTATGAACTAATGTGTCTTATGAGCAGTCCAGTGATTAAAAGCATCTGCTTTGGAGTCTGAGAGACAGAGGCTCCAGTCCTGTCTGGCTCTGCCATTTCCTAATTACTTAACCTCTTTTCCAGAGAGCTGGTTTACCAGCACAGCACTGGCAGCTTCCAAGGAAGCCTCTCATTTTAATGGCATCATGGCTCACAGCTTGACTTAAAGACCATGGGTTAGGACCTAATAGAAAGGCCATTTTGAAGACAAAACAGTGTCTGTCACTCAAAATTGTCCTCCAGCAGAGAGTGAGTCCTAGATAACAAGGGGCTATAATGAGGAGCAGATGCTTCTTAAAGATTCCTGCACCATATGGAACAAGAGCCCAGGGTATCCCTCAGGTTTCTTTACTGGCAGGCAGCTAGCAGAAGCTAGGGCAAGTTGTGGAGCACTCTGCAGAATCAAGTGGACCCTGCCCAAGCTGGGTTTGGACTAGCTCACATTTGGAATAAATGGAAAGGAAAACGAGACAGCCACTTGTGGACTTGTGAATTAGTTTGCACACACACACACACACACACACACACTGCTTACTAACATGAACAACCTGCTTCAAGGGTCTGATGGCTCATTCTTATTCTTTGTGATCCCTGCTGACTCTTCTCCAAAGCCCAAGAAACTTAAACTCTTAGGTCAGATGGATGGCTCTTTTATTTATTTACTTATTTTTTTAGATACCCAATTATCTTTTATTGAGGCCTCTCTGGGGTAGGTCAAATAAGCCTTCCTCACTGGAAGGCTTATTTATTGGTGCTGCTTCCTGAGTCCTGGGGATTCATCACATCAGGCAGCATGGGTGGGCTGAAGAAGGGCTCGATGTGCAGGGCCTCATAGGTGTCTCTGACCCGACCCAGAAATCCAGCCCCACTGCAGCTGTGGCCTGTGGCTGGGGAAGCCAAACTCATGCATCGTCTTGCCATCACCAGGAGCTGGTCACCCTTGTACAGCCGTTGCTAATCAGGCAGCCATTTCAGGATATCTTCAACAGCATGGTGCTGGACTCCTTGATGTCCGTGAAGACGGTGGTCATGGCCCCAGCCCAGCCCTACTCTTTTTTAATAACAGCTTTATTGAGACCTAATTCACACATCATACAATTCACCCTTTTAAAATGTATAATTTGGTGGGTTTTAGTATATTCACAGAGTTCTACGACCATTACCAATATGTAATTTTAGAACATTTTCATCACCCTAAAAAGAAACCCCACACACATAGGCAATCACTACCCATTTCTCCCTCCCCCAGCCCCTGACAACTACTAACCTACTTTTTGTCTCTATGGATTTGCCTATTCTGAACATTTCACAAAAATATAAAAATTCAACATATGTCCTTTTGCAACTAGCTTCTCTCGTTTAGCATAATGTTTTAAAGGTTCATCTATTCTGGAGCATGTATCAGTACTTCATTCCTTTTTATTGAAAAATGATGTTCCATTACATGAATATACTACATACTGTTCATCCATTTGTCATCTGATAGACATTTGGGTTGTTTCTACTTTTAGCTATTATAAATAATGCTCCCGTGAACATTCATGTACAAGTTGGTGCCCAACTCTTTAGGCATTTGAATCTTTCCTGGCTGTGCTCCTGGGCAGATAAATGGACCTGCAATAACACGTCTCTTTTAGGCTCCCCTAGCACTTTCTTCTCCATTCTGTACTTTTTCAAGAAAACAGGTTGATACTCTTTGCTGGTCTCCCTGCCTCTAAGCTCTCTCCAAGTCTAGTTCTCCACACATTTTGACATCAGGTATATTTTTATTGGAATTGATCTTTATGGCATCAATTCCATGCTCAAGAGCTTTGGCTAACACTCAAAGCCTAGAAGCCCCTGTCTCTTCACACCACCAATCCCTACCTTCATTCAATCTCTGTTTATCAGGAGTCACCTTGCAAATCTCTCTGCTATCTTATGCCCACCTCATCATTTATCCATCAAACATTACTGAATTCCTAGGCACGGTGCTGGGTACTGGAGGCATCAAGAGATGACTGAAAAAGATCCCTAGCCTTGAGTTCATTTTCTGGATCCGAATGGAGTAGGGAGGGTTGGTGGTATTGGAAAGGGTGAGTAGACATGTTAACGGAGAACAAATAAGCAATATGCAGAAATGGACTATTGGTCCAGTCCTGTTGGTGACTCATCCAACCCTCTTAGAATCTTTTTCTAACTCCAGATGAAGTTTTTGATAAAACTTTTTTGGCACAGGATTTTTATAACTGAAATTTTGTGAACTCTTTTTTTATTTTATTTGCACAAGAATACAAAAAAAAAAAAAGAGTAAGCAAGTAAGCAAGCTCCATTTGCCCCAGGCAATGCTGAGGCTAGAAAGTGGGAGGCATTCTCAGATTGCCCTGAACAGTCACATCTGTATGTCGTCAGGATTATCAAAATTGCCATGACAATGACCCAAAGGTTCTTCCTCAGATAAACCCTGCAAATACTCAGCAGATTTCAGCCAGACTCAACTGCATGCCCTTGAGGTTTGCAGTTTGCATGCTGTAAAAAAGCTGGAAGTGGGGGTGGGAGGGTGGAAGGAGGAGGTAGGATGTGAAGCAAAGGGCAAGAGGCCAGCTGAGGCTGCACAACCTTGGAATAATGTTTAGCTCAAATATGAAGAGAGCTCACTTGACATCCTGACTTTGTCTTTCTTTAGAAATGCTGAGGTAGATCTGTAAGCAGCTTCAGGTCAAACTGTTAAGTGTCTAAAAGTCTCAGAACTCTTCCCCATCTATTGACCAGAGGAGGATGGACCTGTGAAGAGGGAAGGTACGTGTAGTGTTTTATTCCCCAGAGAGTCTTCCTCAGACCCTATACCTAGGGCTTGGCCCCTTGACAAACTCTGATATCATTACATTTAGTCTTCAGAGTCCTGGCCTCCAGTTTCTTGACTCTCCTAGCCTCATTTTCAGACCTGATTCAAATGGAGACCTGTTCCTCTCATTGGATGAACACACTTAGGCCCAGAAAGTGAAGAGACTAGATACTCTTCAGCTGGGGATGCTGTAGATGAAATACTTTCATCAAAAGAAGGTTGGATAAGATGATCCCTAATTTTATTCCAATCAAAGGTTCTACAATTCTAAGATTTACCCAAAGGGACCCAGCTATTTTGAGGCAAAGTTTGGACCAGATCCCCGGTCTCTCCCCTCCCAATCCAGAAGCCACTGGAGAATGAGCCCCAGTACATCTTTGATGATGAGCTTATCACCAATTTGGATTTTTAGCTCAGATCTTAAACATCTGTTAAGTACCATGTAGACATTATCTTCACAGTTTTCATGAGAAGGAGGAGTGCATGGAGGGATGAAAGGGGAACAGAGCAAGAAGACATGCAGAACTCCCTTTTTACAACTGATATTTTCCTTAAAAGCTGAAAACACAATCACATTCTGCAAACCAAATTCCATTTTCAAATGAAAGTTCAACTGCCCTATAAATGGATATTACTGTGAATTTTTATAAAGGGGGCAATCCTATCATTGTAAAGCAAATGACCACTCCTTAATGTATTAATGTAGGATATTTAGATGTTTGTGTTTGGTTTTGATTAAAGCTCTGCCCATATTCTTGTAGCCATTTTACCATAAAACTAAGACAGTAAAACCAAGCTCCAAAAAGACCTCATGTCTTGTCCAAGAACGCCCTAAGACTAACTCCACACTATCATGACTCAAATCCCTTCCCTAGTCACCCAGTTTCACAGCCTAGATCTCTAAGGAACTAAGGGACTTGATCTGATCTCTTCAGTTTGCCCACATCAGATCCGAGAGCTCCAAGTTGGGCATACCTCGAGATTTTTTTTTAAGCAAGGCTTTCAAACAACCTTGTGCTGGAAACTGGCATGGAAGCAGAGGCTCATGTCCCTGACATACAAAGTCACTCTGAATTCCCCTAATTCCACAGCAATTCTCTGCCTACTGGGTCTTATTGCTTAACAGGAACATAAGCTCCTCTGACATTGACCTGGACAAGTGCTGCATATTTGGGAAGACGAGGAAAAGGCAAGCACAAAACATCTTTGAGCACGTTACCCACCTGCTTGATTTCTGCAGGCTGTTCCAGTGGCCTGACTCCCCACTCTGGATGGGGAACTCTTGAGACCACAGGCTCACAAAGCATGGGCTCCCTGGGAAGTGGTGAGCTGCAGAAATAAACTGCTCCTTTCCTTAAAACAATCAGCCGGTGACTCAGCCTGTAATCCCAGCACTTTGGGAGGCCGAGGCAGGCGGATCACGAGGTCAGGAGATTGAGACCATCCTGGCTAACACGGTGAAACCCCGTCTCTACTAAAAATACAAAAAAAATTATCCGGGCGTGGTGGCGGGCGCCTGTAGTCCCAACTACTCGGGAGGCTGAGGCAGGAGAATGGCGTGAACCCGGGAGGCGGAGCTTGCAGTGAGCCGAGATCGTGCCACTGCACTCCAGCCTGGGCGACAGAACGAGACTCCATCTCAAAAATAAAAAATAAAAAAATTTAAAAAAATTCAGCCCTGCAAACTCACTCTTAGTAAAACAAAAGACATTAAATTCTTACTGTTTTTCTTTTTTCTCTCAATTCCCTTTAATATGATAGCAGCTGAACTCACTGCTCATTGACCAGGCCATTCATTTACCAATTAGGTACAGGTAGTAGCTCGCTTTTGTCGTTTGTTTGTTTTTCTTTTTTTCTTTCCTTTTTTTTTTTTTTTTTTTTTTTTTGGAGATGGAGTCTCGCTTTGTCCCTCAGGCTGAAGTGCAGTGGCACGATCTTGGCTCACTGCAACCTCCGCCTTCCGAGTTCATGCCATTCTCCTGCCTCAGCCTCCCGAGTAGCTGGGATTATAGGCGCCCGCAGGTGGTAGCTCTTAAGTTGCTATCAGACCCTGATGGATTACCCCTTGTAAGAAATTAACCTCCTCCTACCTATTTGAATATTCTGTCTCCAAGCAGGCTACGTGTTCTCAGAAGACTGAGGCAGGGCCATATGTCTTTGCTTTACCCACAAAAAGTCTTGCTAATAATGTTCGGAGTAGAGATGGCACTCAATAAACTCATTAATCTACGGATGATAATTTTTAAGTGCCTACAACCATTATGAATCTCAGTCTACAAACTGGGATATGCCAAAACAATTCTTCTTCTTTATTTTTATTAAATCAAATTAATTTCCATTTTGAGTTCACATGCTCCTAGACTTGCAGGAATTTCAATGTCAGGCATTTACAGGAGTCTTCTTTCTCCTCAAGGTCTCCCTAGAATCCAGGGGGCTTCCATGGTGCTCAGAAAATTAGGATTAGGGCCTCTATCTTCTTGTCCATCGTAGTCATTGCTGCCCATGACGAACCCTGGTATCTCCCTGCTGATAAAAAAGATATATATACCATTGAGAACACAGGGACCTAAGGTTAGGCCTCCCTAGGTTCACCATTCGCCCCCTCTCAGAAATCTTGCTACGTTAACTAAACACATTAAAGAGGGGACATAGCGTCCTCCCACACCAAAAAAGAACACAGTACTATTACCAAATGAAGAGGATACTGGGTAGGCAAGACAACCAATGCCTATCACAAACAGAAGAGAGCATTCCAGGTAACAAGTTGCCAGGAGAAGAGCAAAACATCCTCAGCAATATTAATTATATTTGATGCTTAAAATGAACTTGGAGCATTTGCAGATACAAATACCAATAACTGACTGAAGAAAAGTGATATAAGCATTAAAATAAAGAAATGACCAACCCCACAGAAGACTGTGTGGGAAGAGAAAAGAATGAGCCATATCCTATATAACGAAGATAAATGGGAAAGAAAACTGTGGAACAGATGATAAAGAGGACTGTTTTCTTAGGAATCAAGATTTTCTCAGTTATCTTGAAAGGAGCAACTTGAGATTTATTCAAGAATTCCACTTCAAAACCATATGTCATTGCTGTATAGAAGTATGTCTAGGCTAACAATGTAGTAAAATCTACATACTTCTCATAATAATGTGTGGGTTTAATTATCGTTAACTATTTTTTATGGTCTTCAAAGTGCCTGGTTAAAGAATTCTTCCTATTATTAAATATGGATACCTTAACTAGATATAATTCCAGGAAAGATTCTTAGCACCAAAGTAGGCAAAAACCAGGTAAGCTGTGCTGATTAGAGATGATGTCTCAAGATTCATTTCTCTGTGTGTGTGTGTATACTGCACATGGATTAAGTCTGAAATGCAGAGTTTTAAAAACAAAATAGCTATGTCAGGGCACCATTTCCCAAACTGGTATCCCACAGATTAGCTCTTTAATATTCTGTTTGAGAGAAAAAAAAGGGAATGAAGTTTTATAAGTTAAGGGGAGTAGAAATTAGAGACAGAAGTCTCCTATTAGAAGACCACTGAGGTAGTTCACTGGCCAGGTATTAAAGACTGTGATAAGGAAAATTGATTGTGGGGGCAGGGGAAGGAACAGCTAAGTGAGGCATCCATCCAAGAAGTAAAATCATCAAAAGAGTGTCTATTAATGACCCAAAAACCCAGGAGTCATAACCCTTTGTTCTTAACCATCAGCTTATCTTTCCTCAAGAATAAGTAGTTCAGCAATGACATAGATAAATCTTAAAATAATTATGCTGAGTGAAAGAAGCCAGAAAAAAAGTGCATAATGTATGATTCAAATTATATAAAATTCTAGACTATGCAAACTAATCTCAAGTGAGAGAAAGCAAATCAGTGGTTGATTGGGGCTGGGAAGCTGAGATGGGTGGCCCAAGGAGGGCAGAATTACAAAAGGGCAGGAGGAATCTTTTGGGAGTGATGGATAGATTCATTTTCTTGATTATGGTGATGGTTTTACATGTAGAGATGTCAAAAATCATCAAACTGTACACTTTAAGTATGTACAGGTCATTGTATACCAATTATACCTTTATATCTGATATAGCTGTTGAAAGAAAGTAAAAAGGAATGGAAAGGAAAAGAAAGGAAAGGAAGAAGAAAGAAGGAAGAGGGAAAGAAGGAAGGAAGGAAGGAGGGAAGGAAGGAAGGAAGGAAGGAAGGAAGGAAGGAAGGAAGGAAGGAAGGAAGGAAGGAAGGGGAAGGGAGAAGAATATGTATTTCATTGAATTTTATCTATAGCAGAACTTCTCAACCACAGCACTACTGACATTTTAGACCAGATAATTCTTTGTTGTGGGAAGCGAGCTGTCCTATGCATCTTAGGATGTTTGGCAGCATCCCTGACTCTACCCACCACATGCCAGTAGCACTACCCACCAGCAGTGATGACCAAAGATGACTCCAGATACTGCCAAATATCCCCTTGTCAGTAGAAAAGGAGAGAGAAATGCCCCCAATTGAGAACAATGTGTCTGCAGGGATTTAGCAGGTTACCAGGAGGTTAAGGAAGAGAGTAACCTGAGTTCATGTAAGCCAGGATATCCATTCAAACCTAAAAATTAATGCTGAGGATGGAACAGAGCTGCAAGCTAGATGCAGAGGGAGGGTGCTGGAGGGCTGTGTGGCTTCTGACAGCATGCCATGCCATTCCTCTTCTACAGCAAAGCCAGTGCTGTAGAAAAGGAGGATGAAACTGCAGCAAAGCAAAACTCAAAGGAAAAGAGAGAAGTATTTAAATAATAACTTGAATTTGTTTATATTTCCCAGAGTACTTTTAGTCACATTATCTTACAGGGTTTTTACAAAGTCCATGTGAGGAGGAGGGGGTAGATATTGCTCTCCTCATTTTTCAGATGTGGAAACTAAAACCTACAAGGAGTATCCATCAGCCTCTGAGTTACTAGGTGTCTGAGCACACTGTTAGACTTCTGAGCCTCACCAGTAAAGGAGGGTCAGATAATCCCTCACCATGTTAGATCTTCCAGATAAAAGTTCTGAAGGGATGTGATTAAGAATTCTTAATCTCGGACGGCAATCCAACAAGAAACAAGCTGTAACACTGCAAGTAAGGAATTTAGGAAGTTTGGCTTAAAGAAGTATTTCTAGGGTGAGTTTTGTCAGAAAAAAGAATGTATGATTGAGGGATATTGAAGAACATCCTCTTCTAGTGCTTAAAAATAGGAGATACTTACTTCATTGGAATGATTTAAAGTCACTGATGGAGGGTAGGAGGGTAAACAGAAGACCATGCCCAGCCCCGTAATTCCTTGCACCAATAAAAGGAAGGGAGATCATTCAGAAGTGAGGGATGGAAGATCATTTGAATTGAGAATCTAGATTCAACTTTGGCATGAGTAAGAAGGGGCTACATTTCAAGTGTACCCAGCCACTCCTTCCTGCACCCTTTGTCCTTCAGAGATATTAACACTCTCCATTTAGAAAGACATAATCATTTACATGTAGTGAGAAGATCATGATGCCTCTCCTCAAACAAAGAAAACATTGCTCCCCAGAAAAAGAATCTCAGGCCTGTGAAGGAGGTAGAGAGATATTTGGCAAAGGGGCCTTCATGAACCACACCAATATTACAGTTGGAAGTTAGTTAGTTATCAGAATGTAGTGACTATCCGTGTATGTGTGTGTGTGTGTGTGTGTGTGTGTGTGTGTGTACAATGCAATGATATTTTGATGGCCATGCTTGCATTTAGGAGTGTCTTTCTTCTAGATGAGCTCAAAGAAAGTTCCATATGGGCTTTTAAATTTTGTAATTATATATTTTAACAACTTTATAGTGAACTATAAACAGAATAAATGAAAAAAGAAAAAAATCCAACCCTCCTTAACACAAAAGCTAAATGAGAATCAAGATACAATGGTCCTCCTTGCCTTAATATTGTAAGATACAAATTTTTTATAATTGCAATAAACATGCCCATATTATTTTAAGGTTCTATTTCACTCAATATCACATAATCTATATTTTTTCACATCCCTACTTCATACACATATTTTAAAAAAGCAATGTGATCTTCAAATTGTTAACATGCTAGATTATTTAACCAACTTGCTACAGTTTGATCATTCACATTGTTTTTCACTGAAAGGAAAAAAGTCTCAATGGAAGTATGATAGTTCCCTTCCATTATTTTGCTCATTCATTCATTCCTTCATGGAACATGATAGAATGAAAAGATGGAAGCATCTTGAATCCTTGGCAGTATCTTATTGCCATTATATCAATGCTAGACTGCCTACCTCCTAGACCTCTACTTATTTAAGCCACAATAGTCAATTTCCTGCTTCATGCAGCTAAGAGATATCCTGATACACCACTGAGGCATCTTTAGGTCTGCATCTCATTTCTCCTACGTTTGAAGGAGAGATGGCCCTCCTGCTTTTTGAACTAGCTCTCCGCATGCATTCGTGACCCCGTTTCCTCTTCTGCCTCCTCTTAGGCCGCGTTCTTACAATCATGTCCTTTCTTGTTTGCATATTCAATCTTTTCCTCCATTCTGGCTCTTTTTTATGTCCACTAATAAAACTGTTAGGAACTTCTTAGCCTAAAAAAAAAGACCCTTTCCTTTGAAATATGTTTCAAAGTACTAAGCACACCCCTAAGTTAATGCTGTCTTCCTTGTTCTCCCTTTACTACCAGACTTCTTGGCAGACTGCTCTATACCTACTTACTCTTTTATATCTACTCAGTCTCTTTCAAGCTGGCTTTCACCCCATAACAGTGGAATCAGCAATAAGTTCACCAATAACCAACCTCCTAATTAGCTAGTCACACAAGCTTTCTCAGCCTCCATCTTCCCCCGACTTTCTGCCTGACACTTCTGATTACCTTCTCTTCTTTTAAACTTTTTCAAAAAGTATAAACATATTACAGAAATGTTGGAGGAAAATTATTTTAAATAAATAATTATTTAAGTAGTTATTAAACATTTAATTTATCTAGTAAATGAATTAATTAATTTAAATATTTATTATTTTAATTTATTTTGAAAACGAACGTTGAAATGTAACCATTTATTTCCCTTCCTTTCCTAAACACCACTAAAATATTTTTCTTTAAAGAATATAGCCTCCCCCAAATAAAAGGAACACACCCAAAAGATAAAGGGAGAAAAAAACAATCTTTGGTTGCCATGAGACTACTCATGCCCCTATCCATGGGAGTGGAATTGACCAAGGATCCCCACTGCTGGGCTCTGAAATCCTGCTACATCCACAGCTGATCTTGACCCAAGCCATGCTTCCCCAGGGCAGCTCCCAGCTAATCATTACTCAATGAGTATGCTAGGGAAATTCAGGCAGGTCCATTCCCAGGGTCCAACAGCCAGCTTTGACTCAAATACTCTTGTCAGCCTTGTTGAACTTTCCTCAGACTGCACTGTGGTCTAGGACATTACCACTCAGCATTCCTTTCTTCTCTCCTTCATTCTCATTTCAGTCTGACACTTTCCAAGTCTTTTCTGGCTCCCCCCACACCACCATTTTCTCGCACAGAGGCAGTTCCCTAACAAAATCCTTGTACATTTAATATCGTCTTGGTATCTGCCTCTTGAAGGACCTGAACTAATGCACAACTGTAGGTGAAAGATCTTAACAAATATTTGGAAGGCACGCAGATGGATGAGCAGTAGTCAACGTAGCAGGATACCCTGAAAGCCCTACAGAAAGAATCTGTAGGATCTGATAAGCATTGAACTGGATTAGCAGAAAGTCTCAGGTCTTGGAGACTCAAGTTATTGCAGTAAGGTAGGGGTATAGTGTGGAGCTAAAAACAGATCTATTAATTGAAAGTCTGTATACAGAGAGGTTAAACCACCAGATCCTTGCCCATCCTCCACCAGCTAAGCTTCACCAAACTTCTGATCTACAGAAACTGTGCAGGCAAGTATTATATTTTTCACTATTAGCTTTTTTTTTTTTTAAGACAGGGTCTCACTCTGTCACCCAGGCTGGAGTGCAGTGGCATGATCATGGTTCACTACAGACTTGATCTCCCCAGCTCAGATGACCCTCCCACCTCAGCCTCCCAAGTAGTTGGGAACACAGGCTTATGCCACCAGGCCAAGCTAATTTTTTAATGTTTTATAGAGATGTGGTGTCCCTGTGTTGCCCAGGCTAGTCTCAAACTCCTGGGCTCAAGCAATCCTCCTGCCTCAGCCTCTCAAAGTGCTGGGATTACAGGTGTGAGCCACCACACCTGACAATATTAGCTTTTAAAAGCCATTTGGCTAGTTTTACCATGAACATTGCTTTAATGTAATTTTTCGTAAGTAAAAACTTAAACACAAGTACTTTTATTACAGGGCTGTTAGAGTGGGCTTCAATAGCTGAGATTATCTGAAACTGGGAGAGCTGGTCCAAGCAATCTGAGAAGCATGTAAAAGAAGTGTGAAAGAACAGATGCTAGTATAAAGTACAGAGTCATAGGCAGCATCCTAAACCAGACAAAGAGAGAAGAGTTGGAAAGAAGAGTTGGAAACCAACTCAATAAGGAAAGGATGGGATTTAGGATATTTACACAGCTATTTTGGCTATCTGAGCACCTTATAACTGCCAAGAATACCAGTTGGTATCCATGGCTTGCTTTATAGGCTACCAGGTAAATGGTACACATACTTAACTGACTTAAAGGTACAAAATTGGGACACAAAATTACTTTCCTTTTTTTCTCAAAAAACATACTTACATTTTTGTATTTACAATATAAGTTTTACTTTGTATTCTAAGTTTTTCAATATACAACTTTTTCTATATCTCTAAATTAGCCAAATTGTCATTTTAAATTATTGCATACTTCATTAAGTGAATCATAATGTCTTTATATCACTGTAATGTTGCTGAGTATTCAGGGTATCTCAAATTTATCATATAGATACTGCTATAATGATCGTTTTCATTCTTATGGCTTATTTACTGTGTTCAGTTATTTTCTTTGGAAAGTTCTCAGTGCTAGAATCACTGGATTGTGGGATATACACATATGCCTGGCTCTAGATGGGAATTACCATATTGCTTTCCAAAAGGCTTAAATCATTTTAAATGCATGAGTGTATGTTTTATAATTATTTCTCTGCCATTTGGTGCTTCCTTTAAGTGACTTTTCTCTTGGCTAATTTAGGAGTAAAGTCATACACAGGGTTTTAATTTTCATGTCTTAATTTCAAGGAGGAATAAACTACTTTGTTTTCGCCTGTCCTTTGTATGGTTTCTTAGGTGGATGGTCGATTTCACTGCATGTTCCACTCTCCTCATATCTCTCTGATGGCCCCTACTCCATCTTCTTCCCTGGCTCCTCCGATTCCTCCTTTTCCCCATTGTGGGCACAGGCATTCCCATGGTGCTGTCCTTAGCCCGTTTTTCTTCACCATGGGTTTCTCTATCAATCTGAAGAAGTGTTTTCCAGAAGGCCTTTGGGGCCCCTCCTCCCTGCATAAAAGTCTCCTCGGACACTTTTTAAATTCACATTTCCTGTCCTGACATCAAGTATACAGAAGCAGAATCTCCCAATGCGCCCTCCCAATCCATCTCTTAAGGAACTTCTCAAAAGTGATTCTTAAACTTTGACAACGACAAATGTAGGATTCCCAAATTTGTCTCTCCCATTTTAGTGTTTCTCTTGCTTTACGTGAGTGTATTTCAGCTGCCTCCTGAATCTCTCCAGGCAGATGTCACCTCAACTCTGCACATCCAAATGGCACTCTTGGTCTTGATCACTCCCATCTCTCTCAGGCATGCTCAGCACTTCTGCAAATCAGCTTCTCCTTTTGCCGAAAGAATTCTCATTTCCTGAAAACAAGAGCAGTATTCTTACAGACTGTCAGCCCCACATGCAAAATTCAGTACCGCCTGCTATTTCTAAACTATTCTTTGAAGGAGATTCCCCTTTTGATAAGGGCCTTATTAGCCCTAGGGTAATGACTGGCCTCTCTGTCTGCATGCCACATCATGCCCAGAAGGCATAATTCAATGTGACAGATATTATCAGCAGCAGGCCTTCGGATAGTGCATCTCTAATAGAGCTGGCATCCAAGCAAGCAGTGTCTCAGCATGCCTGAAAGAAGACCCTATACAGGCTGAGGAAGAGGATGAGAAAAGAGGGCCATTGCATCCACTCAAAGCAAGCCAAGAGTTAAACATGGGTTTCCTTCACTCCCCCTAATCTCTGGGTTCTGAATGCATCTGAGAGAAAGCCGTATGTAGGGTCTACTTCCTGGCACAGCCTTGATGGGGGGAAGCTTCCTATGGGGATTCCTCCCCTCCCTTTAGAGGGCCCACCTCCTATGCTCTACATATCCAGTATCCTCACACCACCCTGAGGTCTTCCAAACTTATTCTAAAAACAAATAATTCAGATGAAGATACAATTGATTCAAAGTGCTCCCACCCTGTGTTGTATTTTCATTTCAAAAAGGAGCCTGGAAAGGGCAATGCCCTCAAGGAATATATTGATAACCCTGGAATTTCTAGACCTTGAATATCTGGATTGAGGTATGGAGGGGAGAAGAATAGGAGTCCGGATGATCTTTCCTGTCCTCACCAGGCCCACACATTAGTCTGCTAAATGGATACTAAGGTGAGCTCTGGCTTCCAGATCAGTGAAGGGGTTCTTTGCCATAAAATCCATGTGCCTGAAAATTTGTGAATAAGTTCATTTTCTCAAAGTGTATTCCCAAGTCAGTATTCTTGAAGTTTCTTAAAGAAACACCAGGTTGGTAGCTGGCAAGATGGCTGAATAGGAAAAACTCTGGTCTGCCATTCGCAACAAGATCAATGCAGAAGGCAGGTGATTCCTGCATTTCCAACTGAGGTACATGGTTCATCTCACTGGGACTGGTTGGACAGTGGGTACAGCCCACAGAGGGCAGGCAGAAGCAGGGTGGGGCGTTGCCTCACCTGGGAAGCACAAGGGGTGAGGAGATTTCCCTTTCCTAGCCAAGGGAAGTCGTGAAAGTCTGTACAGGGAGGAACGGTGCATTCTGGCCCAGATTCTGTGCTTTTCCCATGGTCTTCGCAACTGGCAGACCAGGAGATTCTCTCCAGTGTCCGGCTCGGTGGGTCCCACCCCTACGGAGCCCAACAAGCTAAGATCCACTGGCTTGAAATTCTCGCTGCTAGCATAGCAGTCTGAGGTTGACCTGGGATGCTCAAACTTGGTGGGGGGAGGGGCAACCACCATTGCTGAGGCTTGAGTAGGTGGTTTTACCATCACAGTGTAAACAAAGCCACAGGGAAGTTCAAACCGGGCGGAGCCCACTGCAGCTCCCTGGGACAGAGCAACTGGGGGAGGGGTGGCTGTGCGTGCAGCCTCAGCAGTCTTAAATGTCCCTGCCTGACAGATCTAAAGAGAGCAGAGTTCTCCCAGCACAGCATTCGAGTTCTGATAAAGGACAGACTGCCTCCTCAAGTGGGTCCCTGATCCCCTGACTCCCAGTGTATCCAGACTGGGAGACACCTCCCAGTAGGGGCCGACAGATACCTCCTATAGGAGAGCTCTGGCTGGCATCTGGCGGGTGCCCCTCTGGGACGAAGCTTCCAGAGGTAGGAACAGGCAGCAATCTTTGTTGGGCAGCAGCCTCCACTGGTCATACTCAGGCAAACAGGGTCTGGAGTGGACCTCCAGCAAACTCCAGCAGACCTGCAGCAGAGGGGCCTGACTGTTAGAAGGAAAGCTAACAAACAGAAAGGAACAGGATCAATATCACCAACAAAGACCAAAGATAGATAAATCCATGAAGATGGGGAGAAACCAGCACAAAAAAGCTGAAAGTTCCAAAAACCAGAATGCCTCTTCTACTCCAAAGGACCACAACTCCTCACCAGCAAGGGAACAAAACTGGACGGAGAATGAGTTTGATGAATTGACAGAAGTAGGCTTCAGAAGGTGGGTAATAACAAACTCCTCCAAGCTAAAGGAGCATGTTCTAACCCAAAGCAAGGAAGCTAAGAACCTGGAAAAAAGGTTAGACAAATTGCTAACTAGAATAACCAGCTTAGAGAAGAAAATAAATGAACTGATAGAGTTGAAAAACAGCACAAGAACTTTGTGAAACACACACAAGTATCAACAGCTGAGTTGATCAAGCGGAAGAAAGGATATCACAGATTGAAGATCAACTCAAGGAAATAAAGCGAGAAGACAATATTAGAGAAAAAGACTGAAAAGAAATGAACAAAGTCTCCAAGAAATATGGGACTATGTGAAAAGACCAAATCTAGTTTTGATTGGTGTACATGAAACGGACGGGGAGAATGGAACCAAGTTGGAAATCGCTCTTCAGGATATTATCCGGAAGAACTTCCCTAACCTAGCAAGGCAGGCCAACATTCAAATTCAGGAAATACAGAGAACACCACAAAGATGTTCCTCGAAAACAGCAACCCCAAGACACATAATTGTCAGATTCACCAAGGTTGAAACGAAGGAAGAAATGTTAAGGGCAGCCAGAGAGAAAGGTCAGGTTACCCACAAAGAGAAGCCCATCAGACTGACAGTGGATCTCTCAGCAGAAACCATACAAGCCAGAAGACAGTGGGGGCCAATATTCAACATTCTTAAAGAAAATAAGTTTTTGTTTTGTTTTGTTCGAGACAGAGTCTCGCTCTGTAGCCCAGACTGGAGTGCAGTGGTGTGATCTTTGCTCACTGCAACCTCTGCCTCCCAGGTCCAAGCAATTCTCCTGCCTCAGCCTCCCTAGTACCTGGGACTACAGGTGTGTGCCACAATGCCCGGCTAATTTTGTGTGTGTCTGTGTGTATTTTTAGTAGAGACATGGTTTCACCATGTTGCCTGGGATGGTCTCGATCTCCTGACCTTGTGATCTGCCTGTCTTGGCCTCCCAAAGTGCTGGGATTATAGGCATGAGCCACTGTGCCCAGCCAGAAATGATTTTTCAACCCAGCATTTCATGTCCAGCCAAACTATGCTTCATAAGTGGAGAAATAAAATCCTTTACAGACAAGCAAATGCTGAGAGATTTTGTCACCACCAGGCCTGCCTTACAAGAGCTCCTGAAGGAAGCACTAAACATGGAAAGGAAAAACCAGTACCAGCCACTGCAAAAACATACCAAATTTTAAAGACCATCGATGCTATGAAGAAACTGCATCAACTAGCTAGCTGGGCATAATAACCAGCTAGCATCATAATACCAGAATCAAATTCACACGTAACAATATTAACCTTAAATGTAAATGGGCTAAATGCCCCAATTAAAAGACACAGACTGGCAAACTGGATAAAGAATCAAGACCCATTGGTGTGCTGTATTCATGAGACTCATCTCACGTGCAAAGAGACACATAGGCTCAAAATAAAGGGATGGAGGAAGATTTACCAAGCAAGTGGAAAGCAAAAAAAAAAGCAGGGGTTGCAATCCTAGTCTCTGATAAAACAGACTTTAAACTAACAAAGATCAAAAGAGACAAAGAAGGGCATCACATAATGGTAAAGGGATCAATGCAACAAGAACAGCTAACTATCCTAAACATATATGCACCCAATACAGGAGCACCCAGATTCATAAAGCAAGTTCTTAGAGACCTACAAAGAGACTTAGACTCCCACACAGTAACAGTGGGAGACTTTAACACCTCACTGTCAATATTAGACACAACAACGAGACAGAAAATGACCAAGGATATCCAGGACTTGAACTCAGCTATGGACCAAGCAGACCTAATAGACATCTACAGAACTCTCCACCCCAAATCAACAGAATATACATTCTTCTCAGCACCACATCACATTTATTCTAAAATTGACCACATAATTGGAAGTAAAACACTCCTCAGCAAATGTAAAAGAACAGAAATCACAACAAACTGTCTCTCAGACCACAGTGTAATCAAATTAGAACTCAGGATTAAGAAACTCACTCAAAACCACACAACTGCATGGAAACTGAACAGCCTGCTCCTGAATGACTACTGGGCAAATAACAAAATGAAGGCAGAAATAAAGATGTTCTTTGAAACCAATGAGAACAAAGATACAATGTACCAGAATCTCTGGGACACATTTAAAGCAGTGTGTAGAGGGAAATTTATAGCACTAAATGCCCACAAGAGAAAGCAGAAAGGATCTAAAATCGACACCCTACCATCACAATGGAAAGAACTAGAGAAGCAAGAGCAAACAAATTCAAAAGCTAGCAGAAGACAAGAAAAAAAATTAAGATCACAGCAGAACTGAAGGAGATAGAGACACAAAAACACTTCAAAAAATCAATGAATCCAGCAGCTTGTTTTTTGAAAAGATCAACAAAATAGATACACCACTAGCAAGACTAATAAAGAAGAAAAGAGAGAAGAATCAAATAGATGTAATAAAAAATGATAAAAGGGATGTCACCACCGATCCCACAGAAATACAAACTACCATCAGAGAATACTATAAACACCTCTATGCAAATAAACTAGAAAATCTAGAAAAAATGGATAAATTCCTGGACACATACACCCTCCCAAGACTAGACCAGGAAGAAGCCAAATCCCTGAAGAGACCAATAACAAGTTCTGAAATTGAGGCAGTAATTAATAGCCTATCAACCAAAAAAACCTCAGGACCAGACGGATTCACAGCCAAATTTTAAGACGAGATGGTACTATTCCTTCTGAAACTATTCCAAACAAAAGAAAAAGAGGGAATCCTCCCTAACTCATTTTATGGGGCTAGCATCATCCTGACACCAAAATCTGGCAGAGACACAACAAAAAAATAAAATTTTAGGCCAATATCCCTGAAGAACATCAATGCAAAAATCCTCAATAAAATACTGGTAAGCCAAATCCAGCGGCACATCAAAAAGCTTGTGCATCATGATCAAGTCACCTTCATCCCTGGGATGTAAGCCTGGTTCAACATATACAAATCAATAAATGTAATCCATCACATAAACAGAACCAATGACAAAAACCACATGATTATCTCAATAGATGCAGAAAAGGCCTTCAACAAAATTGCCTTTCATGCTAAAAACTCTCAATAAGTAGGTATTTATGGAATGTATCTCAAAATAATAAGAGCTATTTATGACAAACCCACAGCCAATATCATACTGAATGGGCAAAAACTGGAAGCATTCCCTTTGAAAACCGGCACAAGAAAAGGATGCCCTCTCTCACCACTCCTATTCAACACAGTATTGGAAATTCAGGCCAGGGCAATCAGGCAAGAGAAAGAAATAAAGAGTATTCAATTAGGAAAAGAGGAAGTCAAATTGTCTCTGTTTGCAGATGACATCATTGCATATTTAGAAAACCCCATCATCTCAGCCCAAAATCCCTTTAAGCTAATAAGCAACTTCAGCAAAGTCTCAGGATACAAAATCACTGTGCAAAAATCACAAGCATTCCTATACACCAATAACAACCAAAGAGCCAAATCATGAGTGAACTCCCACTCACAATTTCTTCAAAGAGAATTAAATACCTAGGAATCCAACTTACAAGGGATGTGAAGGACCTCTTCAAGGAGAACTACAAACCACTGCTCAAGGAAATAAAAGAGGACACAAACAAATGGAAAAACATTCCATGCTTATGGATAGGAAGAATCAATATCGTGAAAATGGCCATACTGCCCAAAATAATTTGTACATTCAATGTTATTTCTATCAAACTACCATTGACTTTCTTCACAGAATTGGAAAAACTACTTTATATTTTATATGGAACCAAAAAAGAGCCTGCATAGCCAAGACAATCCTAAGTAAAAAGAGCAAAGCTGGAGGCATCATGCTACCTGACTTCAAACTATATTACAAGGCTACAGTAACCAAAACAGCATGGTACTGGTACCAAAACAGAGATATAGACCAATGGAACAGAACAGAGGCCTCAGAAATAACACCACACATCTACAACCATCTGATCTTTGACAAACCTGAGGAAAACAAGCAATGGGGAAAGGATTCCCTATTTAATAAACGGTGCTGGGAAAACTGGCTAGCCCTATCTGGAAAGCTGAAACTGGATCCCTTCCTTACAAAACTGGATCCCTTCCTTATACAAAAATTAACTCAAGATGGATTAAAGGCTTAAAGGTAAGACCTAAAAACATAAAAACCCTAGAAGAAAACCTAGGCAATACCATCCAGGACATAGGCATGGGCAAAGACTTCATGACTAAAACACTAAAAGCAACGGCAACAAAAGCCAAAATTGACAAATGGAATCTAATTAAACTAAAGAGCTTTTGCACAGCAAAAGAAACTATCATCACAGTGAACAGGCAACCTACAGAATGGGAGAAAATTTTTGCAATCTAACCATCTGAAAAAGGGCTAATATCCAGAATCTACAAAGAACGTAAACAAATTTACAAGAAAAAAACAACCCCATCAAAAAGTGGGCAAAAGATATGAACAGACACTTCTCAAAAGAAGACATGTATGCAGCCAACAAACATGAAAAAATGCTGGTCATCAGAGAAATGCAAATCAAAACCACAATGAGATACTATCTTATGCCAGTTAGAATGGCAATCATTAAAAAGTCAAGAAACAACAGATGCTGGAGAAGTTGTGGAGAAATAGGAACACTTTTACTTTGTTGGTGGGAGTGTAAATTAGTTCACCCATTGTGGAGGACTGTGGAGATTCCTCAAAGTTCTAGAACTAGAAATATCATTTGACCCAGCAATACCATTACTGGGTATATACCCAAAGGATTATAAATCATGCTACTATAAAGACACATGCACACATATGTTTATTGTGGCACTGTTCACAATAGCAAAGACTCAGAACCAACCCAAATGCCCATCAATGATAGACTGGATAAAGAAAATGTGACACATATACACCATGGAATACTAGGCAGCCATAAAAAAGGATGAGTTCATGTCCTTTGCAGGGACATCAACGAAGCTGGAAACCATCATTCTCAGCAAACTATCACAAGAACAGAAAACCAAACACTGCATGTTCTCACTCATTAGTGGGAGTTGAACAATGAGAACACATGGACATAGGGAGGGGAACATCACACACCCAGACCTTTTGTGGGGGTGGAGGGCATGGGGAGAGATAGTATTAGGAGAAATACCTAATGTAGATGATGGGTTGATGGGTGCAGCAAACCACCATGGCACGTGTATACCTGCGTAACAAACCTGCACGTTCTGCACATGTACCCCAGAACTTAAAGTATAAAAAAAAAAAAGAAAGAGAAAAGAAACACCAGTCTCCTGCATATACTGTGGCCCTCTTGGAGATCCAGAATGCATGTTAAAAGTTCTCAGAGGCCAGTCACAGTGGCTCACACCTGCAATACCAACACTTTCAGAGGTCAAGGCAAGAGGGTCGCTTGAGATCAGGAGTTCAAGACCCACAAGGGCAACAAGCAAAACCCTCATCTCTACAAAAAAATAAAAAAACTAAGAAAGTTAGTCAGGTGTGGTCCCAGCTACTAAGGAGGCTGAGGCTTCAATGAGGTATGATCATGCCACTGCACTCTAGCCTGGGTGACAGAGTGAGACCCCAACTCTAAAGTAAAAATGAAAATAAAAAATGTTCTGGAAAACTCTTTAGTAAAGAACCTTGTTTAACTTTTTTAACCCAATTTTCCTCAAATTTCTTGAGTTTTGGTCCCTTTCCCCTAAATACTGCTAATTAGCCTGGCAGAAAAACAGTATCCTGTGGTACAAGGATTCCCTAACCCCCAGGGCCTGGCCTGTTAGGAATCAGGCTGCACAGCAGGAGGTGAGCAATGGCCAAACAAGCATTACTGCCTGAGCTCTACCTCCTGTCAGATCAGCGGCGGCATTAGATTCTCATAGGAGCATGAACCCATCATGAACTGCACATGCAAGGGATCTAAGTTGCATGCTCCTTATGAGAACATAATGCCTGATGATCTGAGATGAAAGAATTTCAACATGAAACCAGCCACCCACACCATCCGTGGAAAAACTGTCTTCCACAAAACCAGTCCCTGGTGCCAAAAAGGTTGGGGAAAGCTGCTGTAGCACACACTTTAATTAATTCGACACTGATTTTAAACAATCAAATCTTGTTTCTTTGTTGATTTATATCATCATTTCAGAAAACTTTCTCACTTTCCTTGTGTTGCCTCTGTCTAATATTTTAGCTTGAAGTTTAATTGCTAAACCAAGTTTTCAGTAAGAGGCCTTCCCTAAAAGAAAAATGATGTTAGGTAAATTATGTAACAAAATGCAGTTTCTCTACAAAGAGGAATAACGTGATTCTACTACACTACTTCTTTGTGCACTCATTCATTTGTTCATTCACTCATTTGACTTGTTTATTCCTAGAAGTACGATGATAAAGGCTGTCAATGCAAAGGAGAAAAATTCACTATGACTATAATGAGTCCTGTGACAGAGATAAGAATAGAAAAGCCCTATTTCTCTCCTAACTGGGAAGGGATGAGGGAAGTTGGCAGGTTAAATAAAGTTCACAGCAAGGCTGATAGTAGAGATGAAGAATTTTGGTTGCAAGTGAGAGAGACTCAACTCCAACTAGACTAAGCAGGAGGGGAGTGTGTTAGCTCATTACTTAGGAAGTCCAAGGGTAGAGCTGGCCTCAGGCATGACCAGTTCCATGAAGTCAAAGGACATTAACAAGACTGCTTGCCCCCATCTATTTCTCATCTCTACTTTCCTCTAGTTGTTGCCAGCACAAACAGGCTTTTTCCATGAGACAAGAAGGACAGCAGCCCCTAATTCATTCACATCCTTCCAGCAACATGACCAAAAAGGCAAGGCCCCTTCTCCAACTCTCTCTCTCCATCAGCCTTAGAGTAGGATTCTCATGCCCCAGACCAATCATCACATTCCAATTACCAGCCCAGCTTCCTATCATCCTGCAGCTTCAAACTCCTGCTGAGGCCCACAAGAACCCCAGGGCTGTGTGGGAGGTGGCACAGATGATCGCAGCTCTGATTTTACATTATGTAGACAGTGAAATGGAGATGAAAATTCTAAACAAGCAATAAAGAATTTGCATGAAATTTTGGAGTGTAACTTTCATGGACTGTCTTTTTTATTCTCCTTATTTTGTTTTGTTTAGTTTTTTTACCCCAGGTAAAAAGGTGAACAGCTCAGAGATGTAACTGTATTTTTCTCTTCTTAAGCAATTTTTTCTTCCTCTGCCTACATTCACCTTTTCTTCCAAGGGAAAGGTAAAACCACTGCTTTTAAGTGAGAAGAAATACCAGTTATTATACTAACAGGGTATGTGTTCAATAATCAAAAAACCTTGCCTATTCTACTTAAGGTTTTAAAAATTACTTTGCTAATCCCATTACTGGGAATACCCAAAGGATTATGAATCGTTCTACTATAAAGACACATGCACATGTATGTTTATTGCAGCACTATTTACAAGAGCAAAGACTTGGAACCAACCCAAATGCCCATCAATGATAGACTGGATAAAGAAAATGTGGCTCATATACACCATGGAATACTATGCAGCCATAAAAAAGAGTTTATGTCCTTTGCAGGGACATGGATGAAGCTGGAAGCCATCATTCTCAGCAAGCTAACACAGGAACAGAAAACCAAACACCACATGTTCTCACTCATAAGTGGGAGTTGAACAATGAAAACACATGGACACAGGGAGGGGAACATCACACACTGGGGCCTGTTGGGGGATGGGGGGCAAGGGGAGGGAGAGCATTAGGACAAATACCTAATGCATGCGGGGTTTAAAACCTAGATGGCGGGTTGATAGGTGCAGCAAACCACCATGGCCCAGGTATGTCCATGTAACAAACCTGCACGTTCTGCACATGTATCCCAGAACTTAAAGTAAAAATTTTTTTAAAAATTACTTTGCTAATGTCTTTCAACTCCAATGTGTTAATGTAACTTCAGATGCTATTGAGTTTTGACCTAGGGTGGCATAAAGAAAATAGATTCCATGATTTTGCAACATGGCTCATTCCATAAATAAATAAATAAATTTCAGCAATATAACCAATTAAATAATTTTAGACATTTAAACACAGGTATACAGAATATACTATTTCTATGCTTATACATATCAAGGTTTCTTTTAAGATGCATCAAAATTATTAGGCTTCACTCAAAGTCCTTAATAAAGATTCTTGAGCTTTGTTTTCTTCAGGCAAATTTAATTCTAGGATTACCATTTTTGTATTCCTCAAATTGTGCTCTAGGACTACATGCATCAAAATTACACGAGAAAGCTTGTTAAAATGCAGATTATTGGACCCCACTCTATATCTATGGAATCAGAATCTCATAGGGAAAGTTCTAGGAATCTTCGTATTTAAAGCTTTGCAAATGGTATTTCTGCACCCTAAAATATGAGAAGCTCCATTCTAAAACTTTGGAGAGTTTTAATTGCAATTTCTGAGTTACGGTGTCAGTATGTTTTTCTATCTCTAAAGTAGGATAAAATATTTGTGAATTCTGTGAACTTTATTTTGTCATTAAAATGTAATCAGCAATCTTTGTGGGTCATGTTGGTTTGAAGTTCTCTGACAAAGTAGCTATAAGCATAGTTAATGAAACAAAGTCCTTTGGATTTAAAAATACTCACTCATAATGAGTATTAATGAATAAGATAGGTAAATTCCATTGTAACAAACTTTTGTGATTATAACAAATGAATCAATATGATTTTATTATAATAGTTACATTGCAAGAACTGATGTGATAATTAAGATCCAACTGAAATTAATCTAGATAGTAAAATTTTATGAAAACTCATTACAGTTGTTAGCTTTCTTCCAAACGAACAACCTCAACTCCTCATAAACAGGATTTTATTTCCAATCCAAGACAAGTTATAAGAAGTCAATATATACAATCCAATTCCTCCCACTAGCAATTCTGTAGGAGCTGCTTAGAAAGTCCTTGCATCTTTAGAGCCAGAAGAGCCTTAGGGATAGTGAACTTCAACCCTTCTTCTTACAGATGAAGAGACTGAAGGGCAAATCTCATGATTGACAGCAGAAACAGAAGGAAAATCCTAGTGTTCTGATTGCCTAGTCCTCCTACTGGAGTACAGAATTAAATGATTCTTCTGGAATATCCATTGTTTTCAAAGATTCAGGGGTGGGTGGGAGCAAACTTTTTTTATATATAACAGGTACACTACAGGGTTAAAAAAAGAAAAAAGTCACATAAAACATGAGACTTGAAAGAAAAGCCATTCAGGCACCTTGAGTTATTCATTCTTTCTCTCCTTCCATTCAAGATACATGGTGAAAACTTTTAAAAATCCCAGTGCCTACCCCAACTTCCCTACCAAAATCTGACAAAACTAAAAGAGAACAGAGAACATGACACCCAAAGTCGTCATGTATAATTACTTTTTACATATCCAGATAGATCCAGCGTGGTTGAGAATAAAGCAAGTGAGGGTATCAAGCTCTTCTCAGATAGTTTACTGAGCATCTACTACAAATCTGGGCCTCACTTATTCACTCTATTATTCAACAGACACATATGGAACACCTACTAGGAGCTAGAAGCTATGACATGCTCTGTTGATATTGAGATGAATAGAGAGGGGAAAGCAAAATTAAACCCACAATTACAGTGTGTTAGATTACCTGCTGTAGAACCAGGTGTTATGGCCACAACTACTCAACTAGGATGACTCAGAGAAGAATCAAAGTGGAAATGACATTGGGCTGAGTCTTGAAGGACAACTGGGAGTTTATCTAATGGAATAATGGAAAAAGAAGAGAAAATAGTGGGGACAGCCCATGCAGAGGTATTAAAGGGTGAGGAGTCATCTATAAGCAGTTGAAGAGAGGATCCAGAGAAGACAATATTATAGACATGAGCATTGTTTTTGTGCCATCTAGCACAATGTGGCCAAAGCCAAACAAGTTTTTAAAATAATAATAATCTACCCTCCTTGAGCAACAGACTGTAGAATGGTGAATGAAGGAGCCCATCCTTGAGAACTGGCTTCAGAGTGAAAGAAATCTATTCTTATATTTCCTCTCTTCAAAGCCTTAAATGCCTTCCCAGCTTTCAAAGTCCACCTCTTCCAGCAAAACTGCTAGGATTTCCAGAATCCAAACAGAATCCTTGGAAGGAAGAAATGATCAAATCAAAGAGGGGATATTATGGATCCCCATGATTACCGTAAAATTTTGTCTCCTAAGTTCTTTGGTATGTAGATCATAGCAGCTTTTTGCATTGGTGAGAGGTGGTAGGTGATAGACATGAGTTCCAGGTTTCACTACTTTAAAACCGTGTGACTTCAGGGAAGCCACATACCTCTTGGGACATTTTTCTCATCGCAAACACCCTGCTAGTTCAATGTGGAGCTTAAACATGATGTGAGGCAGAGCACCTGTTACAAGGTCTAGCCTATCCTGGGCCTTCTATGGGGCAGCTGCTACCAGTATTAGGCAGTTTCATTCATTCATTCAACAAATCTTTACTGAGGACTTACCATGTAGAAGCCAGAAGGAATACAAAAATAAATCTGAATTGGATTTTGCTCTCAAGGACCTCCCAATCTATAGAAGAGATACAGGACCAAGCCAAATAGCTATACCATAAATAAGAAAGCATTTACCACCAAGAGAAATTACTGGGGTAGTTGGGAGGATGGGCAAAGATTACTTGTAGAGTGGAGGGATTTGGTGAAAGAGAAGGGGAAAGGATTAGGGGTTGAGGATAAAAGAGAGGAAAAATGTCTGAGCCAGGCACTCTTACGCCTTCTGATGTGGGTATAGCGAGTATCCATCGGACCCTTTCACAAATGAAATAAAAGGGGTTCCGGGAAGCGTCACAACTCACTCAATTCAGAACTCCCCACCTCTAATCCAAAACATTTGCCATTAAATCTCTTTACCTCCTATAGCTAGGGCCATTTGCAGATGGTAGGGGACAAGACAGGGGAAAGTAGCAGGAAGGAGGTTATTGGGTCACTGGGCACTGTCGCAGGTCAAGGCAGAGCAGACTCAGCGGGGTGCGCGGTAAGAGGGGGAGGGCAGGGGCGGGCCGGCAGGGAAGGGTGTGTGGAAGGGCAGCCAAGGGGCGGGGAGAGGGGTGCGGGCCGCACTCAGAGGCCGTCCAAGACACTGGCAAGCCGCAGAAGCCCAGTTCGCCGGCCATGAAGCAGCGGTTCTCGGCGCTGCAGCTGCTGAAGCTGCTGCTGCTGCTGCAGCCGCCGCTGCCACGAGCGCTGCGCGAGGCGCTCTGCCCTGAGCCCTGCAACTGCGTGCCCGACGGCGCCCTGCGCTGCCCCGGCCCCACGGCCGGTCTCACTCGACTGTGAGTACACAGCGCTCCCGTCGCGGCGCCCTTGATGCAGGACCCTCCATCGCTCTATGCCACCTTCCCTCCCTACTCCTTTGGCCCCCTTTCCCTGGAAGCTTGGAGAAAAACGCTTTGCCCTATCAAATTTCCCCCACGTTTTAGGGTGATGAGAACCCAAAACTTGGTGGTTGTTTTTACCACCCCATGCCTCTGAGAGCCCCAGCCCCATTCTTTACCCCTGGTTGGGGCTGTGGCCGGGGGAGTAGAACTATTCAGGAACCTCAGGGGAAGGCCTGCTCTCTGCCGCTGCTTGAAGGGAATATGGGTGTGACGCTCCTCAACTCCTCTGGCAGGGGTCTCTGCCAGAGAAGTCTTACAGGCCTTTGAGCCTTGGGCCAGCCACGTCAGGGAAGGTGAATGTGAGCTCTGGCACCCTGTGGTCCTCTAGGAATGGAGTGCTCAGGCCCTATGGCCAAGGGTGACCTAATCTGTCAACTGACTGCTGGCAGTCACACGGGCATCTTAGTGAGCACACAAGCCGCTGCTCCACCGTGCCCAGATGTGCTTGAACTTCAGTCTCATGGTCTAATGGACCAAAGGCCCTGTGCCCTGCCGCTGGCACCCGCGCACCACCTCCACACTCACAGGCCTGATTGAGGGATTGTATACATCAGCAACCTGGGGGAGGGCGTTGTTTCTGGAGTAATGGGGTAAAGAGGAGAAGGGGAGCCTTTAGTACTAGACTATCAGGGTGTCATCAGGTCTCCTTTCTCCTATTTAGAAAAAAAAGTACCACATATTTTATAATACTATTTACATGAAATGTCCAGATAAACTGAAAGTAGATTAGTAGTTACCAGGGCTGGGGAAGCGGATGGGAGGGACAGTAGGTGACTACTAATCAGTGGGTATGGGCTTGGGGCGGGGGGGTGGTGAAATTTTTGTAAAATTAGATTGTAGAGACAGTTGCGTGTGAACATATTAAAAACAATTGCATTGTCCACTTTAAATTCTATAGTGTAGGATTTACATCTCAATACAGCTGTGAAAAGAGAAAAGGAAAGAAAAGAAAGGGAAAAAAAGACAAAAGACAAGAGTATCTAAAAGGCTGGTAGAGGTCTTGATCATGTCCTAACAATTAGAGATGATGGAATTCTGTGCTGGGGAAGGAAGGAGACCACCCCCTCTGCCATTTCCTTTGAGCCCCCAACAGTCTGTCACGGGCTGTTTCATAGAGGAGACTCACCCTCCCTGCCAGGCCAGGCTTCTTCATGTGGAAAAGTTAAAGGCCTTCTGGGAATAATTGTGGTTGAGAGATACAGTTAAAGGGTTGAGGGGTTTATATTAATTAGTTTCCATTAATTATCTTGTCAGGTCCATTCCCTGAAGGAATGGACCATGCTGATAGAATTTGTTTCAATCAATCCACAAATCCATGCAACAGGCCTTCCAAGTTCCAGCCCTGGTCCGTCCCTGACAAGCATGCCATGTTGCTCTTAAGAATGACTGTACTACTAACAGACTTTCTCACTTGCCTGCTACTTATCATACAGATTAGAAGAAACTGAGATCCAAGGAGAAGGAATAACTTGCTCAAGGTCTCACAGCTATTGAATAGCAATTCAGGATTTTATCTATTAATTATCTTTTTAAATTTGCTCATCTTTGTAAGAAAAACTACTGCTTTCTTAATAAAACACACACACACACACACACACACTCAGTTTCTCCAAAATTAGTACTGAGCAAAGAACTCCCACTGGGGGCATGAATGGGTGGGCCAAGTCCCAGTTCCTTTTCAATTCAGCTTTTCAGTAAGATCTCTCAAGGGCTCCTGCTGCCACGTGCTGTTCTCAGGAGGGGACCCCCTTCCCTGGAAAAGGCTGAAGTAAATTTTTTTTAAAAATCCCACTTTCTCCTGCTGCCTTTCAGCAGGGTTTCAAGAATCCTAGAACCCCTCAAAAATATCTGATAGGGCTGACTAGGTTTGGGGGTAGAGACCCTGAGCATCCACCACCAGGAACATCCTCTGCCAGTCATTTAGCCTCCTTAGCCAAGCGTGGTGACCCTCACAAGGTTTCATTTCCTGAGCACCAGATGGTTGAGAGATGCCCTCATCTTTCAAGAGATGCCCTTGTCACTCTGTGGAGGTTGAGCCTATGCAGGCCAAAACAGGGTAACTTTTGGCACAACATAGTGACACCAACATCCATATGACAAGAGAGGTGCATGTTAAGCAAAGGGAGGGTTGTTACTTCAAGGCAATATTTCTCAAAGTATGGTCTTAGCTCAGCAGTATGAACATCACCTGGGAAATGTTAGACTGCATATTCTCAGGCCTCAGCCCCAACCTACTGAATCAGAAACTCCAGGGGTGGGGTCCAGCAGGCTACAGATTAACAAGCTCCTCAGGTGATTCTGATGCATACTAAAGTTTGAGAACCAAGGCACAGCTCTCCAGGGAGGTATCATCTTAGAGAGGAAAAAGTATATTTTAAAAGTCCTTGTGCCATACACTTCCCTTCCCCACCCCCCCCCCCCCCCGCCAAAATCCGGCATAACACCTATTTATTGCAAAAAGGCATAAAATCAAAATCCTAAACCCAGAGGCAGACGGAAAATAAGCAGAATTGAGGGAAGTTTTTTTTTTCCTCAAAGAGGACTGCAGGAAGGAATCCATGGAGGACAGACTGAAGATACAGGGAATGAGGGAGGAATGTTAATTGTCAGATCTCAATGGGGGTAGGAGGAGAGCATCAGTCTAACAACATGGGGGAAAGATTAACCTTAGAAAGAATAAGAAGTTTTGAGTCCTGAGGTAAGAAGACCTATGGGTAAAGGAATAACTCAATATTAAGACAAAGGACAGGAAAAGTGGACAGGTTCATACTGAAATCCTCTTTTCTTGATGATGAATGCATGAAATGATAAACAGTAATTATGAGACAGAAAACTGCTATGATGGCAAGTTATCAGTTCATAAAAAAAAAAAAAAAGAAAGCTTAAATTATGAGGTAAGTCTTCCAGGAGGAGAGGATGTGGTCTTGCACTACATTATCATAGACTTTGCCTCTGCAGAGAGAAGGGGAGCACTCCAAGTTCTCAGGGTTGGAGGAGGCAAGTACTGCAGAGCACCTTAGGATTCAGCATTAGTCCCTCAATAGATGTTAATTTATGCTTTAGTCATTTGGGGTCCTAGTAACCTTACCTTCTAAGACCTCCATCCAAAGTTCACTATTTGGTTTAAGAAGAAGAAAAAAAACAAGGTACATGGATTATAGCTGCTTATCACTGACAAGCCTGCTGCTTACAAATTTTGAAAATGGCATCGTTCAAATTTTTCCTCCCCTTTCATATTTTATGAAAAACATAGGTATTTAAAATCTAAAATGTGATACAAAATATAACCTCCCACATTTCACTCACTTTAATTGGGGAAAAAATGAAAGAAAAAACTGATTTAAAAAATTTCCTTTCCTTTCTTATTAGTTCTAGGCAACTGGAAAGAGGAGAAAAAAATCTCACCTTGCCCATGGCTATATAAAGATCTTTGTCTCTATGACAACAGAAAGGTTGATCTGCTTGATATGGAAACAGCTTTTGAAAAATCTGTTAGTAAGAAAATGCTAATAATAATTATGGCAATTTATTTTTTGCATGTTGTACCTACTGAACAGAAATTAAACTTTTAGATTTTGTTGAAGACATAATCCAGAGGCCTTGGCAAGATATTGGCTTGGTACAAAAGTAATTGCCATTACTTTCAATGGCAAAAACCATGATTACTTTTGCACCAACCTAATGCAATGTTCATATCGATCCAGCATTACTCTTTCCTGACACCTTTCTTGAGTGTCTTCCTCTTCCTCTCACTTGCAGTGTAAATCAGGGTCCAAAACAGTGTTCAGTGCCGTAGTGTCTTTGAGAAGCCCACAATGTAAGTGGAAACACACCCCCAAGAGACTGGTATAGGTGTAGAGAGAAAGACAACAAGGCTCTAAGGAATTCACAGAATGAATTAATCACTATGAACTGAAGTCTCCAAGGGAAGGCTTCATGGGCCAAGTGTTAAGAAGCTGAACTGTGAAGAAGGAAAGAGGGGTCCTGGTGGAAGAACCACAGGTTAAAATCAACTAGAGATTCGTTGCTGAGAAGCAAGGAAGAAGGTTGAATAAATTCTTCCCAGGCTGGGGGGGAAATATTTCTTAAGAGAAGACATAAAGTTATTAGAGAGCTTTGATTACTCAGACGTTGTGCAAAAAGAAAAAAAAATCCCAATATGTAGTTATTGACTAATAAGCTTTCAATTAAAGCCATTATTTGATGATTGGTTGCAAAGGCATTAAGTAAAAACCATGATTAGGAGTCACTTCCCCATGAAGCCTTCCCTGATGCCCACTGCCCCACCCCCACTCCACCTCCATCTTCCCCATCCACATACTCACTTCAATATCCTGGGCTTACATATATTTTTGTACATATCTCACCATAATGCAGCCATTTGTTCAACATGTGCCTCTTCTGCCAGAGCAGGTTTCTAAATCTTAGCAATATTGACAATTGACAATTGGGGCCAGATAATTCTTTGTTATGGGAGCTGTTTTGAACCTTGTAGAATGTTTTCCAGCATCCCTGGCCAGGAGCGCTGCCTTCCCAAATTGTGACAACCAAAAGTATCTCTAGACATTTGGCAAATGACCCCCGGAGGGGGCAGGGGGAAATTCCTCCCCACCCCTTGGTTTTGAATCATTGTGCTAGAGTAAGAACCACCTGAAGAAATGTCATTCAACTCAGGGTTCCCAGAATTTCACATGTAGTATAATTAAAGTGTTACTGAGTTTCATGATTAAACTGAGATAGCTGAATAGGAACAATTAACTCATGCAGAAAAGAAGCATGTCTACATCAGCTAGCATGTATTACAGCTAAATGTCATTTTTTAAATCTCTGTTTTAGAAAATGGGGAAGTGAGAAAATGCTATAGGTTCTGAAGGGAGTTATTTGTGTTATGTCAGCATCCAGGTCCTATAACAGAATTTGTAGGCTTCCAGTCTATCATTTGAATGGGAAATAGCAGACATATCAACTTCAGGGAAGCAAGACCTGAAGCTTACCTATATCAGTATATTCCATCTAGATTGTTTTCATTTTATTTTTTTAGACTCAGTAGGGAAGAATCAATCCCCAGCCCAAGATTCCTTAATAAAAACAAACTGAAAGCAAACAAAAACCACCAAGGCAGCCTGAATTGAGACAGATGGCCTCCTGGTGTAGCACACAAGGTAACAGCCCCCAGGAAAGAATCCACAGACAGAAAGAAGACTACCACACTCTTGCAAGCAAGACAGCTTGGCCCTACCCTCAGCTTTCCTAAATCTGGGCCAGCCAAAAAATCTCAGAATTAAGAAAGTTTATGTCCCACCTCCCTAGCCTACCCTCACCACCACCACAACCACCCCTAAAGAAACAAAGGCCCAAGGTTGAGGTTAATCTGGAACCTTAGTTCTGACTCAGCTCTCCCAGCCATGCCTCAAGGCAACTCTTAAACCTGACCTTGCTGATACACAGACTCCTCGGGAGAAGCTCAGGAAGGACTAGATTTTATTTGTTTAAAAATCACTCTGCTGGGGAAAGTGAATGATAGCCCCTAGCAAGACACTAAAAAACAAGCAACAGAGTTCCCAAAATCTCAACGCAAGTGTAGAGCCAAAAGGTTCACACACAGATCTCTTTGGCATTGGACCCAGCTCCCTCCTTGGAGAGTAGTAATTCCTTGGGTTTTTCTTCTTTTTTTTTTTTTTTTTTAATTTCAAAAGCAGTAAATCAGATTAATTCAGGGCTCCAGTTCTGCTCTTTTGCCCACCTCTATCTTCTTCCTAAGCCCCTCAGTTGGCTTCTTTTCATGTCTTGAAATGAGGCAACAAAGGTCTCTTTCCAAAATATAATCTCCCAGAGTGGCTACACCAAATGTTGTCTTGGCCATGTGTAATTCTGATCTTATACTTGAGGTTTTAAAGCCAGTTGAGTCACAGTGGTGAAGAGAAGCCCTGCTGCTCACTTCCACAGCTGAGAGGGCTGGCTCCATGGGAGCATATGTGCTTTGTTCCAGCAGCTCCCCTTGGCTGCAGAAAAATCATATTTAATGCAGATTTTAGCAAATTCCCACCCAGCTTTTTTTCTTATGAAAGGAATTAAAATAATCCCTCCCACCAGGCAGGTGGGCTTTCTGACTTGGTGGGCAGCTTCTAGCTGCTTCTCCACAGGGTCCTCATGTACTCCCAGCTTCTGCCTCACTGGAAGATGACACCACCTCCTGGCAAACCACTCACAGCTGCTCTCTATGTGGCCCTGAACCTCAGTTCCTTAATGCCACCTCAGCCAAATTCAGAAAAGTACAATTTATAAACAAAACTCAACTTTCAGAATGAAGATTTAATTCCTTGCTGCTGTTACACTTGTCCTTGACTCTGATGTAATGAGGTTACGCTACTCCTGGGTTCCTAATTGCACCTCATGAGTAGCAGCAGACAGCATTTCTGAGCCCACAGAGGTGAGGATGCTGTGGTGTGACAGGGTAGGGTCCAATGCAGTCCCCAAATTATTCAAACTGATCAACAGGACAGACTGGGCAGAACTGGGTTCTAGCACCAGGTCCCCTTTTTCTAATTTGCACTGTAGGTATTGGCTCAATGATGAAATCTCTTTGCTGTCTGTAAAAGGGACATGATGATTCCTGTCCCTGAGTGGGACCAGATATAGTGAAGATAAATGAGACCAAAAAAAGCCAAAAGTATGGAAATAAAGTTTTCACATAGCTACAAGGTATTATTGTAATAATCTGATGATGCAGAGAAGACTAAAAAACCCACAGCCCATATGTGAGGTTGAACAGTAAATATCTATCATCCAAGGGGCAAGCCTGATGGAACAGTTTTGTTCCTGGGAGGTGTTAATTAGAGAAAATGACCCACTAGGCCTTCTCAACCTGGAAAGTGAATAAGTTAGAATCCCAAAACAGCAGAGCTCATTATTGCCTTGAGTCTAATTTCTGGCCTTTTCAGCCCAAACTTAGCTGCCCCTGACACATACCTCCTAATACCTGATTATTGGCTGTTTTTGGTCCTGTCTGCCCAGCTAAAGCATCCAAGCCCATTCTGGATCTTTTCCTCCCCCCTTTCCCCATCCCTAAGCCTCAGACTGGACACACAGAAAGCCTTCAGGTGAGACTTGTTGGCCACTCAGGAAATACGTACTGAAATGTACAAGATAGCATGCAGGATCCAAAGATACCATCTCTGCCCTCCAGGAGCTTATAGTCTTCCAGATGTAGAAGAGGTATCCTCTTCTCAAATGACTACAGGGAAATGGAGAATGTGATAAATGCTAGATAAAGGTTATAAACAAGATAGGAGTTCAGAGCAGGGAATCATCTCTTCTAGCCAGAGTAACAAAGAGGCCTCAGAGGAAGTGTCATTTGAACTTCCTCTGAGTGTTTTAAGGCTCATTCTCTATAGAGGCAGCTGGACTAGCATGGTTATCCCCTAAGCTCAGTTCTGGCCAGCTTAGAGAGACCACTGAGGAATCGCTATTCAAAGCCTTCGGTCCTCTCACTGAGCAACAACATATGCCCTGTGTTATGGACTGTCCATAGAATAGTGGATTACTTCAACCTGGAAACCTTGGGTGGGGCTCTGGGTAAGTCTTTTTTCATTTGCAAGCACCAGAAATCAATTCTGACCATTTTAATCATAAGAGATTAACTTAATAGAAGGATAAGAAGGTAGAAGTATGCTGTGAAGATGTAAGGAGAATATCTGGCATCTTAGCAAAAGCTGCTCAGGGAGCTTTCCCCTAGATTTACAAGGAGTCGGTTCCAAAAACGACTCCTCTCTGTCCCTCTTTTATAAATTTCCAATTCCCAAAAAGAGAATCTGACTGACCCAAGCACACCCAGCATAGAATCGATCTGCTCAGTCAGCAAGATTCTTCCACCATAATGTGGCGAGTTCTGAGGTACTTCCAGAGAAGGGCGCATTTTTGATACAGGCAACCTCATAATGGTTGCTACCAGAGGGGATAAGTTAGTAAAAAGTGAAGGCACACAGGCCAGTAATTTCAGGCACTTCAAACCCATTCTCAGGCACAGTGGCTCACGCCTGTAATCCCAGCACTTCTGGAGGCTGAGGTAGGTGGATCACTTGAGGTCAGGAGTTTGAGACCAGCCTGGCCAACATGGTGAAACCTTGTCTCTACTAAAAAATACCAAAAAATTAGCCAGGCATGGTGGTGCTTGCCTGTAGTCCCAGCTACTTGGGAGGCTGAGGCAGGAGAATCCCTTGAACCAGGAGACAGAGGTTGCAGTGAACCGAGATCGCACCACTGCCCTCCAGCCTCTGCAACAGAGCGAGACTGCCTCATAAAAAGAAAAAAAAAAGTAAAAGAAAAAATAATAATAAATAAAAGTATGTAGTATATCAGTTGCAACCAACTTTTACACAGTTACTTTAAAAAAAGTTTTTAAGTGTTGGGAAAGAGGCGCTTTTAATGAAAGAGCTTCCTGAAGCATATCTGCAATGTCACTGCCTTGGCAACATAATATTCTCAGCTTCTGAAAAATATTTTCAAGAAATCATTACAGGTGAGGCAGACATTCCCCAGGGAGAACCCAACATGTAGTTTTATTTACCAGAGTTATTCTTGTCATGTTATATTATTGCTAGACAAATTCTAGTTTAAGGAGATAGAGATTGGGTTATTTTGCTTTGTTTCTTTAGAAAATGTTAAATGGGTTTTGAGTAAGGGCTTAGATATACTTACCATTTTCCTCTGAGGCTTTATATTTTTAATTTACTTGTTGCACAAATGACATGAAAAATCCATTATCCAGGAATCTTCTTAACATCTTGGTTCACATGATAAGACATAAACTCCTCACACCATCTTGGGTGCTGCGGAATGGCTGTCTTAGAGGAGAGTCACTCAAATTGCATTTTCCAATGGGAAAGTTTCAACTGACTGATCATTAAAACAATCAATGCTCAAATGCAAAATCTGCAGAGTGGCTCTCTAGAGTTGAAATATTTAATTGAAGGTTGTTCTTTATCACTTCTTAAAAAGGCTATCAGAAGAGTCCTAAAAGAGATATCTGAGCCCAAAAGAAAGATACCAATTGAGAGTATTTATTCTCCCTCTCAGTTGTCCTAATCAGAGGAAAGTCAAGATTTAGGAATAAGCCATAGGCATGCTATAGACTTAAAAGTGACTGACCCATGACAAACAGAAGAATCAATTCCTAAGTATGGAACCTATCCACCCCTACCCCCTGCCAAGGAAATAGAGATGTCATAAAATGTAGCCTAGGTGGCCTAAATCTTTCACAGTAAGCAGCTGTGAATTATTAATAAAAATACTTATTGAGTCTTCATATTGTACTGCATGCTATATTAGTATTATGTAAACATAGATTTTTTAGATTATACACACTTTATAGATGTGAAATGAAATTTTGATTTGAACCCAGGCTGGCTCCAGAGTGTGCGCTCTTAACTACCACACTATGGGACTTCAAGAGAGAAAGCAAGTGCCACTGGTGATGAAAACCCTTTCCATAGAGTATGTAGTACCTGAGACGGACCTTTTTTTTTTCTTTTAATTTTTAATTTTTTATTTATTTATTATTATTATACTTTAAGTTTTAGGGTACATGTGCACAACATGCAGGTTAGTTACATATGTATACATGTGCCATGCTGGTGCGCTGCACCCACTAACTCGTCATCTAGCATTAGGTATATCTCCCAACGCTATCCCTCCCCCCTCCCCCCACCCCACAACAGTCCCCAGAGTGTGATGTTCCCCTTCCTGTGTCCATGTGTTCTCACTGTTCAATTCCCACCTATGAGTGAGAATATGCGGTGTTTGGTTTTTTGTTCTTGCGATAGTTTACTGAGAATGATGATTTCCAATTTCATCCATGTCCCTACAAAGGACGTGAACTCATTATTTTTTATGGCTGTATGGTATTCCATGTTGTATATATGCCACATTTTCTTAATCCAGTCTATCATTGTTGGACATTTGGCTTGGTTCCAAGTCTTTGCTATTGTGAATAATGCCACAATAAACATATGTGTGCATGTGTCTTTATAGCGGCATGATTTATAGTCCTTTGGGTATATACCCAGTAATGGGATGGCTAGGTCAAATGGTATTTCTAATTCTAGATCCCTGAGGAATCGCCACACTGACTTCCACAATGGTTGAACTAGTTTACAGTCCCACCAACAGTGTAAAAGTGTTCCTATTTCTCCACATCCTCTCCAGCATCTGTCGTTTCCTGACTTTTTAATGATCGCCATTCTAACTGGTGTGAGATGGTATCTCATTGTGGTTTTGATTTGCATTTCTCTGATGGCCAGTGATGGTGAGCACTTTTTCATGTGTTTTTTGGCTGCATAAATGTCTTCTTTTGAGAAGTGTCTGTTCATGTCCTTCGCCCACTTTTTGATGGGGTTGTTTGTTTTTTTCTTGTAAATTTGTTTGAGTTCATTGTAGATTGTGGATATTAGCCCTTTGTCAGATGAGTAGGTTGTGAAAATTTTCTCCCATTTTGTAGGTTGCCTGTTCCCTCTGATGGTAGTTTCTTTTGCTGTGCAGAAGCTCTTTAGTTTAATTGGATCCCATTTGTCAATTTTGGCTTTTGTTGCCATTGCTTTTGGTGTTTTAGACATGAAGTCCTTGCCCATGCCTATGTCCTGAATGGTAATGCCTGGGTTTTCTTCTAGGGTTTTTATGGTTTTAGGTCTAACGTTTAAGTCTTTAATCCATCTTGAATTGATTTTTGTATAAGGTGTAAGGAAGGGATCCAGTTTCAGCTTTCTACATATGGCTAGCCAGTTTTCCCAGCACCATTTATTAAATAGGGAATCCTTTCCCCATTTCTTGTTTTTGTCAGGTTTGTCAAAGATCAGATAGTTGTAGATATGCGGTGTTATTTCTGAGGGCTCAGTTCTGTTCCATTGATCTATATCTCTGTTTTGGTACCAGTACCATGCTGTTTTGGTTACTGTAGCCTTGTAGTATAGTTTGAAGTCAGGTAGTGTGATGCCTCCAGCTTTGTTCTTTTGGCTTAGGATTGACTTGGCGATGCAGGCTCTTTTTTGGTTCCATATGAACTTTAAAGTAGTTTTTTCCAATTCTGTGAAGAAAGTCATTGGTAGCTTGATGGGGATGGCATTGAATCTGTAAATTACCTTGGGCAGTATGGCCATTTTCACGATATTGATTCTTCCTACCCATGAGCATGGAATGTTCTTCCATTTGTTTGTATCCTCTTTTATTTCCTTGAGCAGTGGTTTGTAGTTCTCCTTGAAGAGGTCCTTCACATCCCTTGTAAGTTGGATTCCTAGGTATTTTATTCTCTTTGAAGCAATTGTGAATGGGAGTTCACTCATGATTTGGCTCTCTGTTTGTCTGTTGTTGGTGTATAAGAATGCTTGTGATTTTTGTACGTTGATTTTGTATCCTGAGACTTTGCTGAAGTTGCTTATCAGCTTAAGGAGATTTTGGCCTGAGACAATGGGGTTTTCTAGATATACAATCACGTCGTCTGCAAACAGGGACAATTTGACTTCCTCTTTTCCTAATTGAATACCCTTTATTTCCTTCTCCTGCCTAATTGCCCTGGCCAGAACTTCCACCACTATGTTGAATAGGAGTGGTGAGAGAGGGCATCCCTGTCTTGTGCCAGTATTCAAAGGGAATGCTTCCAGTTTTTGCCCATTCAGTATGATATTGGCTGTGGGTTTGTCATAGATAGCTCTTATTATTTTGAGATACGTCCCATCAATACCTAATTTATTGAGAGTTTTTAGCATGAAGGGTTGTTGAATTTTGTCAAAGTCCTTTTCTGCATCTATTGAGATAATCATGTGGTTTTTGTCTTTGGTTCTGTTTATATGCTGGATTACATTTATTGATTTGCATGTGTTGAACCAGCCTTGCATCCCAGGGATGAAGCCCACTTGATCATGGTGGATAAGCTTTTTGATGTGCTGCTGGATTCGGTTTGCCAGCATTTTATTGAGGATTTTTGTATCAATGTTCATCAAGGATATTGGTCTAAAATTCTCTCTTTTGGTTGTGTCTCTGCCCAGCTTTGGTATCAGGATGATGCTGGCCTCATAAAATGAGTTAGGGAGGATTCCCTCTTTTTCTATTGATTGGAATAGTTTCAGAAGGAATGGTACCAGTTCCTCCTTGTACCTCTGGTAGAATTCGGCTGTGAATCCATCTGGTCCTGGACTCTTTTTGGTTGGTAAGCTATTGATTATTGCCACAATTTCAGATCCTGTTATTGGTCTATTCAGAGATTCAGCTTCTTCCTGGTTTAGTCTTGGAAAAGTGTATGTGTCAAGGAATTTATCCATTTCTTCTAGATTTTCTAGTTTATTTGCATAGAGGTGTTTGTAGTATTCTCTGATGGTAGTTTGTATTTCTGTGGGATCGGTGGTGATATCCCCTTTATCATTTTTTATTGCATCTATTGGATTCTTCTCTCTTTTTTTCTTTATTAGTCTTGCTAGCAGTTTATCAATTTTGTTGATCCTTTCAAAAAACCAGCTCCTGGATTCATTAATTTTTTGAAGGGTTTTTTGTGTCTCTATGTCCTTCAGTTCTGCTCTGATTTTAGTTATTTCTTGCCTTCTGCTAGCTTTTGAATGTGTTTGCTCTTGCTTTTCTAGTTCTTTTAATTGTGATGTTAGGGTGTCAATTTTGGATCTTTCCTGCTGTCTCTTGTGGGCATTTAGTGCTAAAAATTTCCCTCTACACACTGCTTTGAATGCGTCCCAGAGATTCTGGTATGTTGTGTCTTTGTTCTCGTTGGTTTCAAAGAACATCTTTATTTCTGCCTTCATTTTGTTATGTACCCAGTAGTCATTCAGGAGCAGGTTGTTCAGTTTCCATGTAGTTGAGCGGTTTTGAGTGAGATTCTTAATCCTGAGTTCTAGTTTGATTGCACTGCGGTCTGAGAGATAGTTTGTTATAATTTCTGTTCTTTTACATTTGCTGAGGAGAGCTTTACTTCCAAGTATGTGGTCAATTTTGGAATAGGTGTGGTGTGGTGCTGAAAAAAATGTATATTCTGTTGATTTGGGGTGGAGAGTTCTGTAGATGTCTATTAGGTCCGCTTGGTGCAGAGCTGAGTTCAATTCCTGGGCATCCTTGCTGACTTTCTGTCTCATTGATCTGTCTAATGTTGACAGTGGGGTGTTAAAGTCTCCCATTATTAATGTGTGGGAGTCTAAGTCTCTTTGTAGGTCACTCAGGACTTGCTTTATGAATCTGGGTGCTCCTGTATTGGGTCCATATATATTTAGGATAGTTAGCTCTTCTTGTTGAATTGATCCCTTTACCATTATGTAATGGCCTTTTTTGTCTCTTTTGATCTTTGTTGGTTTAAAGTCTGTTTTATCAGAGACTAGGATGGCAACCCCTGCCTTTTTTTGTTTTCCATTGGCTTGGTAGATCTTCCTCCATCCATTTATTTTGAACCTATGTGTGTCTCTGCACGTGACATGGGTTTCCTGAATACAGCACACTGATGGGTCTTGACTCTTTATCCAATTTGCCAGTCTGTGTCTTTTAATTGGAGCATTTAGTCCATTTACATTTAAAGTTAATATTGTTATGTGTGAATTTGATCCTGTCATTATGATGTTAGCTGGTTATTTTGCTCCTCAGTTGATGCAGTTTCTTCCTAGTCTCGATGGTCTTTACATTTTGGCATGATTTTGCAGCGGCTGGTACCGGTTGTTCCTTTCCATGTTTAGCGCTTCCTTCAGGAGCTCTTTTAGGGCAGGCCTGGTGGTGACAAAATCTCTCAGCATTTGCTTGTCTGTAAAGTATTTTATTTCTCCTTCACTTAAGAAGCTTAGTTTGGCTGGATATGAAATTCTGGGTTGAAAATTCTTTTCTTTAAGAATGTGGAATATTGGCCCCCACTCTCTTCTGGCTTGTAGAGTTTCTGCCGAGAGATCTGCTGTTAGTCTGATGGGCTTCCCTTTGAGGGTAACCTGACCTTTCTCTCTGGCTGTCCTTAACATTTTTTCTTTCATTTCAACTTTGGTGAATCTGACAATTATGTGTCTTGGAGTTGCTCTTCTCGAGGAGTATCTTTGTGGCATTCTCTGTATTTCCTGAATCTGAATGTTGGCCTGCCTTGCTCGACTGGGGAAGTTCTCCTGGATAATAACCTGCAGAGTGTTTTCCAACTTGGTTCCATTCTCCCCGTCACTTTCAGGTACACCAATCAGACGTAGATTTGGTCTTTTCACATAGTCCCATATTTCTTGGAGGCTTTGCTCGTTTCTTTTTATTCTTTTTTCTCTAAACTTCCCTTCTCACTTCATTTCATTCATTTCATCTTCCATCGCTGATACCCTTTCTTCCAGTTGATCGCATCAGCTCCTGAGGCTTCTGCATTCTTCATGTAGTTCTCGAGCCTTGGTTTTCAGCTCCATCAGCTCTTTTAAGCACTTCTCTGTATCGGTTATTCTAGTTATACATTCTTCTAAATTTTTTTCAAAGTTTTCAACTTCTTTGCCTTTGGTTTGAATGTCCTCCCGTAGCTCGGAGTAATTTGATTGTCTGAAGCCTTCTTCTCTCAGCTCGTCAAAGTCATTCTCTGTCAGCTTTGTTCCGTTGCTGGTGAGAAACTGCGTTCCTTTGGAGGAGGAGAGGCACTCTGCTTTTTTGAGTTTCCAGTTTTTCTGCTCTGTTTTTTCCCCATCTTTGTGGTTTTATCTACTTTTGGTCTTTGATGATGGTGATGTACAGATGGGTTTTTGGTGTGGATGTCCTTTCTGTTTGTTAGTTTTCCTTCTAACAGACAGGACCCTCAGCTGCAGGTCTGTTGGAGTACCCGGCCATGTGAGGTGTCAGTCTGCCCCTACTGGGGGGTGCCTCCCAGTTAGGCTGCTCAGGGGTCAGGGGTCAGGGACCCACTTGAGGAGGCAGTCTGCCTGTTCTCAGATCTCCAGCTGCGTGCTGTGAGAACCACTGCTCTCTTCAAAGCTGTCAGACAGGGACATTTAAGTCTGCAGAGGTTACTGCTGTCTTTTTGTTTGTCTGTGCCCTGCCCCCAGAGGTGGAGCCTACAGAGGCAGGCAGGCCTTCTTGAGCTGTGGTGGGCTCCACCCAGTTCGAGCTTCCTGGCTGCTTTGTTTACCTAAGCAAGCCTGGGCAATGGCAGGCGCCCCTCCCCCAGCCTCGCTGCCACCTTGCAGTTTGATCTCAGACTGCTGTGCTAGCAACAAGTGAGACTCCATGGGCGTAAGACCCTCCGAGCCAGGTGCGGGATATAATCTCCTCGTGCACCGTTTTTTAAGCCCATTGGAAAAGAGCAGTATTCGGGTGGGAGTGACCCGATTTTCCAGGTGCCATCTGTCACCCCTTTCTTTGACTAGGAAAGGGAACTCCCTGACCCCTCGCGCTTCCCGAGTGAGGTGATGCCTCGCCCTGCTTCAGCTCGCGCATGGTGCACGCACCCACTGACCTGCGCCCACTGTCTGGCACTCCCTAGTGAGATGAACCTGGTACCTCAGATGGAAATGCAGAAATCACCCATCTTCTGCGTTGCTCACGCTGGGAGCTGTAGACTGGAGCTGTTCCTATTCGGCCATCTTTCTCAAATTGTCGGACCTTTTTTTTTAATTATACTTTAAGTTTTAGGGTACATGTACACAACATGCAGGTTTGTTACATATGTATACATGTGCCATGTTGGTGTGCTGTGCCCATTAACTCGTCATTTAACATTAGGTATATCTCCTAATGCTATCCCTCCCCACTCCCCCCACCCCACAACAGGCCCCAGTGTGTGATGTTCCCCTTCCTGTGTCCATGTGTTCTCATTGTTCAATTCCCACCTATGAGCGAGAACATGCAGTGTTTGGTTTTTTGTCCTTGTGATAGTTTGCTGAGAATGATGCTTTCCAGCTTTATCCATGTCCCTACAAAGGACATGAACTCATCATTTTTTATGGCTGCATAGTATTCCATGGTGTATATGTGCCACATTTTCTTAATCCAGTCTATCATTGTTGGACATTTGGCTTGGTTCCAAGTCTTTGCTATTGTGAATAGTGCCGCAATAAATACACGTGTGCATGTGTCTTTATAGCAGCATGTTTTATAATCCTTTGGGTATATACCCAGTAATGGGATGGCTGGCTCAAATGGTATTTCTAGTTCTAGATCCCTGAGGAATCGCCACACTGACTTCCACAATGGTTGAACTAGTTCACAGTCCCACCAACAGTGTAAAAGTGTTCCTATTTCTCCACATCCTCTCCAGCATCTGTTGTTTCCTGACTTTTTAATGATCGCCATTCTAACTGGTATGAGATGGTATCTCATTGTGGTTTTGATTTGCATTCTGAGATGGACCTTTAATCCAGGGTAGAATTTGACCAGCAGAGAAGGGAGATGTGCCAAACAGTAGGAACCATGAATGACATCAGGAAAGTGTGAGTCAAGTTCAGGAAGTACAAATAGTTTGATTTGCCTAGGGAGGTGCTGTTCAGTAGAAACATAATGTGAGTCACACGAGTAATTTTCAATTTTCTAGTGCCCACATTTAAAAAGTTTTCAAAATGTGAAATTAACTTGAATAAAACATTTAATTTAGTCTAGTATGTATAAAATATTCTCATTTCAATATGTTATCAATACAAAAATTACTGAGATATTTTACATTCTTTTTTCTTACCAAGTCTTCAAAACCTGGTATGCATTTTATACTTACAGCTCATCTCAATTCAGACTGGCCTATATTTCAACTGCCCAGTGGCCACATATGGCTAATGGCTGCCATATGAGACGGTGCAAGTCTAGTGTATTGGTTACATGAGGGCAAGAGTGGGTGATACAACTGGTGAATAAAGATTGAGCCTTGAATGCCAGGCTGAGACATTTGTAGATAGGTTGGCTGAGGGGGTGGCAAAGAAGCTGCTTGACATGAGAATGACATAGCAGGAGTTGTCAGGAAGAGTAATCTAGATTGGTCAGGGGAAAGCAACGATGGAGTGACAGGAAACCAATTAGGGGACTCTAGAATAGTCCAGGTGGAGAAAAGAATGGCCAAGAGTAGCAGTGTGTAAGGAGTAAAGGGGCTGGAAGCAAGAGACAATGTGGAAAGCAGAATCTACCAGAGACTGGGTGTTCGATGGGAGAACAGAGGAAATGTTCACGCATGGCATCTGGTAAATTCTCAAATAATACTGAAGGGAAAAAAAATAGTGTAGTAATTAAGTGTAGAGGAGGATAGAGGAAGAGAAAAAACATTCTGGTAGGCTCCAAAGCTTCATGGAGAAGCAGGGATTTGAGCTGCATTTTGAAACTGAGCTATGTCCTCAAGAAGCTGATGGCTCTTTTCAGGAGGCTAAGTTTTCACACACAAAAAGCAGAGGATCATGTAGTAGAGTGTATCGACAAACATCCAAATGAACAGTACTGATGTGACTTGATTGTTGGAGGACAACAGCACCAAGCCAGGAAGGAAGAAACCAATGCTTTAGTCCAGATCTGCCTCTGAATTGCCATGTGGTTTCAAAAAAGTCATTTCTCTTTTCCTAAGATTCTTTCTCTGTAAAGTGAGGGGTTGGACCAAATGACTTGTAAGCAACCCTTTCACTCTGACTCCTTGAGCCTAGTACAGTAACTGCAGGGAGCAATCAACAATAATCAAAACCACCTGGATGTATTTTTAAAGACTGTTCCAAAGTTTTCTGGTGTAAAGCGTAACATATTGGATGTTCATCTATACTGACTTCATATTTCAGTTAACACTGAAGCCTCAGCTCCCTCTAGGTAAATGCTGAAGACAATAGGCCAATAAGTGAAGACATTCCCTGTAATGAAGCCACCAAATAGTCCGATGCCTTTGACAGCTCAAAGATTTAAAATCATTTCAAAAGAGGAAAGCTATTTTTATTTTATTCTAAGATGAAAGCAAGTTTATTATCATTGTGAGCAGCTTTGAAAAGAACACAGAACTTCTTAAGACACTGTTAAGTGTAGAACAAGATCTTAATAAATACAAAAACACCAAATTCTTTTGAATTTAAATAATTAAATAAACCTCTTCCCATTTCAACAAGTTCATTAGGCAAAAAAGCTTTAACTCTCTGATTTCTCTCTTTTTTCCCTTCATCTGATTTTGTAGTGTTTTAGAATTCAGGATATAGCTCTAGCAATAAACTCATTATCTGTGGAAAATGAATGGATGTTTGTAGCTTTCTTAAATCAATAATATAGTTGGCATTTTTAACAACAATTAGAAGGTAGTGAATAAAAACACTTCACTTCTGCCATGTGTTGGGCAGAAGGAAAAGTAAAAGCTCTGGCAAGTGACCAAAGAGCCTATACAGTCTTTGGAGACTCCAGATTGGTGCTGCATTTCTTCCCTGGCTCTTCTCTCCCTCTGCACCTCCTCAGCCTGAGGGCATCAGAAGGCTTCCCTGCCCTGGGAAACATCTTGTATTCAAGCTCTGAAAAACCAAGGGGAGGTGAGAAACCTACAGTTATAATTTGCTTTATGCAATACCTGTCCTTAAAAAGAGAGAGTGTGTCAATTGAACTCTATTTTCCATTCACCCAGGGAGTTTGCTATTTAAAGCAACCCTGCAGTAAATCCATCTATAGAACAAAGAAATATTTGATAGTGCATATGTCTCCCAATTGATAGGTTTTTATAAGCAAGGATTTCCAGATTTTTTTAAAATTTTTAATATATATAACATACAAAACAAATCTTCTATTTTCTTAAAGGGGGACACTAGAGCCCACCTGACTGAAGCTCTCCAGGTAACATTACTTTGAGGATTAGTTAACAAAAATTAAACTGGACAAATTGGCTCCTTCCAAGGCCATCTGTGTCATTAAACTCAAAAGAAAAAAGAAGAGGGGCCCAAGCCCCAATCCTGGGTACCCAGGAGACATTAGAAACCACCAGGGAGGACATGATAAGGTGGCGTTATCTTCTTTAAGGTAATTAGATTTATCTGGATGCTGTAAATTTTCCTGTCACTGGACTCTGACACAGCTGCACTGAGTGCTTGGCAATTGGATTTGGCTGGGAAGGGGATCAAGTCAGGGCCCAGGTAAGAATTGATAGGAAGAAGGTCTAAAGATAGGATGGTCCTTCTGAGTAGTCCCACCCGGAGGCAAGGGGGCTGGGCCTTTATTCTATACATTGTCCAGTCACTGGATGAGGGCTGCCCAAAAGAGAAGACATAATCCTGGGTGAGGTAGCAATCTTGGTCTGTGTATTGGTCCATTCTCACACTGCTATAAAGAAATACCCAAGACTGGGTAATTTACAAAGAAAAGAGGTTTAGTTGGCTCACAGTTCTGCAGGCTGTACAGGAAGCATGGCTAGGGAGGCCTCAGGAAACTTACAATCATGGCAGAAGGCAAAAGGGAAGCAAGCACATTTTCATGTAGCCAGAGCAGGAGGAAGAGAGAGAGGAGAGGTGCTACACACTTTTAAACAACCAGATCTCATGATAACTCACTCACTCTCATAAGAGCAGCAGCAAAGGGGAAATCTGCCCCCTTGATCCAATCACCTCCAACCAAGCCCCACCTCCAACACTGGGAATTACAATTTGACACGAGATTTGGGTGGACACAGACCCAAACCACATCAGTCTATAAGCATAATTCTAGGAGAGCAACTCAGCTGAGAGCTTCAGCCACCCACTCTTTCCTAGCAGTTGGCGAAATTGGTGCGTCAGTACTAAAGAGTGACTTGGGTAGCCCACCACAGTATCCACTACAGAAAGTAACCCAACTCCACTGGGTAGTCCTAACACAGGGTCACCGTCTGTGCCAAGGGGCCCAGTTTGAAAGTCAGAACTAAGCAGTAAGAGATACTAGCTTGACCCTAACCAGACAGCAACCAGGAACTGTTCTAGGGCAGCAGTGTTCCCTAAGGGGTAGAGATACAGGGATCAGGATCTGGTGATTGAGAAAAAGAGAAGGCAGGAACTAAGAGAAGCCCTACTCCTAGATGGATTCTGGGGAGACCAAGCAAGCTACAGAATAAGAAATCGAGACAAAAACAAACACCAGCATAGCATGTGGGAAGGCACTGCAGGTGCACTCCTGCCCCCAAATATTAATATTATTGGGTCCAGTTTAGACGATGCACAAGCCTCGCCAGAGTCATGACCAATCACAAGATCCCAGTACTAGGATGAATGACTTAATTCCAGCCCTAAGGAGGACAGACTGTTTCGATTTCAACTTTAACACACAACTAGAAGGGTTGGGGACCTGCAGATGAGATTAATGAGTAGATGGAAGTTCCAAGCTGATGAAGCTAACGCAGACTTTGTAATCCAATTGAAGCATTTGTTTCAACATCTGTGGCAAAGGCACTTGGGCAAGGTGCCACCTGCGTTGCCTCATCAATTTATTTAAAAACAAAAGTTCAAAACTGCAAAAAAGACTGTGAAAATATAATAAATTTAAGTAGCTGCATAGTTCTACAGCCATATTTTTCCACAGCCGTCTCACCTTTCAAGAGAGAATCTCCACCCTGCAAGTTCAACCTCATATTTTCCCAGTAACCCTAATTCTTTACCACCCATCTGAGGTGCATAGTTGTGGTGTATCACCCTCTTTTGCTGAGACAGAAAGGGCTCTGTCCTTCCTTTATTTTCTTTGCTTTATGCATAGCTTTCATTCCTTTTTTGACCCTGGACAGCAGAGCTGCTGAACTGTCCTTGCCTTAGGCATTTTTGCCCTCAGTTCTCCTTGGCTTCTGCTCTATATCAAATGATACCGACTAGACCTTTCCACAATAGTTCACAAAACTATTGGAATACAAGTATGCCTAACTCCAAAAAAATATGAAGGAAAGGAAAGGAAGGAGGGAAGAAGGGAGAGAGGAGGAAGGAGGAGGAAGAAAGGTAAGCAAGCAGGCTGCCAATACATCAAAATAAACCTTTTTTATTTTCCATTTGTCTCTCTAGTACAGAGGGTTAAGTTGGTCATATTTCTTCATTCAAGTAACATTATCACTAGTCCATTCAAAGTCCCTCTCTGTTTTTAGTTATTTATTTTATCTCCTTCTCCCACTTCTGTTCCTCTCAACTCACCTTAGATAACAATCCTAGTGTATGTTCATGTGCAGGAGGAGGTTAATGTCTAGTGTTTCGTTTACATATATTTTAATTCTGCAAACAGTATATTATATCTCCGTAATTTCTTGTTTCTCTCAGTTCCATGATTTGAAGATCCACCCATGCTACTCTGTGTGCCTTTAGACTCTCACTTCTACAGGCTCTCCTATTCAGTTAGGTGTGTACGGTCCAAATTTTACATACTCCCTCACCTAGTAATGGACACCCAGGTTGCCTCCAAGCCCCTGATGCCACAATGCTGTGAAGAAAACGTTTGTACAAGATTCCTTTAAGTATCAATTTGAGAATTTTTCTCAATGTATACAGGAGTGGAATTGCAGGGTTATTAAGATCATTGTTCACATTGCTAAAAGTTTCTGGCATCATGGAAAGAATCATAGATGCATCCAATAGAGAGTGGGACACCTTCAAAGGGAGTACATTCAAACAGTTATCAACAAATCATAAACTTTATTAATAAATTCTGGAGACAGATACTTGAATGCTTAGGAACTGCTACCCATCAAAGACGAATCAGAAATGAAGATGTGACATTTCTGAAAAAAAAAACATATAAGTCTGTAGGGAAAATGGTTTTCGATTCACAGGACCACATTCTCTGTGTTGCCTCATGGGAACACATCTGTTGTGAAAAGCACAGTGCACCTGCCTAACCCCACCTCTCTCCCCATTCCCTGGCCCCCAGGACTCTTTCTTGACCCAGCCATATCCACAAAGTCACCTGCTGTTCACTTGGTGTCTCTTTTATAGGGGAGGCTCTAGTTTCACTCTCCCCACTGCTGCCTTTCCTGCTCTGCAGCATCAACATCAACGCTGCAAAATTTCAGCTTGCACCAGGGCTGCTTCTGTAGCCACTGGAGACTGCCATTGCATGATCTACAGCTTCTTGCACTTCTGTCCGACCTTTGCTCCTCATCCCTCCTCCCTACATCAATCAAAAGCTCAGGCAACCTCCCTGATCAAATCTGAACCAAACTGCTCCTCTGGGAGTCACACCATGCTCCCATTTGGAGGAGGAGGCTGCCTGCTGAGAGACTTCAGCTTCTGGGCTCCATTTGCATGAATAAACAGCTCTGAAGTGTTCTGCTGAAGCTTTTATGTAAACACTCTCCAAAATATGTTCTGCACTGCATTATCCCCAGCAATAAAGATTCTGGAATCAGAATTTGGCTGTCAGTTTTATTGATGCTGCAAGGGGTACAGTGGAATACAGCTTTCTCTTCTGTAAATTTATTGGTTTGGCAGTGCAGAGAGCAATAAAACTGTGTTTTTAATCAGGAAGCCAAGCGAACATGATTCCAGAAGAAATATAGGAAGCAAATATGCCATCACAAGAAGATTTCTTCCCACACTGTCCCTGTTCTTCTCGGATCCTTTGTTAAATGAGTTTAGGTGTTAAACGATGTCCTTCTTGGGAATGCCTTCGGGAATAGAATCAGAGACCAAAGTTGGATTACTTTCTCTAGGTTATATCATTTCTAAGAGATTATTGAGTGAAAATATTTTTCTGAAATGAAATTTCCTCCCTATTAGCACCTAGGGAGGAACGGCTGGTAAACCGCTTTGCAGAAGAAATAGAGCGAATGTGACATGCTTCCTCTCAGGAGAAGCAAGGTTGCAATGTCTGTCCCTCCACCTTGCTCACCAAGACATGGGATTAAGAGTGACATGCTTTGGCCAGTATTGCACAGGGAAAGGATGTCTGGAGTCATTCTGCCTCGTTGTAACCTTGTTCAGGTTACTTAGTCTCTTTGTGACCCAATTTCTTCTGCTATGTAAGAGAAATTCCCACCTCACACCATTGTTGAGTGAGTAAAAGAAGGTCACAAATGGGTGTGTATAACTCACATAGTAGCTTACAACTGTAGCAAGTCCCTTCTGGGACTGTAAGAAATCTTACTTTCATCTGCCCATCATGGAGGTGTTCTTTCCTAGAAGCTTAAAGCAGTCTCTGCTGCATAGACATGTTAAAAACAAGACAGCATCTTTCACCTTTGTTCTCATATTCCTGATACTCACATACTCACTTCCCACCTGAAATATCCTTGCCCACTCCCTTCCTCTCTGCCAGTCCTTGGGCCAAAACATTAAACCATTGTAGATACTCAATAAATGTTGGCTGCATGTTCGTCCCTGCCTTGCAGTTGCTTTCTCCTGAGTTATCTTAACCTCCAGTTCCTTTAGCATTCACACATCATCCTATACTGGTTTTGCATTTCTGAGTGTCACTCTTTTCTCAAATCTTAAGTACAGCATAGATTTTATTTCAATTTCAAGAATATTTAGATTTTTCCTGTGGGTATAAGTGAATGCCTGAAGGAAATGATCTCATAGACATTCCCCGCAAATGACATGAGATGCCCATGTGAGTTAACCATAGGATCAAAGTTGTCTCTTTGGAATAATATTGAAATAGGCTACCTGGGAAAGACAGTAGAGATCAAGATGGGAGCATGTTCTTAATGAATCTTCTGTTTTCCTGCCTGCATGATTTCCAGTTGTATTTTCATCATTAATGTCTCCACTCTACTCAACATAGTTTTTGTCCATCTTCCCAATCAAGTCTATAGGATCACTCTACAACTATTTAACTATATACTTGGTGCCAAGCCCTGTTCTTTACATGGATTATCCTGATTAATTATCACAATGACCCTGTGAAGTAGGAATTATTATTGCAATTTTACAGACAAAGAAACTGAGCTGGAGGGCTTAAATAACATGCTTAGAATCACATAGCCAAGTAGTGGGACAGCGAAGATTTGCGTCCAGGTATGCCTAATCTCAACGTTCACAGTCTTAACCGCAAAATTATACACTCTTTGATAAAGACCAAGAATAAGTCATGGCACATCTCTTCATTGATTTAAGTTAGAATCCTCAGCCTGAATCCAGTTCTTGGGAACTCTGAAGTCTCTGTCTCTCACACACATACACATACCCATTTTATTCATGAACTTAAAAGGCACCCTATCATAAATCTTAAACTCTTGGATTTCCTTTTTTCTTTTCTAGATCACTTGCCTACCTCCCTGTCAAAGTGATCCCATCTCAAGCTTTCAGAGGACTTAATGAGGTCATAAAAATGTAAGTAAGTTACTGCATATCAAAAGACATTCGTAATTGGAATAATGAATTTTTTCTAAGAGAAAACACATTTGAAAGGGGATAATTTTTCTAGGAAAGAAATTGTGTTTAGGATACTCACATATTTTTATCTTTGTAATACAAATAATAACTAGAGACCTTTGAAGAAAAGGTATGATTTTTAAGAGTCATTAAAATACAGATAATTAACCTTGCTTCAAATGACTGAATGCATTTTATAAGTGATGATATACCTTTTAAGGAGAAAAAAAGATAGATTCCAATCATAAAAATTCTCCTTCTGCTAGAGCAGCTATTCCCTTGTGTCACATTTTTAGATAACACCCACATAGGAAAAAAAATGTGTTGGAAATTTATTGTGCATCAGAAGATAATCTTTATATCTAAAATATAAGTATATGACAAAAACACAGTATTTATAACTATATTGATGAAAGGCATTTATCAAAAGTGTAAAGCACCTGGATAATGCAGTATGATCTCATGTTTGTCAGACATAACTTCGATCATTTGTTTCTGGGTTTCAGCTTCTAGGACCAAAGTTCCCATACTTGGAGAGAGAATGTTCTCAAGGGCCCAGTATTCCAGCATCTTTCTTAATATTAGCCTGAGTCAAAGGACCTCATGGCCATTGAGTTCTCACAGTGCATCTCCAATCTTAACAATCCACTGGACTTTGGAAGCAGATTTGCATCTCTAAAGAAGATGCTACAGCATTGATCTTAGCTCCTTTGGGAACCTCTATTGCCCTTTAGGGTATTAGTAAGCAATTAGAATATTTAAAATAATTCCTCAAGAATTACTGCATATTATAGGAAATTCCCTGCAGGTTACGGACTTGTCGGTTTACTTGAGCTTAACCCACACTCTTCTGCTCTCAAGTTGGAATGTTGAGTTTTGATAACCTTTAATGCATTAAGACCTCCTACTGAGAAAAGGAGCTACAGTTAAATAAGCAAACCAATAGGTAGGAATAAGATGAATCAGCCAAGAATAATCCATTCCTGTGTTGTTAAGAAAAGACATTAGCTACCTTAGGCTCTGCCTTTCTGTGGGCTAATGCTCTCATCAGTCTGAAGCCTTCAGTGAGCCTTAACCTTAGAAATAAGCAAATGTACAGTTTGTGAATTTGAGACTTTTTTTTCAACTGGCAGGAAATGGTAGCGTATGTTGGGATTTTAGGGTAACATTGGCATGACTTACATGCTTGCGAATCATATATGACAAAACTGGTTTCTTTATTTTTGTATTGTTTTCAAAAAATTCAATTATTCACTACTGCATTCACTTATTCATTCATTTTGTACTCTTAACGCTGTGCCAAGCAACATGAAGCCACCAAGGATTCAGAAGTGAATAGAATATACTCTTTGTCCTCAGTTTGCTCACAAGTGAGAAAAACAGTCAAGGAAGTAGGTAATTGTAATTCAGGATGGATACCATGTGCAGGAGTTGACCACCTTGCAACGGCCTCAGCACGAGATTTTGGGAAACTAAGGGTTAAGAGTTATGAAACAATTCAATCCATATTAAAGCCTCACTAGAGTGACAGAATTGGGACCCAGAGATCCATATCCTAGTCTTGAACCTTAATACAAATACTATTTGCCTCTCCTCTCAGGGCCTTAATTTCCAGAGCTGTAAAACAAGGGAATCTGACTAGATTTTCTCAAAGGGCCTATGCAATTCTAACAATCTGTGGCTCTGAGTCAGAGATAAATAAGAGAAAAACTTGTCACATAAACAGGGGCTACTAAAACTTGCATTTCAACTGCACTTGGGTTGTAGGTGCCCATCAGTGCTCCTAAAGGGAGATGTTAGCACTGTATGATTTGGGGACAACTTGCACATCTTTGTTCTTTTCAGGGGGACACAGTGGTGTCCCCAGTTGTTGGGTCACACACATAGCTCATAATCATGCAGACACGGTCATTTCTTTCATGTTTCTTTCTCTTTTTCCCCCTCCTCTCTTCCCTAGTGAAATCTCTCAGATTGATTCCCTGGAAAGGATAGAAGCTAATGCCTTTGACAACCTCCTCAATTTGTCTGAAATGTAAGCATCAGCTAACAGACAGTTTACTGCTGTACACTATTACCCTCACTGGCTGGAGCCCACTTGGTATTTGTATTCAAGCATCCACTGCTAGGAATCCAAAAGGAAAAGACTACAGCAATTACTAGGTCTGGGCAGGCACTAATTTTTCTCACTGCAGTGGCCTGTAGGTTGCTATGGTGACAACTGCTTCTCCCTGGGAGCTGTATAAACTCTGAAACATCACAACACAAAGATAGAAATTAAAATTGACATTATGAACTCCTGCCAAGTAGCTCTTGCCTATGGAGGGTATGGAGTACTTGGGATAGTGGGAAAATTTGGAAAAGAGCTTAGAGATCATAAATTGGTTCATTGGGGGCTGTTTTGGCACATTCACTCATTCAGTGAATGTTTCTTGAATACCTACAGTGTAAAAGCTGTGTGATAGGCATGTGTGTGTTGGGTTTGTTGGGTTTTGTTGTTGTTATTGTGATGTTTTGGAATTAACTCTTAGAAACAACCCTTGCCAAAGTATCATTTCCCCAAAAAATCACAAAAAGGATAGGAAAAGACTGGTTCAATTCAGTTTTCAAGTGATGAATCTGTGGCCTGAAGAGGTTAACCTATTTGCCTGACATCACACCGCAAGTTAGTGCCAGAGCTGAAATTAGAAATCAATGCATGTGACTTCTACACCAGGCCCCCTACTGCTGCTTTTACTCAGGCGCAAACCTGAGTTTCCAGAAGAGCACTCAAACTTTACCTACTTTGGAGTTTCAAAAGTTAGGGAAGGGGAAAAGTATTAGCATCAAACATTTTTTGAGCTCTGTGCTTGGCATTTCTTCTATGTTGTGTCATTTAATCCTCACAGCTACCATGCAGAGTGGGGGTAATTATCCCTTTCGTCCAGGGGAAGGAATGGAGGCTTGGAAAGGCACAGAAACTTGACCGATGTGACACTTCAGACCAGGGGTATCCAATCTTTTGGCTTCCCTAGGCCACACTGGAAAAAGAATTGTCTTGGGTCACACATAAAATACACTTACACTAACAATAGCTGATGAGTTTAAAAAAAAAAAAAAACTCATAATGTTTTAAGAAAGTTTACAAACTTCTATTGGGTCGCATTCAAAGCCATCCTGGGCCACATGTGGCATGCAGACTGTGGGTTGGACAAGCTTGCTTTAGACCATGGCAGGACTGGGGTTCAATCCCAGACTGTCTTTCTTCAAAGCTCCAGATTTTCCACTATACCACAGGGTCCCCCTATAAATGACCCAATGAATAATTACCTGAAGAGAATAATTAATTGGTAAGTACGTGAGCAACTACCATGTGTCCAATACAGGGCCAAATGCTGTTGGAATACAGAAGAGATAAAATATAAATGTCCACCATGAGATGACAGTGTAGCCAGGGAAGTGAGACTACTCACCAATTACAGAGAAATCCAAAATAATGAGTAAGTGCAAAAGACATAGTCTGGACTTAGCTGAGAAGCAGAATCACACATTGGGCTCATTACAATTACAGACGACAGTCCTATCCCAGACCTGGAAAGCTGCAGTTTTAACAGACTTCCCAGGTAATGCTAAAACACAGCTTATATTGAGAACCACCAGGGCAGCTAATGATAAATAAAGCTTCCCGTGATGCAAAGCAACATTCATCAACAGAAAGAAACATAAAGCACTCTCAGGGAAAGTTTATGGATTCCCAAAGAAGGTCCTAAGACTAGCATGCTAGCTCCATGAAGGCTTTTTTTGCTTTGTTCACAGCTGTATTCCCAGCACATAGAACGATGCTTGCCACATGTAGGTGCCCAATAAATGTTTGTTAAATGAATGAATGACTGGGCTAAGGTCAGGCCCCAAAATTCTTTTATTAAATTTCTTTTAATCTTTTTTTTTTTATACAGGGTCTCACTGTGTTGCCCAGACCGACCTCAAATTCCTGGGCTCAAGTGATCCTCCCACCTCCTTGCCAAGTAGATGGGACTACAGATGCACGCCACCACACCCAGCCCAAAAGACCTTTAGAGATAAAAGTCCCTTCCATCCCACCCACATAAGGCTCTATATGGCCTATGATTGTTTGACTCAGTTGTTGTAGAAATAATTACAACAAAATATCACTCACATCTGAAGAATCAAAAGGGCTGAGAAGATGGAAACAGGCACAAGTGGTGGGTAACTGTAGTGTGGTGGAACAAGCACTAAACTGAGGGTCAGAAAAACTGGGTCACATCCAAGTTCTGCTACTTCTCAGCTGTGTGACCGAAGACAAATCATTCAACTTCCTAATTTCAGCAACTATTATAACTATTGTTAACACTGGTTGAGGCCTTACTGTGAACCAGACACATATATTTATTCCTCAAAAACAACACTATAAGGAAACCAAGACACAGAGAACTTAAAGTGATATATCTAAGGTCATACGATTAGTAAAATCAGAATGAAAAACCAAGTTGACTCCAGAGCCCATGCTCCTAACCAATATACTACATTCTCTCTATAGAACAAGGTAATTATTATTTCCTCAGGTGGCTGTCACCTGGATTAAGAAACCCAAAGGCATTTACTGGCCTTTTATTTAATACAAAGTAGACAGGACTTAGCAATGGTGACTACTTTTTGTAGAGTCACAGTAATTAGGGGAATGAGGGAGTTGGGCGGGGAGGGCAATAACATCACAGTGGTGTATGGCTGTACTTTTATACTTTGCCAAACCCTGCCTCATATTATCTCTACCTGTTCTATTACTTAAAACCTACTAACCTGTGAGGCAGGAAGACTATGTAATATTATTATACAAATTTTACAGAAGAGACACTAGCTCAGGGAAGTTAGGAGGCTGGACATCATGACACAGCAAATTATCTTCAGCATGAGTATAAAATCCCCCAAATTCAAGCCTCTGGCTTTTGCCCTGTGCCATTCCACAGACTGGTGCCCCTCGGTATAACTGCTCATGTGATTGCCGGCCAATATGAAGAGGACGAGTTTGCTTACAAGGGAGAGTAGGTAATTTGCTCATCTCTCCTGAGAGGAGTCTCTCATCACCCTCAGTGTACAGGGTCCACAGTGGGGCAGAATCTGCTTGGCCAGGAGCCCTGGATGTCGGTGCTGTCTGTGGTGGGGGAGAGGGGTGGGAGGGTGCAGAGACAGACTCCCTGCTCTGATCCTTATACCCACCTCTTTAGAAGCTTGAGAGCAGTGCTTCCTGGAAATAGGGAACTGGCTCTCACCAAGCCATTTCCATCCCCAGAGTCGCTAGGGGTCCTCCCAAGCATATGAAGGTCGCCTGCTTTTGCTGATGCCATTTTCAGCCAGCAACTTCTGGTGACCATGATCTCACACATTTCAAACAATACACATCTATTAAACAGCAGCTTTTTTTTTCCCTCTCTCTTTACAGACTGATCCAGAACACCAAAAATCTGAGATACATTGAGCCCGGAGCATTTATAAATCTTCCCCGATTAAAATACTTGTGAGAAATTTTCCTTTTTAAGCAATTGGGGAGGGGAAGATGGGCATCTGATGAAAATCAAAACAAGGAAAAGGTTGGAAAGATTTTGTTTAACCATATACATGGCACTATTTGCATGTTCCTCTTCAGCCTTCTGATTTAAATTTAATTGTCATTTCTTGTCAGCCACCGAGCTGGGTGCTTTTACATACATGTAAGTGGTTCCCAACATTTTATCAGTCCTAAACACCTGGGAAGAACGTCACCCCTCTGTAGTGATTTTCAAGGTTGACAATGGGTATGGGAGATGGAGGTCATAACACTTTAAAAAGGGTAAATCAGAATCTCTGAAGTGAATAGAGAGTAGGTGAAAGTGAGAGTGGCAATTCTGGTCTGACTCTCATCACGGGTTAAGAGTTTCTGATCTCCTTTATCTCATTTTTTTCATTTGTTCATTAAATGAAAACTTTTTAAGTATTGCCTTAAGGTAGACACTGTGCCATATAAACTAAATCATTATTTTCCACTTCCCATTAATTCTAACTAAGTCTGTCAGTTAGCATTAGAAATTGAGTACCACTGTAGCCTGCCACAATCATTGCCTTGTCAGCAATACCAAAATTCCTGAAAACTATGAATTTATCACTATGGATCTTTTCACATATCAAGTCATCCCTATTCACAAAGAAAAATTTGCGTCTCCCTAAAACAGACATCCCTCTTTTTTCTTTAAATTTCATAAACTCCTCAGAGAATGTAAAGCCCACCTCCCATCACTGCCCAAAAAAAGGAAAACAGAGAGAAGGGACATCTCTCTGGTACTTCACGTCATCAGTCTTGCTCTGGGGCCTTCTATAAGAGCTGCTACTGGAACTGGCATAGCTCCTTTGTTAACTCTAACACTGAACAATTCCAAACTCAGGTGTTCTGTTTTTCCAAACCTCCAGGGTGTCTATAGGGCACATAAGCATACGGTAGCATCAACTACTTTGAAAAAACATAAGAAACTCCCAGAACCAAATTTGACCACTGCAGCCTCTTATTATCTAAGAATCATTGTCTTTATTAAATAGTATTTTCATCCAAAACTGTGATATTCACCCAACCCAAGTACACGTTGCAGTCTAATCCCACACTGCTATCCCCAGCTGTAGACAGAGCAGAGATCCAGTGTGACCTGGGCTTTTGGATAAGAAGGAGAACCAGAGAGAGCCAGAAGAGAAACCTGGCTTTGTTTCATTGTCACGAGGGTGACAGACAGTTCATATTAGTTGTCCAGATCCCATGACTGGTGAATCTAAAACTCCAGTGGGGAAATCCAGATGCCTAGACTCTGAGGGAGCCCCATTCTTGTAATAAAATACTCTTCAATTTCACCTATCACTTAAGCCTCTCTCCTCTTCAGAGGCTAAATAAAAGGTGGGAAGAAAAGAAGAGCCTTGAATAGTCCCAAACACCAAAACAATGTTTAGTGATTTCAATGAGATGCAAAGAAGAACTTCCTGAATTGCAAGATAGCTAAATAAGGGAAGATTTTTAATAATGAGCAATATGGATTTATCATAAAAGATTAATTTTCTTGAAGTATTTGAATCAAAACCTGCTCCAAAATTTAAGGATGCTTTCTCGAACTATCAAGAGCTTGTAATAAACTAATTACCAAAAGAAAGTGGAATGCAATACGGGAAAATGTGATTGATTTAATAAGAAAAGACAGGCTACAAATATAAATGAAAAAGACCTTTAAATTTGGCCCCAGTCCCCAGGTCTCTAAATAGCAGTCATTAAAGCATCTTCTCCCACAGCATGAGGGACTTCTAAATTGCAACAATCTTTCTCAGCTAAAAGTAGTCCTGATAACACCAAACTCAATATTTTTAAATTTAATGTGAAAGTTGTATTTGCAAAATGCCTTTGTACTCTCTTTTTATCTTTATGTCTTAATGACAATCACTTTTACCCACTCTCTGCCCACACCACTATCCTGTCCCTAATCACAGGAGCATCTGTAACACAGGCATCAGAAAGTTTCCAGATGTTACGAAGGTCTTCTCCTCTGAATCAAATTTCATTCTGTAAGTACCAGGCTGATTGCTATGCATAACAGTTTCCTATTTGCAGCTAAAATTTAGAAAGTAAATATTTCTCATTTCTTTCCTCAAGGGAAATTTGTGATAACTTACACATAACCACCATACCAGGAAATGCTTTTCAAGGGATGAATAATGAATCTGTAACACTGTGAGTAAACTCCCAGATTTGTGTTCTGCCATACAGCCTCCTGCTAGTCTCACTACTAGGTTGGGGTGAGCTTTTTCTCATGTTTTACCACATTCCTCACTCACTGGTGACATTCTTCTTAACCTAAAATGCTAAGGGTGAAGGGAGTTGTGTAAGATCACAGCTGGGTCATATGTTCACATGACAACCAACCAACCAATTCAGTTTAACCAAACAGGCCCTGAGGATTTTTAGTGACTGAGTCTCAAACTTATGAAATTGTTCACTGCATTAATGGAGAATGCTCTAAGGCTGGGAAGACACAGTCTAGAGAGGAGTGGCTTTCCTGGCTTAAAAAGAGCATAGAAATTTCAAGATTTCAACAGAGAAGAGTTTGGAAGGATATTCTCCAAGTAGGAAAAGTAGTTGATCAATGGACCTTGCTCTGTCTCTCTCATTTTCGCCTTCCTCTTGGGTCCCTCTCACTTTGCTTCTGAAGCAACACTATCTATACTCATTCTCTCTATTCCTTAATGCTTAAAAATAATGTGTTTTTATTTGACAGTTACTCGTCAGGTTACCAGGCTATCCCTTTCATGGTGTTTCCTAAGGCCTCACTATTCAAACTATGAGCCATGATCTTCAGCATCTTCTGAGAGCTGGTGTATAAGTCCATTCTCACATTGCTATAAAGAACTACCTGAGACTGGGTAATTTATAAAGAAAAGAGGTTTTAATTGGCTCACAATTCTGCAGGCTTTGCAGGAAGCATGATTCTGGCATCTGCTCAGCTTCTGGGGAGGTCTCAGGAAACTTACAATACTGATGGAAGGTGAAGGGTGAGCCAGCACCTCACATGGCCAGGAGCAGTAGGAAGAGAGAGAGCAGGGAGATGTCACGCACTTTTAAACAATCAGATCTCATGAGAACTCTATCACAAGAACAGCACTAGGGGGATGGTGCTAAACCATCCATGAGAAACCACCCCCATGATCCAGTCACCTCCCACCAGGCCCCACCTCCAACACTGGGGATTATAATTTGTAATGCAATTTTGTGGAAACACAGATCTAAACCATATCCTCTAGTTAGAAATAGCTCACCGCAGACCTACTAACTCAGAATATGCTTTTTACAAGATCCCAAGTGATTCACATGTACATTAAAGTTTGAGGAGCACTCCACTAAGATAACTCAACCCATGTTCTTCACAGGACACTTGCCAGACTTCCTTCCCTCTGGAATCCCTGCCATACATCTTCACATGGGAGCCCTCCACTGCCGTACCATTCAGAAGCAGCATCCTGGGCAGCATATTTTATTTTATTGCAACTGAGTCTCGCTCTGTCACCAGGCTGGAGTGCAGTGGCGCAATCTTGGCTCACTGCAACCTCTGCCTCCTGGGTTCAAGTGATTCTCCTGCCTCAGCCTCCTGAGTAGCTGGGACTACAGGCGTGTGCCACCACACCCAGCTAATTTTTGTATTTTTAGTAGAGACAGGATTTCACCATGTTGGACAGGATTGTCTCCATCTCTTGACCTCATGACCTGCCCTCCTCGGCCTCCCAAAGTGCTGGGAAAACAGGCATGAGTCACCACCCCCCGGCCTCATTTCTTTATACCTAAAGCCCAGTGACCCTGATTTAATTCTGCTCCTAAAATCCATATCCCTCTCACTCTTTCTGCTTTGGTTACAGCCCATGGCAAAATTGTGATGAGGCAATAAAGGAGCTCACCCTTAAAGAAAAAAGAGAAAACATGGATTGGAATGACTCTGAAATGAAGAGATAGATGTGAAGCAAAAGAAGAGATCATCTCAGAGGACTCTCTTTTATATCACTGGATTCTAAAAATTGGTATCCTTGGTGCACTGCCTTTGTATAGTACTTTTACTTTGTGTAGATGTAATTTTACATGTATAATTGTCATGTTACAAAGCTGTGACCATGTAGCTTCATCTCAGATTAATGCAATCAAAAGAATACAGAGCAGCAACCAAAAATAATTTCAAAAATAACCCATACTCTTTACTTGCAACTCTCAAACACCAGGAAAGAGATTCTGTTGATCCTAGAAATATTTCTCAACAGTCTCTCCACTCCTGCCACTTCCCTCACACACCACAGCTCTACCGGCTGCTTATAAAGTGTTTTCAACTCACCATTGCATAATGGATCTGGAACTACTCATTCATCATGTCCCCCACCAAAAACAAGGTATTCAACAAACAAATTCCGAATGAGGTGATATCACATGCCTTAGGATTTGGGGTCTCCCCACATGTCTATATCAAGAACACAAAAGACACAGGATTAGATTCATGTCCTCGAGAAGTTCATAGTCTCAATGAGGGGGAAAACATAAAATAATAAAATAATAATACAAGCTAGTAGATATTCACTATGAGAGTGTGTGGTACCTAGAAATAAGATCTTAGAGAAGTCCTTTTGGGCTGGGGAAGTCAGAGAGGCTTTATGGTAGAGCTAACAGATTTGAATTAGACCTCATGGAATCAGTAACGTTTATATGGGTAAATGTGAAAATAGCAGCTAATATGTATGTAGCCCTTATTAAATACCTGCACTGTTTTTAAGTACTTTTTAAGTCCCATAGCAACCTTATGAGATAGGAACTATCAACCCTACTTTTAGATGAGGAGACCAAGGCATCAAGAGGTTAAGTATCTCTATCTCAGGTCAAGATTTGGTCCCAGACAGTATGGCTCCAGAGTCATGTTCTTAACCGTTATGCGGTACCACAACATACAGAGAAAGGCAGAGTAAGGAATCCAAGTGAAGAGATGGCAGGAGCAAAAGCATGGCAGGAGGAGAACAGGATGAGGCTACTACTTGGGAGTAAACATGCTGTTTAAGGAATGGAAAGTGAGTTTAGATAACTGGCTGAGATGGAGAGGACACTGAATTGCAGAGACCCTTAAGTGCCAGGACAAGGAGACAGGCTTGGAGGTAACTCTGGAAAAAGTAATAAAATAATCTATTCAATAGAGTAGGCTTTATTCAAAGATCACAAATATCCATGACTCCCTTCAACTTTGATCTAAATCTAAAAATAATCAGAGACCAATAGGTATTCCTCCGAGGTAAATGTACAATGATGGGAGTGGAGTGAAGTAGGAACGAAAAGGCAGAAGACATGGAGGAGGGTGAAGAAGAAAACCAATGTTGGGATAATCCATAGGTAACTATGAGCTCACAAGACTGGGCCACCCCACGAGACTCAAAGAGTAACCAAAGATTCCTTCTCACACATCATACTTCAGTATGTGCACAGAGAGCTTCATGGTTTTCTAATGACAGGGACATTAACTTATGTTGCTCATGATTTTAAGAAAAAGAGTGCATGCCAGTAGGGTGTAATTTCCCCACTCTGAAGTTAATAAAGATTGAGGCTCCGTCTCTCCCAGAGAGCCTGTGGGACATTGTAGTTCCATCCCCCTTCTCATTCTTGGCCCTTCATCTGGAAGGGGAGTGATTAGTCATTTATTTGCCTGGCACTTGTTCTCTGCTGAATGGGCCCCTCTGTAAGCAAAGGATCGTGTGGAGCAGCCTGCTGGAAAAAGGGCATTACGCTTAAAGAGGAAAGCCTTATTTTCTCAGCTATAAAGTTCAACTCTCTAATTAGAAAATAATGAAAGCAAGCCTTCTCTTTTCATTATTAGTGGTATTTGAGATTTTGCTTTTTGTAGAACCTGTCTTGCCCTCCCCCTACCCAAATCTTTACCAACTGTGAGCTCATTTAATGAAAACAAAACACTTCACTTGATGCTGGAGAAACTCAGTGGGGCTAATGCTAAAACTATGCATTATGCTTTTATGTCCCTTTATAGCCACTTTGGTTGTTCATTAAATCTCCTCAAGAGGCCACCTTGAAATGCCCCTCCTTCCCAAATAAGCAGAATTTAGCTGTGCCACCTTCAAAATATTCTAGGTGATTGGTCACACCAGTCTCAAAAAAAGAGACAATCTTGATTCACATCTTAACTCCACAAAGAAATGGAAAGGTCATAGCAATTAATTTTCTAAGACCCTACAGAGAAGTGATGTCTGGAAAGGCATGATGATTCCAGGCTGCACCCATGACAAGCCACAGTAGAGAGACTGCTGGGTCTCTCTACTGTGTTGAAATAGGGAGTCTGGGCTTCAGTCCTGGCTCTGTGTCTAACCAGCCAAGCAGCCTTAGTCAGGTCATCCCACTTTGACATAGCTCACTGGGTTCAAGCGATTCTCCTGCCTCAGCCTCCCAAGTAGCTGGGACCACAGGCGCCCACCACCATGCCCGGCTAATTTTTTGTATTTTTAATAGAGATGGAGTTTCACTGTGTTAGCCAGGATGGTCTTGATCTCCTGACCTCGTGATCCGCCCGCCTCAGCCTCCCAAAGTGCTGGGATTACAGGCGTGAGCCACCATGCCCGGCCTAGAATCCTTTATTGTTATCATTCTTTCTGATGCCTGTCACCCTTTTTATTATTACATATAGTAAAGACATATAAGTTGACATGAACATGGCTGAGGTAGAAGGAAACATGAAAACTCAGTGCTGCTGAGAGGCAGGAGGCACAGCAATACAGGGAGAGGGATCCATTGCTATAGAGACTATGAACCCCCAGAAATGGGGGGACCCTGATTCATAACTAGAGTTACAGCAGCACATAGTAGTAACCAGGTCACAGTTACCCATCTAACCACTGCCGGCACATCCACTAGAGAAGTGTCTTCATACGTAAGGAATTATTCAGCTATAAAAGGACTTCAGCAAAGTTCCACATAGGGAAGAAAGTGGTGAATTTAGGACTTCCTTTTCTTTTCTTTAGAATTCTGTTTGTATAGTCATTTGAAAAAAAAAATTGCTTACAAATATACCACCATATTTTCTAAAAGATATCTTCTAAAACGGTATGCTTTGCCTTTTAGCAATGGGTCCACTTTTTTGAGACCCTGAGTATCTGTAAACATAAATTAAGCTTTCTTCTTCAAAATCATCCAGAAACCAGGTGATCCAAAAGGAAACTATAGAAGAATGTCTAATACTGTTAATATTAGAATCCCAGAAGTGCTTTTAGAGCCCCAGGAATATTTGGGGTTCATTATAAAGCAGCATTCAGAATTAGAGTATCATCTGTGATTAATATCTAAAGCCCAAATCTTATTTTGAACAAAAAGGTGCCATTCTGTGTGATTCACAATTACTGACATTTGAGTAGAGAACCTAGACAATGCTTTAAAGTTAGGTACAGCTATTGTAATAGAGAAGTTGGGGGAGGCGAAAAATCTTCATTTTTGTGCCTGTGACAAAATCCTCAAAGTAAAGCAAAGGAAGCCTTCCTCATTTAATTCTGACACCATGATGTTTTGGAAAAAAGTTATCTGAAGTGACTCTCCAGATGTTTTTTTAAGGGCATTAAAAGCATTGTGCAAGACTGACAGCATGAGGTCTCCCACTCACATTTGTAATTTCTCCAAAGTAAGGAAGCTTCTCTTTTAATCACAACAAGGCAGCACATTCTATTGTGTGTGACCGGTAAGAAAAGAGACAAGAGCAACTGAAACAGTGGGCCACGTTGTTTAGAAAGTTGAGACAAGCAGGACTGAGGCTATTCAGAAAAAAAAAAAAAAAAAAAAAAAGACATGGAAAATGTCTAAAGGCAAAAAAGTCCATGACGCTAGTACAGACCAAAGGTGTTTGAGAGCCTTCAGCACGTGAGTACATTTAGTGCAGCCCAGGCCACTGACCTGACTTGCTCTGCCCAGGAAGAGAAAGACCCCCTACTTCATTGGAGAAGGATGATAGTGCAATTAAACAAAATGCTTGTATTTCACAGAAATCCTGTCCAGAGCATGGAAAGGGAGATCGTTTACCTCTGTTCTTGTCAGAAGGCTAGAGGCTACTGAAAAATATAATAATAATAATAATAAGATCAACACATTAAGCATTTATTGTATTCCAGAACCTACTTATAAATGTTTAACATATATTTACATTTTCAGTCCTTACAATAGCTTTATGAGGTTGATACTATTATCATACTTTCAGATTAGGAAACTAATGTAGAGAGATGGTAAGTAACTTGCCCAAAGTAATTCAGATTGTAAGCAGCAGAGCTGGGATTCAAGCAATTGGGTTCAGTGCCTGCAGACTTAACCACAAGGGTACACCTGTGACACTGTGAGTCTAACAGAAAAGCATAAAATCCTAACATGTATCAAACAAGGATCAGGGCAGCATGCAGCTGTGATGAATAATGGGCATCTAGACAACTGTTAGCAGCTTTGGTGAAAACAAAGCAAGGGCTATCTTTTCTTCATCTACTCCATGTGTAGTGCGATCATCACTTAGAAGGTAGAGAAAGCAATCCAGGGACTAGACTCTGGACACAATTCCAAGCCAATGACCATCTGATTTGCCCCATGGGAATGATGAGAACAGTATCATCCTATGACATACCCTAGGGCAAAGGTTCTCAAACTGGCATACTGAAGGCTCACTAGGAGAGCTTGTTATAAAAGTGCATATTTTTGGATACCACTATTAGTTTCTGATTTAATAGGTCTGAGTCTGCATTTTTGACAAGCAACTCCAGGTGATTCTAATTCAGTGGATGGAGGAGAAAGTTTTGACAAATACCGGGCAAGAGTCTAAGAAATCAAACTTAAGGAAGTTCAGAAAAAGAGTGTGATTCCTTTATCTAAAAGAGACTGCTATAAAGGAATTCAACCCCTAAAATGACAGGAGACTGCCAAAGACTAACATCCTAGGTGCAAAATTTTAAAAAATTCTGGTGAAATTGAGCTTCTAAGGAAACAACAAGGTTGTGTATAATTATGCAAGACAACAGGCATCAACCCTGTACCTATGTTCTCAGATTCCACAATATAGAAGGGGAAGAAAACTACTGAGAGTGGCATCCAGTAATCCAACATGGTAGAGCTAGTATGTGAAACTGATGATTGGCTTTGCCTCCATTGCTTTATCATCATCTGACCCATGATTATATTTTATGTTTTTATTGTTTGCCTCCTCCAGAGAAACATATCCTCCTGTATCTAGAACAGTGCCTGGCACCTGGGAGTATTACAGTAAATATACATTAAATGAATGGGATGACCAAATGAGAATATGTAAGATGAATTTCTTACCATAAATCATAACCAAACAATTTTGAAGGCTACTGACTTAGATGGAAATATAAGTTATTTGAGAAAGGCCTGTGGTGTGATGTAAAGTTAAGCTCCTTGTATCTGCCAAGACCCTAGCTTCTCTTTGCAGGGTTGCTGGAAGCTGGCCAGGGACAAGCTGTGGGGTGTAACTTGAGAAATGGTTCAGAAACATGCTTCAGATTCTGCAATATAGAAAGGGATGAAAACTATTGAAAGTGGCATCCAGTAATCCAATATGGGAGAGCTAGTATGTGAAGCTGTAAACTCTGAAGAATCTCAGAAGAAAGCATATGAGAGCCTGGGAAACCATGGAAGCCTCCCCTTCCCGGGGAAGGGCAAAGCTGCTGCTTTACTCAGGCTATTGACTGAGCTAGGCACCAGGCATTCTGTGAGGCCCCAGGAGTTTAAGAAATGAATTAAATATTCTCCCCTGCCCTCTTTGAACTGACTCTAACGAGGAGACTTAAGAATTATTTTGTAATCTCTAGTTATATTTTCTGAATTTCAGAGCTTAAATATTATACTTCAACATGAGTCACACCTTTATTTATATGTTGGTTTGTCTCAGCTGTGTTGTGGGTTGGTGGAAGGAGACCACACATACATACACACAGAGTACATACATGCTGTTGATGTTACACACATACTCACACCCCACAAAGTGAAGCTCCATGCTCATTTTGTTTAACAAAGACTAGAGAGGCCTTGCAGACAACAGCTACCTGGAGCAGGAACAAGTGAAGCATGTTTCTGAACCATTTCTCAAGTCACACCCCACAGCCTGTCCCTGGCCAGCTTCCAGCAATCCTGCAAAGGGAAGTTAGGGTGTTGGCAGATATAAGGAGTTTAACTTTACATCACACCACAGCCCTTTCTCACGTGGGTTTTACATCATCATTCACAAAGAATTTATACAAATATTTCCATCTAAGGCAGTAGCTTTCAAACTTGTTTGGCTATGATTTATGGTAAGAAATTCCCATTTGGTCATCCAATTTATTTAATATATATTTACTGTAATACTCCCAGGTGCCACGCACTGTTCTAGATACAGGAGGATATGTTCTCACGGAGGAGGTAAACAATAAAAACATAAAATGTAATCATGGGTCAGATGATGATAAAGCAACGGAGGCAAAGCAAATCAGGGAAGGAGTATAGGGAAAGTAGGGGGAAACAGGAAATTGGTGTTTTAAATAGGGCAGCCAGTAAAGGCCCCACTGAGAACACGACACGAAATACAATCCTGCAGGAAGAGGATGGGTAGCCCATGAGGATATCAGTGGAGGAAAAGTAAAAAGAATCAGCAAAATTGATGTGCTGGATGTAGCCCCAGACAAAGCATATCCTAGTCCCATTTATGCCAGTTGTAGGCTTTAGACAAGTCACTTTCCCTCACTGAGCCTATTTCCTTCTTTGCAAAATGACAATGTGCTGCTTGATTCCCTCTAGACTCCTTTGTGGCTCAAACATTTCCCCATATCTGTGTTCTAAGGATCCTCTTATGTCTTATTCTGGGTAGAAGTATACATGTATGTGTGTGTGTTTGTGTGTGTGTGTATTTATAGGTATATACCATAAAAAATGGTGGGATAAAGTTTCATAAACATTAATACCCTAATCACTTGCAAAATGCTCTAATACTTTTTATTTTTTCTATGTAGATTTTTTAAATGCTGGTTATGCCCAAGTAAATTGATTCACTATGCACTAATGGTCTTAAAGGACTGTTTACAGACATTGAAATCTTCTTGGTTGTGGAGCCAAATCTGACATCAGCAAAACCACATACTCATCCAAGAAAAAAAAAAAAAAAAGTGGGCTCAGTGCTGGAGGCTTCCTCTGCCCTCAGCTTTCAACACCCAGAAAACCCATATGCCCACACCGGCCTGCAAAACCAGAGGAAAGGCTTAAGTGTTAAACATCTCTGGCCTTGGATCCCAGCTATGCCACTGTTTTCCTTTGACATTAAGCAAGCTACATAACCACACTGAGGGTTAGGCTTCTTGTCGGTATAATGGAAATGATGATGAGGATTAAATCATAAAATAAACATAGAGTGGCTGATGAAGTATCTAGCACTTAATAGACACTTAATAAATTGATGGTGGTGGTGATGATGGAGAACTAGATATTATGAATGCCTGTAATAACCTTAGTAATATATGTTACAGGAGGAAAAATGTGTTTCCAAACTGTTTCTTTCAGTTTCTTCCCATTCCTAAACCCTCTCCTCCCTCCTTCAGCAAACTATATGGAAATGGATTTGAAGAAGTACAAAGTCATGCATTCAATGGGACGACACTGACTTCACTGTAAGTATTTGCTTATTTCCCCAGCTCAGGAATAAAAATGAAATATTACTCTGGCTACAAGATCACATTCAATCTTCAGCAACTAACTCAGGGCAAAAATAAACTTTCAAGTGGCTAGCCCTCAGTGTTTCATGCATGTTACTAGGCAACTGGCTGGCTAGAAACCCCAGAGCACCCTGATTTCAAAGACAGATGCAGCCTGGATACATTGAAGTTGACAGTTTACTGCAATATTCAACACCCTACTTTATGCCTCCTGCAACTCAATGCCTCCCTCTCTAGCCCCCTCACTCAGGTTGATGGTGTGTTAGAGGAAGCAGAATTTCAGAAAGAAATTCTTCTCCTGGCCCCACTGCAGAGAAATCAGATAACACCACCATTTACCAGTCTTGTCAGCCACAACAGACCCACTCAGAGAGTCCCATCTCTGTACTGCTAGTGTGGGAGGAAGCTCATTTTCCACAAGGTAGGGAGCTTTGTGTTTTCACCACACCCTACCCAGTTCTTGATGTTAACAGCCTTTAACTCAAGAAGAGCATCGCTACTGTTTCCCTCACTGTTCTCAACCTCTCTTTCCTTCTATGGCTCCTCTTCTAAAAGAGTGGCATATTCACAAAGTTTGTGGGGCTGGGGACATTTGAACCATAGCAAGTACAGGGTGAGGTCACAGTCACCCTGCAATTTGTGCATAATAAAAACTAAGAGCACATGAAAAGTTCGATTAAAGCCAAAATTATGGAAAATAAACAAAAAAGGCTTTTAAAATCAATAAGTTGTATAAACCATGATCTATACTAATGCTTCTCAAATTTTTACACACCTACGAAGAATCTGCAGATTGTTAAAACACAGATTCCTGGGCCCTACCCCCAGAAACTTGGATTCAGTGGATCTAGGTAGGGCCTGAGAATTTGCAATTTTAACAAGCTTCAGGAGATGCTGATGCTGTCAGTCTGAAGTTGGGTAGCACAGTCTAATGTTGGGTAGCAAAATTCTGTACAATATGCTATTTATTTTTAATTATAGATATGTAACCAAAGCCTCTATTATATTGATATGTGCTATATCGTTTGGTGGCTAAAAGAATAGACTTCAGAGTGAGTGGGACTCAAACTCCAGTCCCACTATTTAACAGCTGGTATGACCTTAAGCAAGTTACTTAACCGATCTAAGCCACAGTGTCTTCATTCATAAAATGGATCCAATAATAGGCTTGTTTTGAAAATGTCATATCCTCAGTACTTAACGCTGTGCCTGGCATAGAGTAGGTGCTTATTTATTATATAATATATAATATAATTAATTATAAGTAAACAATTCAACAAGATTATACTTTTGTGTGCTTAGCACAGCATAGTTGCACATACTAAGTGTTCAAGAAATTGTAGAATTTTTTAAGTTGTTCTCCTATCATGGGGTGAATTTGCTCTCATGTTCTTTTTGACTTGATGACTTAATGAAAGGTTCATTAACAAAAACCCTTAAGTTAATGAAGTGTTCACTCTGGCCAATTAAATCGATTTCTGACAAACTTAAATCAGAGGCATTTATATCATCTCCTGGCACAGTTCTCTCAGATGCCTCATTCCATTATTCACTCTACAAATGTTTACCAAGCATCAGCTGTGTTTGAAGAAACATGCTGTATTTTGAGGGGGAATGAAGATGATTAAGTCCTAGTGTCGCCCTACAGGAGCTTACAGCATAGGAAGAAGCATCTCCAAATAGTGTATAAACTGCACATTGACTACTAACTAAAACAGAAGGCAAAGCATGAAGCCTCCCCAGAGAGAGGTAAAGTCCTCTGGGATTTCAAAGGCAGCAGGAAAAGAAAGTATAGAAAGCCTCTGAGAAAGGTGGGCTTTGAGCTGGGCATAACTTAGGCAAAAAGAGAGGAAAAATGCCTTCCAAGCAGAGGACAGCCAGAAGAATGGTCCAGAGGAGGAATTATAAGATGTGTTCATAGACCAGCAGATAGTACTTTCTAGATACGAGTTAGGGACAAAACAGGAAGGGCCTTAGATGCCATAGTAAAGAGTTTAGACTCTCTTCTCCAGAAAATGAGAAGCCATTGAAAGTTCTGAGATGGAAGTATGAGATGAGTGCTTAAAGAAGGTTCATCTGTTAGCAGGAAGGACGGAAGGCTGGAAGGGGTAGGGCAGGGCTAGAGACACAAATGCCAGGATCATCTGAATAGAGGGGATAGCTGAAGTCCTGTGTGGCTGAGGTCACCTGAACAGGGGGAAAAATAAAAGAACTGAATATTAAATTAAAGGGAAACAAGATGAGCAAGAGAAGCAAGAGCAAAATAAAACAGACGGGAGAAAAACCAACACAGTATGTCTGTGTGAGGTCAGGAAAAACAGAAATTTAGGAGGGAAGATTTCAGATGGTCAGCAGCATATCAGCTGTTACAGAGATGCCAAAATGGACGTGAACTATGAAAAGTTCAATTAGTCAACGTCCTGTATACCCTGTATCTCACTGTTGCAAGAAAGAGGAAATCAAGAACATGAGTCAGTTTGCCAAGAACAAACTTAATTTCATTCAACAAACATTTATTAAGCACCACTGATATACTAAGCACCGTGTTAGGTACTGAGTCTGCAATGGTAGAGAGGTCACAGTCCCTGCCCTTATGTAGTTTCTGTTCTATCAGAAAAGACAGACAAAAAAAAGCAAATAACAGATAAAATTATTACAAGGGTAATATATACTATGAAGGAAATAACCTGTTACTGAGATCTGAGAGAGTATGAGGGGTGAACGATTTAGGCAAGGTATCCAGGATGGCCTCACTGAGGACGTGATATTTAGGCTGAGCCTGAAGGATGACAAGGATTCCACTGTGTCAACAGTGAGGGAAGCACGTTACAGAAAGAGGGAGCAGATATGCAAAGGTCCTGAGCTGGAAAAGGAACTAAGTTGGTAAGTCCCAGGAATTGAGGGGAGGCCAGTGTGGCTGGAGGGTCTTTAGCAAGGGGGAGACTGGAGATGAAGGAGATGGAGCAGGACTGAGCAGCCATGGGAAAGGAGTCTGAATTCTCTTCTAAGGGCAAGGTCACCCATTAAAGAGTTTAAGTAGCAGGGGAGGAGCAGTTTTCAAAACTGTCAAGCAAAATTTTCAAACGATACATTCAACCCTTCCTCATAAATAGACCTGTCCAAAGTTGTTCAGAACACAACGATACTGAAGTCCTGCAAAGTTCGCAAACACCTGACTTACTAAGGCAGCACAGGAAAGACAGGGGCAGCCGCAGAAGGTGGCCCTGAGGCACCTGAGGGGTCTAGGAGTCAGTCCATACTGTTCCCAGAGCACCCAAGCTGGGAAAACTTTGGCGGAGCTTGTGGGTTCTTCCCCTGTGCTTCAAAAGGTCATCCTGCCTGTGCTTCTCACACCGCAAGGTCACATCATTGGGAGAATTCTCAAAAGTGACCCCCAGGAAAATGTGGGAAATTGATTTATTTTTTGACCAAGTTGCATAATACAGAGTTATCAGTATACAGAAAGATCTGAGTTTTAATAAAACGTGTGAAATGCTCTGTCACGAAATTTGAACAATTAATCTGACTGGGCTGACACAAGAATAATTTGCTCACAGAGCCCAGTTTCAATGATTTATAACTATAACTGAACATAATTAAAACAAACGGAATCAGGAAGAAGAGCCATGGAGGTTTAGGAAGAAAAATTTCTTTTGATTTATATTTTAAACAGCAGTTGATTCTGACAATCTCATCTCTTTGAAAGTAGAAATATACCCAGGGGATGGGACGATGTGAGATTGACAGGTGGATTCTGATGAAAGGGCTGAGGGTTTCCAAAGAAAATGCTTAGTAGAAATGTGGAAAACAGCCACCCAGAGTGAGATGCAGGGGTTTTTGCAGTTCTTAAACAGCAATGAAGGCGGGGAATGGGTGTTAGTATGTTTGTTTTGCTGTGTACACTGTAATGTGGTAAGAGAATCATGTTCCCACGCTTGAAATCATCACATCAACGGTAGATGCACACTGTTCCCACCATCCACGGTTTTCCAGATGCTCTGAATCACAACCATTCTCTTATAGAGAGGAAGTGCTCAAAAGAAGGCTGGCAGACTTGAGCCCAGGGATTCCTCTTCTAGCTCCCTCGACTACTCAAAGAAGGGCCTGTGCTTAGAGATACCAGTGTCAGGGCCCAGAAAGGAGGCTGCCTAGGAGGACCAGATTGTGCTGCTCCTAAGGAGTTTAGCCTGAATGACTTTGAGCTCAAGGCAGCAGAGCCCTCAGGGAGCTACTTCCATAACAGCTTTTGGCTTCTTCCACAGCCTTGAGAGTAGAGGCCCTCAACACTTTTTCCATGACACACACATACACCTGGCGATGATCATTTACACTGCACAGCCCCATGGGGCAATTTTCTACAGAGGCTGTAAGTCCTCCTCTTTCTCACCCACAGAGAAATGCATATCTGAAAGAAAAAGAATGCAAATTACACTACAAAAGGGATAACTTTGAATGGACCCTACTTTTTCAAGTATTTGCAAACTTCAATAAATTACTATTAGCACACTCTGAGACCTCCACGGTCACAATGACTGAGAGGCTAACAAAGAGTAGGCTGCACTTCAGCCGTTCAGTCTTGGCCTCTTGGAGCAGCAATCTCATCCTTATCCAGCTGTCTGGTGGTAAACTTTCATAACTCCAGGACAGGAGGGGGTGAGTACTTTAAGCTGTAGGACAGAGTTCTACCAAGTGAAGGGGGGAATGGAAGAAAAAAGGTGTGGCCAACACACATGCCAGTAATTTCATAATTTCATTAAGAACTAGCTTGTCTTTTTCCCACTTTCCCTCCACTTACCCTTTTTCCCCCTTTTAACCCTATACATCATGCACATAGCTTGGTCTAAACATGTGTATATGGAGCTACGAATGCTTACACATGAGGTACAAACTCCACTAAGGGCAATATCCTTCCCCACAGGGAGCTAAAGGAAAACGTACATCTGGAGAAGATGCACAATGGAGCCTTCCGTGGGGCCACAGGGCCGAAAACCTTGTGAGTAGAATGGTGCTGCCTCCCCTCCCTGCCCAGTGTACCCCAACAGGACTGCTTAGGGTGTCCCTCCACATCATCCCCAAGCTGATATGTGAGACATCAGCCTCTACACCTGAAAAGGCTGCTGTTGGAAAGACAAAGTGTATCACAGCTGCCATAATAAAGTACCCCAAACCGAGAGGCTTAGACAACAGAAATTTTGTCTTATGGTTCTGGAAGCTAGATGTCCAAAATCAAGGTGTCAGCAGGGGTTGGCTCCCTCTGAGGGCTGTGAAGAAAGCATCTATTCCAGGCCTCTCCTAGCTTGTGCTAGTTCTTTCTGGTTGTGGCAGCATAATTCCAGTCTTCACATGGTACATTGTGTATGTGTGTGCATGTGTGTGTGTGTGTGTGTGTGTGGGTGGGTATCTCCAAATTGCCCCTTTTAATAAGAATAGCAGTCATATTGGATTAGAGCCCACCCTAATAAACTCATTTTAACTTCATTACCTCTGTAAAGACCCTATCTCTAAATAAGGTCTGAGGTACTGGGAACGTCAAGATATGAATTTTAGCTGGAGGATACAATTCAACCCCTAACACCAAATATGAGGGGTGGCCTCATGTGCTGGCAAAGAGGCTGGCTACCCACCTGGAATCCACTCATGGGAATCTAAGGCCAAAGATCTGGCATGCCCCTGGCACTTGGTTGGACGGGGCTGAGCTGCTGTCAGACTCTCTGAGGGTGCAAGGATTAGGGCCAGGCTCTCTCAGTTAAAGGGGTTTTAAAGGATACATGGGAAATTGTTTCCAAGACGGCCGAATAGGAACAGATCCAGTCTGCAGCTCTCAGCGAGATCGATGCAGAAGACGGGTGATTTCTGCATTTCCAACTGAGGTACCTGGTTCATCTCATTGGGACTGGCTGGACAGTGGGTACAGCCCACAGAGGGCCAGCTGAAGCAGGGCAGGGCGTCACCTCACCCAGGGAGCACAAGGGGTCCAGGGATTTCCCTTTCCTAGGCAAGGGAAGCTGTGAGAGACTGTACCTGGAGGAACGATACACTCCTGACCAAATACTGTGCTTTTCCCATGGTCTTCACAACCAGCAGACCAGGAGATTCCCTCCCGTGCCTGGCTCGCTGGGTCCCATGCTCACAGAGCCCAGCAAGCTAAGATCCATTGGCTTGAAGTTCTTGCTGCTAGTAGAGCAGTCTAAGATAGACCTGAGATGCTGGAAGGGACATCCGCCATTGCTGAGGCTTGAGTAGGTGGTTTTATGCACACTGTGTAAACAAAGCTGCCAGGAAGTTCGAACTGGGCGGAGCCCAATACAGCTCAGCAAGGCTGACTGCCTCTCTAAATTCCACCTCTGTGGGCAGGACATATCTGAACAAAGGCAGCAGCCACAGTCAGGGAATTACAGAGAAAACCCTCATCTCTCTGGGACAGAGCACCTAGGGGAAGGGGCAGCTGTGGGCACAACTTCTGCAGACTTAAACGTCCCTGCCTGACAGCTCTGAAGAGAGCAGTGGTTCTCCCAGCACAGTGTTCAAGCTCTGATAACAGACAGACTGCCTCCTCAAGGGGTCCCTGACCCCCATGTAGCTTGACTGGGAGACGCATCCCAGTAGGGGCTGACAACCACCTCACACAGGAGAGCTCTGGCCAGCATCTGGCAGGTGCCCCTCTGGAACAAAGCTTCAAGAGGAAGGATCAGTCAGCAATACTTGCTGTCCTGCAGCCTCTGCTGGTGATATCCAGGCAAACAGAGTCCGGAGTGGATCTCCAGCAAACTCCAACAGACCTGCAGCTGACGGGCCTGACTGTTAGAAGGAAAACTCACAAACAGAAAGGAATAGCATCAACATCAACAAAAAGGGCATCCATACCAAAACCCCATCTGTAGCTCACCAACACCAATGACCAAAGGTAGATAAAACCACAAAGATGGGGAGAAACCAGAGCAGAAAGGCTGAAAATTCCAAAAACCAGAACATCGCTTCTCCTCCAAAGGATCACCACTCCTCACCAGCAAGGGAACAAAACTGGTCGGAGAATGAGTTTGATGAGCTGACAGAAGTAGGCTTCAGAAGGTGGGTAATAACAAACTTCTCCAAGCCAAAGGAGCATGTTCTAACCCATCACAAGGAAGCTAAAAAACCATGAAAAAAGGTTAGGCGAATGGCTAACTAGAAAAATCAGTGTAGAAAAGAACATAAATGACGTGACGGAGCTGAAAAACACAGCATGAGAACTTCGTGAAGCATACACAAGCTTCAATAGCCAATTAGATCAAGTGGAAGAAATGATATCAGTCATTGAAGATCAAATTAATGAAATAAAGCAAGAAGACAAGATTAGAGAAAAAAAAGTGAAAACAAACGAACAAGGTCTCAAGAAATATGGGACTATGTTAAAAGACCATATCTACGTTTGATTGGTGTACCTGAAAGTGATGGGGAGAATGGAACCAAGTTAGAAAACACTCCTGAATATTATCCAGAACTTCCCCAACCTAGCAAGGCAGGCCAACATTCAAATTCAGGAAATACAGAGAACACCACAAAGATACTCCTCCAGAGGAGCCATCCCAAGACACATAACTGTCAGATTCACCAAGGTTGAAATGAAGGAAAAAATGTTAAGGGCAGCCAGAGAGAAGGGTTGGGTTACCCACAGAGGGAAGCCCACCAGACTAACAGCTGATCTGTCAGCAGAAACCCTACAAGCCAGAAGAGAGTGGGGGCCAATATTCAACATTCTTAAAGAAAAGAATTTTCAACACAGAATTTCATATCCAGCCAAATTAAGCTTCTTAAGTGAAGGAGAAATAAAATCCTTTACAGACAAGCAAATGCTGAGAGATTTTGTCACCACCAGGCCTGCCATACAAGACCTCCTAAAGGAAGCACTAAACATGGAAAGGAACAACCAGTGCCAGCCACTGCAAAAACATACCAAATTGTAAAGGCCATCAATGCTATGAAGAAACTGCATCAACTAACAGGCAAAATAACCAGCTAGCATCATAATGACAGAATCAAATTCACACATAACAATATTAATCTTAAATGTAAACGGGCTAAATGCCCCAAATAAAAGACACAGACTGGAAAATTGGATAACGAGTCAAGACCCATCAGTGTGCTGTATTCAGGAGACCCATCTCACATGCAAAGACACACATAGGCTCAAACTAAAGGGCTGGAGGATGATCTACCAAGCAAAGGGAAAGCAAAAAAAAAAAGCAGGGATTGCAATCCTAGTCTCTGATAAAATAGACTTTAAACCAACAAAGATCAAAAGAGACAAAGAAGGCCATTACATAATGGTAAAGGGATCAATTCAATAAGAAGAGCTAACTCTCCTAAATATATATGCACCCAACACAGGAGCATCCAGATTCATAAAGCCAGTTCTTAGAGAACTACGAAGAGACTTAGACTCCCACACAATAATAATGGGAGACTTTAACATCCAACTGTCAATACTAGGCAGATCAATGAGACACAAAATTAACAAGGATATCCAGGACTTGAACTCAGCTATGGACCAAGAAGACCTAATAGACATCTACAGAACTCTCCACCCCAAATCAGCAGAATATACATTCTTCTCAGCACCATATCGCATTTATTCTAAAACTGACCACATAATTGGAAATAAAACACTCCTCACCAAATGTAAAAGAACAGAAATCACAACAAACTGTCTCTCAGACCACAGTGCCATCAAATTAGAACTCAGGATTAAGAAACTCACTCAAAACCGCACAACTACATAGAAACTGAACAACCTGCTCCTGAATGACTACTGGGTACATAACGAAATGAAGGCAAAAATAAAAATGTTCTTTGAAACCAATGAGAACAAAGACATAATGTACCAGAATCTCTGGGACACATTTAAAGCAGTATGTAGAGGGAAATTTATAGCACTAAATGCCCACAAGGAAAGGCAGGAAAGATCTAAAATTGACACCCTAACATCACAATTAAAAGAACTAGAGAAGCAAGAGCAAACACATTCAAAAGCTAGCAGAAGGCAAGAAATAACTAGGATCAGAGCAGAACTGAAGGAGATAGAGAGACAAAAAACCCTTCAAAAAATCAATGAATCCAGGAGCTGGTTTTTTGAATAGATTAACAAAATAGATACACTGCTAGCAAGACTAATAAAGAAGAAAAGAGAGAAGAATCAAATAGACGCAATAAAAAATGATAAAGGGGATATTACCACTGATCCCACAGAAATACAAACTACCATCAGAGAATACTATAAACACCTCTATGCAAATAAACTAGAAAATCTAGAAGAAATGGATAAATTCCTGGACACATACACCCTCCCAAGACTAAACCAGGAAGAAGTCAAATCTCTGAATAGACCAATAACAGGTCCTGAAATTGAGGCAATAGTTAATAGCCTACCAACCAAAAAGAGTCCAGGACCAGGCAGATTCACAGCTGAATTCTACCAGAGGTACAAAGAGGAGCTGGTACCATTCCTTCTGAAACTATTCCAATCAATAGAAAGAGAGGGAATCCTCCCTAACTCATTCTATGAGGCCAGCATCATCCTGATACTAAACCTGGCAGAGTACACCACAAAAAGAGGGAATTTTAAGCCAATATCCCTGATGAACATCGATGCGAAAATCCTCCATAAAATACTGGCAAACCAAATCCAGCAGCACATGAAAAAGCTTATCCACCACAATCAAGTCGGCTTCATCCCTGGGATGCAACGCTGGTTCAACATATGCAAATCAATAAATGTAATCCATCACATAAACAGAACCAATGACAAAAAAACACATGATTATCTCAATAGATGCAGAAAAGGCCTTCGACAAAATTCAACAGTGCTTCATGCTAAAAACACTCAATAAACTAGGTATTTATGGAATGTATCTCAAAATAATAAGAGCTATCTATGACAAACCCACAGCCAATATCATACCAAATGGGCAAAAACTGGAAGCATTCCCTTTGAAAACTGGCACAAGACAAGGATGCCCTCTCTCACCACTCCTATTCAACATAGTATTGGAAGTTCTGGCCAGGGCAATCAGGCGAGAGAAGGAAATAAAGGGTATTCATTTAGGAAAAGAGGAAGTCAAATTGTCTCTGTTTGCAGATGACATCATTGTATATTTAGAAAACCCTATCGTCTCCGCCCAAAATCTCCTTAAGCTGATAAGCAACTTCAGCGAAGTCTTGGGATACAAGATCAATGTGCAAAAATCGCAAGCATTCCTATTCACCAATAAGAAATTAACGGAGAGCCAAATCATGAGTGAACTCCCATTCACAATTACTACAAAGAGAATAAAATACCTGGGAATCCAGCTTACAAAGGATATGAAGGACCTCTTCAAGGAGAACTACAAACCACTGCTCAACAAAATAAAAGAGGACACAAACAAATGGCATTCCCCATTTAATAAATGGTGTCAGGAAAACTCGCTAGCCATATGCAGAAAGCTGAAACTGGATCCCTTCCTTAAACCCTTATACAAAAATTAACTCAAGATGGATTAAAGACTTAAATGTAAGACCTAAAAACATAAAAACCTAGAAGAAAACCTAGGCATTACCGTTCAGGACATAGGCATGGGCAAAGACTACATGACTAAAACACCAAAAGCAATGGCAACAAAAGCCAAAATTGACAAATGAGATCTAATTAAACTAAAGAGCTTCTGCACAGCAAAAGAAACTATCAGCAGAGTAAACAGGCAACCTAGAGAATGGGAGAAAATTTTTGTAATCTATCCATCTTGACAAAGGGCTAATATCCAGAATCTACAAAGAACTTAAACAAATTTACAAGAAAAACACAAACAAACCCATCAAAAAATGGGCGAAGGATATGAACAGACACTTCTCAAAAGAAGACATTTGTTCAGCCAACAGACCTGTGAAAAAATCCTCATCATCACTGGTCATGAGAGAAATGCAAATCAAAACCACAATGAGATACCATCTCATGCCAGTTAGAATGGCAATCATTAAAAAGTCAGGACACAACAGATGCTGGAGAGGATGTGGAGGAATAGGAACACTTTTACACTGTTGGTGGGACTGTAAATTAGTTCAATCATTGTGGAGGACAGTGTGGTGATTCCTCAAGGATCTAGAACTAGAAATACCATTTGACCGAGCGATCCCATTACTGGGTATATACCCAAAGGATTGTACTATTAAAGGATCATGCTGCTATAAAGACACATGCACACGTATGTTTATTGCGGCACTATTCACAATAGCAAAGACTTGGAACCAACCCAAATGTCCATCAATAATAGACTGGATAAAGAAAATGTGGCACATATACACCATGAAATACTATGCAGCCATAAAAAAGGATAAGTTCATGTCCTTTGCAGGGACATGGATGAAGCTGGAAAGCATCATTCTCAACAAACTATCACAAGGACAGAAAACTAAACACCGCATGTTCTCACTCATAAGTGGGAGTTGATCAATGAGAACACATCGACACGGAGGGGGAACATCACACACCAGGGCCTGTCGGCGGGTGGGCAGCTGGGGGAGGGATAGCATTAGCAGAAATACCTAATGTAAATGACAAGTTGATGGGTGCAGCAAACCAACGTGGCATATGTATACCTATGTAACAAACCTGCACGTTTTGCACATGTACCCTAGAACTTAAAGTATTTAAAAAAAAAAAAAAGATACATGAGAAAGTTAGGAGGAATAGAACATTGAATCTGACAAAGCCTGAAACATCCAACATGAAACATCCAACATCCTGCAGAGAGCTGAAGCTGCAGTCAGGCTTCAGGGAGAAATGCAACAGAGTTCCAGATACTGTGCTGCTCTCACACACGGCGACCAGTTATCCCATCATAGAGGTGGCAGTCCACGACACCCTACTCTAGCAGATGTTATTTATTCAACAAACATTGATTGAACCTATCCTGTGTACCAGGCACCGTGGTGAACAGACAGTAGTAAGTAAAATAGCCCTGGTCCTTGCCCTTAGTGAGATGACAGTCACATAAGGGAGACAACAACAAACGCAAAGCAATAAACAGGCATGTCATTTTACAATGAGAAAAGTTCTAGAAAAATGGTGAGCAGGGTAACCCAGTTCATTTGTTTGTTTATTCATCCGTTTATTCACTAACTCTTATGAACCCATACTATGTGGTAGTCACTGGATTAGGCATCAGGGAAATGGCAGAGAATAAGAAGAGACAAACACTTCTGCCTTCATAGGATGGGGAAGACAGACAAGGATTGAATAAGTAAATAAAATATGTAGTTGTCCAAATGCTATTGGTTGTAGAGGAGAAAACTCATTTGGTTGGGGGGAAAGGAGTTCTGGAGAGGGGGAATTACTATTTTAAAGGGGATGGTGAGGGAAGACTATCCTGAAAAAGTGTCGTTTGAACGAACACCTAAAGGAACTAAGAGAGCAAGTTACGTGATTATCTGCAGGAAAAGTGTTCCAGGAGGGGGAACAGCAAAAGCAAAGGCCTGAGACAGAATCTTGCCTTGTGTATTTGAAGAACAGCAAGGAGGCCAATATGGCAGAGGGAGCAAAGAAGGGAATCACAGAATATAAGGACAGAGACGTGGCAGAGAGCTGGATCATGGCGGGGCCTGTGGTCACTTATATAGACTTTGTCTTTTTTTAATGAGATGGGGAGGCTTTGGGGTTTTGAGCAAGGGAAGGAAATGAGCTGTCCTTGTTATTCTTCGTACTGTAGATCCCGCCAAGATCAACTCATGGCTCTGTCTAATTTCTGTTTCCACCATTATAAAACCCAAAGTCTGTCTACTTCCTAGCTCCTGCCCCTCAGCCCCTCACTCTCTATTTCCTAACTCCTTCCTGCTATCCACTTTTGACTCTCTACTTCCCATTCCTGCCACTGTTGAGCCCTGACTGTGCTAGTTCCTAGCTCCCACTGTCAACTCCTGACTTCACCTATTTCCTAGCTCCTGCCACTGTCCAGTTCTCACTCTGTCTACTTCGTAAGTCCTGCCACTATCGACTTCTGACTCTACTTCCTAACTCCCACCACTAAAATTCCTAGATCTTTCTGCTTCCTAACTTCTGTCGTTGTCAATCCTAACTCCCTCTAATATCCACTCAACCCCATAACTTCTGTTTACTTATGACTTCCACTACCTTGTGGCTCCTGCCCACTGCTTTCTCTGCTCTCAACTTCTGGCAACCTTATCCTAGGGGTCTTTTTCTGCATGTCTCATATGCAAAGCATACCAGACTCCGAATCTTGTAAGTTGGCTGAATACTCTCCAGTTTAGCACATCCTGTAGGCAGAGCTGTTACAGCAAGCTGGCCATCTACTTGGTCACTAGGCAAACAAAGAGAGCTGCCTCTGGCTCAGGTGCAAAACACAACCAACCCACTGTGTTCCCAAGACTCCTGCATGACAGTATTTGCTTGAAGAGCTGCTTGGTTAGCTCCTTAGAAGTGACTGTGGGCACTACAGACCCCTACACTCTCATGTCCAAAACACTAGCACCAGACCTAGGTCTCTTCCTTCCCAAGGGGTTGTTCTCATTATACCCCTAGGACTTGAATCGTATCTAAAAGCATCCACTCCACCCTTACTCAAAAAGCATTTCTCCCACTAGTCTGTTACTAAGACTGAAAACCCACTATCAGAGGTTCACTGCCTTGTAACGAGGCCTTACTGTTTCTAAGAACCTAATTTTAAATGTACCCACTCAAAAGACAAACAAAAAAGCCACCAGATCTTCAAAGAGCTCAATCCCTAACATGTCTGAGATAAAAACCCTATAAAGCAGAATGAGAACCCTGGTTACCTAAATCAACAGGGACACAAAAGCAGGAAATTCTGAAGCCCCTGAGACAAATTTTGCTGCCTTAATTTTTCCACTGAGGGCCTACACCATCATCATTCCATGTTGTCAAGTTCATCTTCCATCTATCACCTATTGGTCCCCTCCCATGTGCTGAACACCAAGTCTTGGGAATGATTGCTGAGGGGAGCTGTGCTGCTTGGAAAAGTTTTGTGAGGCACCAGCAGCAGCCACTTAGAAGATAAGCAGAATTGTTTAATTCCCATTGACTCTTTTCTCCTAACACTTAATGTGTTTGGAATTTTCTTGGGCATTGCCTCAAGTCTAGTAAAACCAAAGAGTTCAGGACCTTGTTGACAAAGCCTGAGCTTTTCACACAGTTCAGCTTGCAAGGCTGAGTGTTCGCTTGCTTTGAACAGATGAATCATTAGAGAACATGCATTCTGCATTAGAGAATGCATTAGAGAACATGCATTAGAGAACATGCATTCTGCTTCCTAGGTAGATGATGGCTAATGCCACACAGAAGCTCTTAATAAGTAACCAGGCTGTGCTTCATGAAAACCTCTCCTGCAGGGCTTAATCAATCAAAGACTGAGGCATCTGAAGCCCTGAATAATTTCCCCTGGGGTAGAGCACAAAAGCTGATGTAACTGCATGTGCTGGCTGTCGCATAAAGCAAGTGGTTATTTCACTTCTGCTAAGTAGAGAGAAGTGGAGGAAGAGAGAGGGTGGGGAGGAAGAGAGAGGGTAGGGAAAAGGAGTTGGAAGAGGGGAGAGAGAGAGAAATGCTAATAAATGTATGGTAGGTGCAAGGAGTTATACTTAACCTTGAAAAGAATAATGAGGCGCACATGAGAAAAAATACAGACTCGCTTTTCTGAATTCAGATCTTAGTGAGAGTAATTGAAATGGAGAATTAAGGGGAAAGCAAGATGGAGAAAAGATTCCTCAGAGCCTATAATGATAATATTGTTGAGGGGAGGTTTCATTCTCTGAATAAAATGTATAAAATATGGCCGGGCGCAGTGGCTCATGCCTGTAATCCCAGCACTTTGAGGGGCCGAGGTGGGCGGATCACGAGGTCAGAAGATCGACACCATCCTGGCTAACACGGTGAAACCCCGGTCTCTTAGCCGGGCGTGGTAGCGGGCGCCTGTAGTCCCAGCGACTCGGGAGGCTGAGGCAGGAGAATGGCGTGAACCCAGGAGGCGGAGCTTGCAGTGAGCCGAGGTCGTGCCACTGCACTCCAGCCTGGGCGACGGAGCAAGACTCCGTCTCAAAAAAAAAAAATGTATAAAATAAATAAATAAAAAGCATTTCTCCCCTTTATTGTTCAGGGATATTTCTTCCACCAAATTGCAGGCCCTGCCGAGCTATGGCCTAGAGTCCATTCAGAGGCTAATTGCCACGTCATCCTATTCTCTAAAAAAATTGCCATCAAGAGAAACATTTGTCAATCTCCTGGAGGCCACGTTGACTTACCCCAGCCACTGCTGTGCTTTTAGAAACTTGCCAACAAAAGAGTAAGTAGAAACCAAAAGGTAAAGCCTACCCAAGCTGTGGCAGAAATTCAGATTTCAAAATAGTCAATGAGTAGACAGCTCCACTCCCCTTCACTCCCTACCTTCTTGGCCAGCTCCGTAGACATGGGGTCACTTTCAAATAGACAAGAAGAAAACAAACTGTTCTGTTTCCTTGTGGAAACTGCTACCAAATAGTTGATTCACCCTGCAGCTAGAAGACCTTTGTAGCCAATTCTGGGTAAACTGAATTAGAGGCCATTTTAGCATTTGCAGAATGGAGTACAAAACTGGCATCTCAAAGGATTTGTTCTAATCCTTATCAGAGAGCATCATTTTTTTAAGTGAAGGAAGAAGCCTCAGGAGGGCAAAATTTACCTAATGTTTAAATCTTTGATTTAAAAATGGACACAAAATATTACAGAAAGTTTTCAAAACTATTTCTCTCCTAGTAGACGAGCATCTTCTATTTCAGAACAGAATTACAGCTAAAGATAAGCTTAGCATGGGAACAGGAAGGGAAGGAGCTCCTGCATGGTTTGCATCCAGTAGTGGGTATCTGATTCCGTTCAGTCCAGGGTGGGGGACACGGTGGCAGAATTTCGTTCTTTCCTCAGAGCACTGTTTTCCAGACTTTTTTGACTGAGATGCACAGTAACAAATACTTTGGTATTGCAACCCAGTACATGTCACATATGTAACAGAAATAAAGCTGAGTGATACTTAACTTTTTAATATGTAATATGCTGATATTTTCTTATTTTACTCTATTTTATTTTATGCTTTTTTTATTTTTAATGCCAGTCTTGATGCACTCTATTGCTTTCATGACCCACCAATGGGTCACACAACTCACAGTTGGAACAACACTGCCCTAAAGGGTTATTATTGCAGCCTAAGGAGATAGGATCCATTCAATTACTTAGATAAGGCACTGAGAGAGTGACACCAGATGCTGCTGTCTTTGTTTGGAATCAACCAAAATGAATTATTTATAATTAATCAACCAGTATGCATTATTTGTACCTTGCATATAGGAGGTTCAGCTCCACCTGAGGCTTTTTGGGTAGCTGAGAAGACAAAACACTTGCTGTATTCACAGAGTCATGTGCCATTAACTGATCTTCCAAAACATTAACTGAGCACTTACTATGTTTCAAATACTGTGTGAAAGCCTGAGGTTACAAAGATAAGTCACAGACAGCTGTATGGGAGCAACACACAAGAGAGCCAATATTTAAGTCCAACACGGCAAATGTTATGACAGATCTGAGAACAGAGCAGAGTGTTCTGGGAGCACTGAACAAGAGTTTGTTAATGGCAGCAGGGATTATGGAAGGCTTCCTGAGGGAAGTGATTTATGCTGAGTCTTGAAGAACAGGCAGGAGTTGTCTAGACAGAGTGAGAAAAAGCAAAGAAGATAGAATAGCTCATGTGAAGACAAAAAGGCAAGAGACAGTAGATGAAACTCACTCAGAAAAATTGAAACATGGACACATGGAAGAAGATGAGTCAGAAGAGGAAGCCAAGGAGATGTGGGCCATGATGGTCTGAGTGCCAGGCCCGGTTGTTTAGAGGATGGGGAGCCATGAAGACTTTTAAGCAAGATGACTCAAATTTGCTTTTATAAAATACCACTTTGCAGCAAGGTAGAGGATGGTTTGGGGGTGAGCAAAGCTGGTGAGAGAACAATTAGGAAAATGACAGAGATACTGGTTTATGATAGAGCTGATTCTGGATACCCACATTTTTTGGCAAAGAAATCACACCCCTTCTGAAATCACTGGCATGTGAAAATTTTAGTTCAGGGATTTTTATTCCAGTAGGTGAAAGAGACAAAGTATTCCTGCAAGGAATTGTCTCATAAGTATTGTAGAAGAATAATACATAGAAATGTCCAATTTGAATTGCCTCATTTATCCTTCCTCATCAGTAAAAGTTGAGGCCCTCACAGCCTGCTCTCTTTTCCCATTTTTCTTTTTTCTTGGCGGGGGCAGGGAGGAGGTGTGGCTTATTTTCATTTATTGACCTGACTAATGGGTACGTAGGTGATCATTCTGTGAGAAATCATTGAGCTATACATTCATGTTTTACCTGCTTTCTGTGTGTTACAATTCAATTTTCTGATGTTTTACAAATTGCTATTACAATATAAGTCTATTTGAAACTTATGAAAAGGAAAATAGGCAAATGTCACATATCTTTTCTGGTTGCGGCCTTGCACCCTACTGCCCTCAGGGAAACTTGATCTGACTTCACCAAGCAACCTTTTGGAAGTAGTCCCTTCTGAGCCTGTCCTTTTCCATAATGTCCAAATTCTTAATGAATGCAGTTGATAAACCTTGTAATAATGTGTCAACAGCATGATACTTCTTTCATAGAATATGCATGAACTGTGTAGAAACAATGCATTGTCTCATCAGAGAAGATGCAAATTTCATTCTCTATGAAAACAAAGATGGACTGTCATGAGAATGCCATCAGGGCACTGAATATGAGGAGAGAAGAAATAAGAGACAATCAGGGGCATTTGTAATTATGAAGAAACCACTGTTTTTTTTTTTCTGTAGACCTCCTCTGTGGACAACCACTATTTTTTTGATTCAACTTTTATTTTAGATACAGGGGGTACATGTACCAGTTTGTTACATGAGTATATTGCATCCAGGAAGTGAGCATAATACTCGATAGATAGTTTTCAACCCATGCCTCCCTCCTTCCCTGACCCCTCTAGTATTCTGCAGTGCCTGTTCATATGTTCCCAGTTATGTTCATATGTTCCCAGTGTTTAGCTCCCTCTTTTAAGTGAGAAGATGCAGTATTTGGTTTTTTAATCTTGAATAAATTTACTTAAGATTATGGCTTCCAGCTCCATCCATGTTACTGCAAAAGACATGATTTTTTATGGCTGCATAGAATTACATTGTATATATGTACCACATTTTCTTTATCCAATCCAGGCACCCAGGTTGATTCTATGTCTTTGTTTTTGTGAATAGCATAGCAATGACCATATAAGTGCACATGTCTTTTTGGTGTAATGATCTATTTCATTGGGTATATACCGAGTAATGAGATTGCTGAGTTGAATAGTAGCTCTGTTTTAAGTTCTTTTAGAAATCTCCAAACTGATTTCCACAGTGGATGAACTAATTTACACTCCCACCAACAGTGTATGAGAATTCCCTTTTCTCAGACTGTAAAAGTCCTAAATGAAAACCTAGGAAATACCCTTCTTGACATCAGCCTTGGCAAAGAATTTTTAGCTAAGTCCTCAAAAGCAATTGCAACAAAAACATAAATTGATGAGTGGGACCTAATTAGACTACAGAGCTTCCACACGGCAAAAGAAACTATCAACAGAGTAAACAGACAACCTACAGGATGGGAAACAATATTCACAAACTATGCATTTGACAAAGGTCTAATATCCAGAATCTATAATGAAATTAAATGCATCAACAAGCAAAAAAATAAATAATCCCATTAAAAAATGGGCAAAGGGCATGAATAGAACAGCATTTTTTCATATGCTTATTGGCTGCTTGTATGTCTTCTAAAGAAAAAATGCTCATCATCACTAATCATCAGAGAAATGCAAATCAAAACCACAATGAGAAAAACAACAGATGCTGGCAAGGCTGTGGAAGAAAAGGGAATGCTTATACCCTATTTCTTTATTCATTTGTATCTCCCTTAAATTTCATCTCTAGGTAAGTGCTCCCCCAGGTGAGAACAGGCCTCATTTTATTTTATTGGTATTTCTCTTCTTTCCACAGGCTAAACTTCTTAGAGGGAAAGATGGAGGAGTAGGGAGCACCCACGTATGTTTCTGCACATAAGAAAAAATAACCTGAAATTCACATCATAATGTCAGGTCCAGCATCTTCAAATCCTTACAAAAAAGATGCCCAGTTACAATTCAAAACCATGAACACAGAATGACTATTTGTTAAGGCCAATGTGGAAAGGAGAGTGGTAAGGAGCAAACCTTAATATATCATAAAAGTAGCTTTTAGTAATCATTGGAAAATCCTTGATTCAATATGACAAATTTAAGTTTTTTCATCTCTAGTGCCCACACAAAATGCTTAGTATTCAGAAGCATTTTATCTAAGCTGGAAGCACTCTAATGACAATTCAGAAGCCTTTACTCTCTCCTCAGGAAGCATTTCAGTTAGGACAATGGTGCAGAACGAGATGCTGGTGTAATAGGTAAAGAATTTGCATGAACAAAGCATAAATAGACGCACAGTCAGGTTTAGCCTGAAGTCCAAAAGCTCAAATGCTTTTTTTAACCTCTTCTCTTTCAGACAGAATTTTTCACATTCCATTTCTGAAAACTTTTCCAAACAATGTGAAAGCACAGTAAGGAAAGTGAATAACAAAACACTGTAAGTATTTGCATGCAAGGAAACTCAGAAGTCGTATCTTGTTCTGTGTGCACCTTATTATCAGCATCAATTATTTTCTTTTGATACAAGTCTTGGTTACGGAGCTGTTGCAAAGCAACTTTTAATAGTTTTAAAATGGGAATTTTTTCTTTGCAATTGGCATCAAGTTGATCAGGTATGTCTTTCAACTGTTTAAAAAAACTATTTTAAAATGTTCCTTAATATTTATTCTACAATTGTATTAAAGCCTCCTCAAAAATTAAAATTTTGCAGGTATGTTGATGTCACCAAAGGCTGATACAACTGATACCTTCATTTGTAAGAATTTTCCCTAGTCACATGGTCAACATTCCACAAAGATTAACTAATTGCAAACGTAGCTTAAAAGTAGCCACTTCCCTTAAAGGAGACTTAGGCTACCTCGACAACTATGCTCCTGAGCTTAAAATGAGTCTTAATGCTATCGCTACCACATACACTGGATGGAAGCTACATCTCTGTTTTACTGACTAACTTTTAACACTTTTCTGCTATAAATGCTGGCTGCCTTGGCATTTCACTTATCTTCAACTGTAAAAGAGCATGCCTCAAAAGATAATCCCAGTGTCCCTATGGCACATTTACTAAGATTTAGAAGTTTTATTATGCCCCCATGAGTCCTCCAGACTACAAAACTAGATGTCCCTCTAAGATACTTTGCCAATCTCTTTCTGAAATTTTCTCTTCTTTTCTTTTCCTATCAATCTCCAAGTTAGACAGATGCTTCAGGTTGGTACGGTGGAATGACCCTGGACTTTGGGGTTCCATTCCAAGTATATGAATCTTTGGAAGTAACCTTCCTGTAACAGAGTATCGCTGGCAAAATTTATCCCTTTTGAGACCTTTCTCCTCATCTGTAAGGAACAGCAGAAATACCATTTGGCTTTCAGAACCATGAGAATGAAGGAAGTTGCTAAGCAATGCGACAACACCAAGGGTAAATAAGTATTACTGTCTCTTCTTTTCCTTTTCTCGCAGTAGGTCTGGCACCCATATCCTCCAGTGGCCTTTTCTTCACCCTTCCCTCTCTTCTTGCTCAGTATTCTATCAGCAACCTTCTGTGTAACTCTTTTGCAACCACATGACTTTATTCTTATCATCAAGAAAACATTTATGGATATAGTTAATAATAGCACCAAGGAGTGGTTTGAGGGGAAGGAAGACTTTAAACCATCCTCAATATAATCCTCACCAGTCCTCACCATAAACCTTCTCAAATGAGCATATACAACCTTAAGTTTGCTATGCTATCACTGCTTTAAGACAAGTCCCTAATCTCTAGCATCTCCAAAACTAACTGAAATTAACATAAAATCTAAGTAAAAAGAGCATTCTTCTTGTGAAAGCATTTTATGATAAATCTCCTACCTCCTACTTCCCACCAGATAGCCATTCCTCAGTCCCTAGAGTTTAGAAATTCTAGAGCCAGCCACTAAGGCTTACGTATTCTCCCCAAGATAATGTGTCCTTACCTCTATGGTTGGCCCTATTGTCCTCCTAAAATTCCCATCTTTTCTCCTTTCTTTCTTGTGACTGGAGCAGCGGTGCTACAGCTCTCCTTCCTCTGATTCAATATTACTAAGCCCATGTGAGTCCATTCATACTCCCCACATAGCCTCTAATACTAAAGACAGCTCTGTGCTGGGCTTTGTCAATAAGCATGATGCTGCCCTCAGGAGCCATCCCAGGACACAAATACCAGTAACAGCAGGTGGGCATTTAGTCCAAAGATAAATCACCAGGGAGAAAAATTGCTAGACATATGCCCAGAAGGGCAAAAAAAGAAAGGACAAAGGACCAGACAGCGAGAGGAAGTGAGAAAACATGTTTGACCTCTTGTTGATATAAATTTAACCAGAAATCATGGCAGAATTTTTAGAAGTTTTACAATAGTGCTTCTAACAGCTGAAGTAGTTTTGATAAGGGGAAAGGAGTAAAGGAAATCAGGAATAGCTGGACTGTTTTCATCTAATTTAACAAAGGCTATTATTTTGTATGAATCATCCAGAGAACTTACTTAAAATGCAAATTCTTGGGCGGTGTCTCTATAGATTTTTTATTCAGGGTTTGGGGTAAAGCCAGGGGTCTGCATTTTAACAAACACCATGGTGATTCTGATGGAGCTGATCCAAGGACCACACTTTGAAAAACAATGAGAGAGAGTGAAGTTAGGGGAAAGGTCTCTGAACTGTGATTATGAAGACCTCATGCTGCCACTGTCACTATCCCCAAGAGACCTTGGACAAGTCACTTACCTCCTTTAATCTTGGTTTCGTTACCAATAAAATGAAAGGATTCAATCAGATGGCCTTTAAAACCCTTTTTTTTTTTTTTTTTTTGAGACAGAATCTCAGTCTGTCACTTAGGTTGGAGTGCAGTGGCACGATCTCAGCTCACTGCAACCTCCACCTCCCGAGTTCAAGCGATTCTCCTGCCTCAACCTCCCAAGTAGCTGGGATTACAGGGGCATACCACCACGCCTGGCTAATTTTTGTATTTTTAGTAGAGACAGGGTTTTGCCATATTGGCCAGGCTGGTCTCAAACTCCTGACCTCAGGTGATCTGCCAGCCTCAGCCTCCTAAAGTGCTGGGATTACAGGCATGAGCCACCGCGCCCGGCCTTAAAACCTTTCTAATGCTAAGAAATTTATGATCTATTTTCTTTAATAGTTCTTTATAACCATCTCCTCCCTTTAAAGATTAAAAAATGATAATTATATTGATGTCTGTGAGAAGAGGACAAACAAATGTGCTGGTTATAACAATATTTAATAATAAAACACGAGAGGTTCCTATGCGGTCTTCTGTACATAGCAGCAGCCCTTCTCTAGTTCCAAACTGGGCTCCACAATACTCTAACATATTTTCTTTTTAAAAATCTGTGTTCTTTCCCTTCAGTATTGTATTCTTCCAATTTATTATCTCCTCCACTCACTGAACTAGGTATGCACTTAAAATACAAAACATGGGAAGTTAGCTTTCGAAAGCAGAGAAAAATATGCTTTTAATAATATGTAGGAACCATAAGGCTCCTCATGTATTATACAAAAATGTATTATAAATACATATATGTAATGGCCTTGACACAAAAATTATGCCCATTTCTCCAGTTCCTAAGATTGTATTAGCAGAAGATGGGTAAAAACAAAAATGTTTGTTGAGCCTACATGCATCATGCTGTGTGCTCATTGTCCCTGTATCCTCTCAGTTCCTTTCAGAGCTAGAATCATCCTGGTTTAGAATTATTCACTCTACAAACATGTATTGAATGAACACTCTGAGCCAAAACTGTGCTAGGCACTGGGATTTCAGAAATAAGTAAAACCTAGTCCTCTGTTTTCAAGAAGTGATTAGACAATTAAAGAAGATAGACATGCATCATCACTTAATTGCAATAGGTTTTGATAATTGCAATTGTATTAAGTGCAGCTCTGGCAGGAGGATAAATAATACTTGGGTACTATAATCAAGAAAGCCTTCATAGAAGAGCTTATCTTTACAGATGAGGAGGAATTCACCAGAGAGATGAGGAAAAGAAGAAAATTCTAGGCAGAAGTACGTACAAAGACAGAGGAGTGAAACAGTAGAACTTATTCAGAGAACTACGAGTCATTTTATGTGACCAAAGGGAAGGTTGCCCAAGGGATCTGCAAGAGCTAATTTTAAGAATCCCTAATATTGATTGCTTCAAGAATTATTCTAAACATTCTACATGTATGAATGCATTCAACTCTTAGCACAACTCTAACATAGAAGGTATGATTATTATCCCTACTTGGCAAATAAAGAACTTGAGGCACACGGATATTAATTAACTCTCCTGGGATTACACAGCCTGTACGAGCCATGCTAGGAATGGATCCTGGCAATCTTGCTCCAGAGCCCATTCTCTGAATTCTGCAGCACTACTGCTTCTTAGAGATGAGGTTGGAGAGATAGGCAGAACCCAGACCAAGGAGGGCCTTGGAAGTCATCACAATGAGTTTGGATTTTATCTCATAGCCAGTAAGAGCCTGGGGCAGGTTTGAATTCGATAAGTGAAATTAGTAACTTTGTATTTGGGAAAGGCCATTCTAGAAGGAACATACAGAATGGACTAGGGAGAGAGCTAAAATTGGAGAAAGGATATCAGGAAGAAAACTAATTGCTCCATAAGAGAGGACAAAAACCTGGGCCGGGCGTGGTGGCTCATGCCTGTAATGCCAGCACTTTGGAGGCCGAGGCGGGCAGATCACGAGGTCAGGAGATGGAGACCAACCTGGCCAACACGGTGAAACCCCGTTTCTACTAAAAATGCAAAAAATTAGCTGGGTGCGGTGGCATGCGCCTGTAGTCCCAGCTACTCAGGAGGCTGAGGCAGGGGAATCGTTTGAACCTGGGAGGCAGAGGTTGCAGTGAGCCAAGATTGTGCCACTGCACTCCAGCCTGGTGACAGAGCAAGACTCCGTCTCAAAAAAAAAAGAGAGAGAGAGGAAAAGACCCTAAACTCAGGAAGTATCAGTGGGGTTGGAAAGGAGTGGCAAAGGAAGGACTGTTCTTTCACTAGGGACAAAGTACCTCTTAAGCCTCCCTCTGTCTTTGACTCATACCCCTAAAGAGCAATGTTTTCACCATCTCTTCCTATTGTCCACAACTATATTCTTCCTCTGCTCCTAAATTTCTAATAATCTATCCTTGGTTTCTATTTCTCTGTTGGACTATTTGATTAGCTAGGGACTTAAGTGCAAACAAGTCCACCAGTAGCTAATGACTTTCAACAACATGAGCCTTCCAATTCCATTTGTGTTCTACTACATACGAACAGCTTGGTAGCAGTTTGGTTGGCAACTAAATGAGAGATAAATAGTTAAGAAAATGCCAAGAAAGGATTATTTTAGATTTACCAAGCATAGATTGTCTTTCTAAACTTGTTTTCCAAAGAAAGTCATCCTTTGTAAAGAGCTTCATTAAGTTTTTGTATCAATGTTATATATATATGTATGTATGTATAGTATATATATGTGTGTATATATGTATATATGTGTGTATATATGTATATGTGTGTACATATGTATATATGTGTATATATGTATATATGTGTATATATGTATATATATGTGTGTATATATGTGTGTATATATGTGTGTGTATATATAGTCTAAATGGCTTTTCATTCCCTTCTTAAGGTACTCCTACATCAAATCAGAGTTCTCAAATAATTTAACAAATAAATGTAAGGCTGAGGCTATTATGGCTTTGTTTCCTTTTGTTTCTTTGCCTTTAAAGAAACATAATTCTTGAATTTTTTAATACTCAGAGAAAATCCCTTACCTCAAGCCAATAATTCTTCTTACAGTTATTCTTCCATGCTTGCTGAGAGTGAACTGAGTGGCTGGGACTATGAATATGGTTTCTGCTTACCCAAGACACCCCGATGTGCTCCTGAACCAGATGCTTTTAATCCCTGTGAAGATATTATGGGCTATGACTTCCTTAGGGTCCTGATTTGGCTGATTAATATTCTAGCCATCATGGGAAACATGACTGTTCTTTTTGTTCTCCTGACAAGTCGTTACAAACTTACAGTGCCTCGTTTTCTCATGTGCAATCTCTCCTTTGCAGACTTTTGCATGGGGCTCTATCTGCTGCTCATAGCCTCAGTTGATTCCCAAACCAAGGGCCAGTACTATAACCATGCCATAGACTGGCAGACAGGGAGTGGGTGCAGCACTGCTGGCTTTTTCACTGTATTCGCAAGTGAACTTTCTGTCTACACCCTCACCGTCATCACTCTAGAAAGATGGCACACCATCACCTATGCTATTCACCTGGACCAAAAGCTGCGATTAAGACATGCCATTCTGATTATGCTTGGAGGATGGCTCTTTTCTTCTCTAATTGCTATGTTGCCCCTTGTCGGTGTCAGCAATTACATGAAGGTCAGTATTTGCTTCCCCATGGATGTGGAAACCACTCTCTCACAAGTCTATATATTAACCATCCTGATTCTCAATGTGGTGGCCTTCTTCATAATTTGTGCTTGCTACATTAAAATTTATTTTGCAGTTCGAAACCCAGAATTAATGGCTACCAATAAAGATACAAAGATTGCTAAGAAAATGGCAATCCTCATCTTCACCGATTTCACCTGCATGGCACCTATCTCTTTTTTTGCCATCTCAGCTGCCTTCAAAGTACCTCTTATCACAGTAACCAACTCTAAAGTTTTACTGGTTCTTTTTTATCCCATCAATTCTTGTGCCAATCCATTTCTGTATGCAATATTCACTAAGACATTCCAAAGAGATTTCTTTCTTTTGCTGAGCAAATTTGGCTGCTGTAAACGTCGGGCTGAACTTTATAGAAGGAAAGATTTTTCAGCTTACACCTCCAACTGCAAAAATGGCTTCACTGGATCAAATAAGCCTTCTCAATCCACCTTGAAGTTGTCCACATTGCACTGTCAAGGTACAGCTCTCCTAGACAAGACTCGCTACACAGAGTGTTAACTGTTACATCAGTAACTGCATTATTGAATTGTTCTTAAACCTGTAAAAAAAAATTACCTGTACCAGTAATTTTAACATAAAGGGTTGGATTTAGGAAATTATTTATTTTTAGGTACATTAGGCAAGAGACCTCTACCTAGTAGAAAGTGTAGTCTATGACCACTGCCACACTAAAAACTATTTGTCATTGTTACATGGCATAAATACTGAAGTTGAGAGTGTTTAGAAATTTTTATAGAAATTTTGACACAGTAATTTTGTTTGATGAATCTTTTAAAAAACTGAGGAGGTATTTTGCATATCTTTTTTTTCATTTTCGTAATTTGTATTGCATTCTATAAAAATATTAGTTCATAACAGATCAGAAATTTAAAATAACTGGCCTTTTTCCTCAGGTAGTTTGAAAAACACACTCTAGAGATGCACTGTCCAATCCGGTAGCCACTAGCCACATGTGGCTAAATTAAAATTAAATAAAATGAGAAATGTAGTTTCTCAGTTGCACTAGCCACGTTTCAAGTTCTCAATGGCTACGTGTGACTAGTGCTTACCATACTGGACAGCACAGACACAGAATATTTTCATCACCACAGAAAGTTCTATCTGTTCTATTATAGAGACTTTTATCTATGCCCTATCTGGATTCTACTTATTTATAATTTAAGGTAAACATCTGAAAGCACATTTCAGCCTATTTGCTTAGTGAAACATTAAGCTGTAGACTGTAAACTCCTCGTGAGTAGGAACCCTGTCTCAGTGCATTTTGTTTTCCTGCTTCCTACCTCAAGATCTTGGCAATGGTACACTACAAATGTGCTGAGTTAGAATTACTCTGAAGTTATGAAACATATAATGAAAACAATTTTTTCTAGAGCTTATATTTTTATTTGAATGAAATAAAATGTTTAAATATTTAAAAATAATTAAGTTTCATCATTTCTATCCTTTGGAGAGTATAGGAAAAGACATTCAATATTTGCTGGAAGATATTTTTACTTACTAGAATTGTCTCTTATAGGACAACAAAACTATGGTTTTAACTACAGTGTTTTTTATATGCTCCTTTGACTTTTTTAAAGTAACTCTTATTGAAAGCTAATTCTATACCAAACATCTTGAAAAACGTTATATAATTTAACCCATTTAATCTTCATAAAACTCTATGATGTAGATACTATTCACATTTTATAGGAGAGCAAAACCTACAATTTGTCAAAGTTCTCAAAACGAATAAAAGATCCAACTAATAGAATTTAAACTCAAAGCTCTGATTCAGGACCCCAGCCTCTTAATCACTGTATTTTACTGACTCCCATATTGGTAAAACAGTCATCTAAAGGTTTAATATGCATTCAAAGTTCCTTAAATTTTCCCCAACGTTTTATTATCTTTTCAAATGTGCAGAAAAATTGAAAGAATTGTGCAGTGAACACCCATAGAGCACCACTTAGGTTCAACAATATTTTACCACATTAGCTTCATTACATATGTATATAATTATTCATTATTTATCAATTCATCTTATTTTTGATGCATTTCAGAGTAATTTGTAGACATCAGTACTTAGCCCTAAACATTTTGGCACTTTTATTACTAACCAAGATATTTACATTTCTAGATAAAATTTATATATAATGAAATGGACGAATCTTAAGCATACCATTTAATGAGTTTTGAGAAATGCATACACCATGTGACCCAAACTTCTGACCCAAACTTCTATCAAGGCATAGTAATATAATATCATCACCCTCAGAAAGTTCCCTCATGCCCCTTCCCAGTTAATTCCTGACCCCCAGCCCCACAGGGAAGGATGGTTTTTTATTTTTCTCCCACCAATTAGTTTGTCTGTTCTAGAACTTCATATAAACAGAATCATATAGTATATACTCTTTTGTATAAGGCTTGACTCAACCCAATGTGTTTGCTACTTATCCATGTTACTGCTTGAATATTGCTGATTAATATTACATTGTATGAATAGAATATTGTTTCTATTCTTCTATTAATGAATATCTGTGTTATTTCCAATTTTTAGCTTTGAGATTTTATTATATAAATGTATAGACATAACTAGACACTCTACACATCCAATCTGTTTTCAATCCTTATGCCACTGTGCAAAGTGATTCAAAGAGATCATAACATTATAAATTTTATAAAATCTGTTCTCTGTACTGTGTTTTTCACATTTCTGATTTTTCTGCTGCATAACAAGTTACTTGTCTTTATTCAGATGCAGGCCTCTCTCATAAGCTAGTGTTCTAAAATTTGTCTCAGCAATATAACAGAATACTAATTAGTCATGTTGCTGTATACCTAACACAAACTTTCTGTTTCATATATAAATCCCAGAACCAAAACAGCTAAGTAAGCAAAAAAAGCACAAAGGAAAAAAGGGAAATAAAATCTATTCTTGTGGAGAAACTTTAAATTACACACTCAAATGCAGTTTGAGACCAAGCTACTTGTACGCATACTCTCAATAACTTTCATGACCTTTGCACAAAAACTGATGTTTATTTTCTACATTATAAGTTTTAACACATGGAGTTACAGTTTATTGTCTCCCTCATTCTCATTCCCATATTCCCATATTCTTCAGTTGCTAAGATCTACCAGTTATTCTTTTGAATTGTCTTCTACACCAGTTAATATTCCAGGGCCAGGCATGGTGGCTCATGCCTGTAATCCCAGCACTTTGAGAGGACAAGGCAGGAGGATCACTTGAGGCCAAAAGTTCAAGATCAGCCTGGACAACATAGCGAGACCCCATCTCTACAAAAATTAAAATTAAAAAATTAGCCAGGTGTGGTGGCAACATGCCTGTAGTACCAGCTACTTGGGAGGCTGAGGCAGGAGAATCACATAAACCCAGGAATTCGAGGTTGCAGTGAGCTATGATCATGTCATTGTACTCTAGCCTGGGCAACAAAGTGAGACCCTGTCTCAAAAAAGAAAAAAAAACTTCCCATGTAAATGTAAACTGAAAAAAATATTGTATTCCTATTGCCACACCCACATCTCAGATCATTTTCCCCTTACTCCTGGAGTATCTCCCTAATTTTTATTCCTATCCAATCTTTCCCATGTCCATACTCTCATACCCACTACCACTGATTAATTGTCATAAAATCCTATTTCACCTTATTATATACCTGCAAAAAAAATCCTGAGCAATTCATCAGACCTATAAATTTAAATTTCAGAGCTTAGCCTAACATTCAGAGAGCTCTAACTTTAATTCTACTGATCTACTTTAAATCTACTAACTTTATTTCCTGCTGATTTTCTACATGAAACAAACTGTTCTAATCACTTTTCCCTAGCCATGCCCTATGAATATCCATGCTGGAGCCCATGCCATTCTCACTGTCTGAATATCTTACCCCTTACCTGTCCTTCCCTGCATCCTTTAAGGCCCTAAAACAACCATAGGTTCATCTTTTTTATCTTTTTTCTTAAAGAAAAACAAAACAAAACAAAACAACCAGAGTCTCACTCTGTAAGCCAGGCTGGAGGACAGTGGTGTGATTAAGGCTCACTGCAGCCTCTACCTCCTGGGCTCAAGTGATCCTCCCTCCTTGGCCTCCCAAGTAGCTGGAAATACAGGCATGCACCACCATGCCTGGCTTTTTTTTTTTCTTGTACAGATGGGGTTTAGCCATATTGCCCAGGCTGGTCTTGAACTCCAGTCTTCAAGAAATCCTCCTACCTTGTCTTCCCAAAGTGCTGAGATTACAGGCATGAGCCACCGTGCCCGGCCTTTTTTATTTTTAAAAAATTAAACTCTCTTTACTTTCTCCTTAATCTACTATAGTCAGGACTCTTCCTTTATCCAAAATAAAGTAGGGCATAAATAATGTATAACCCACAGTGGTCTCTCTCTTTGGACTTCTTTAGCATTTGTCCTCTGCATCACTCATTTGTCTCTTACCCTACACTGCTGGGTATTATTAATTATCTTTACAAGCACACCACTTATTCACCTATGATAGGAGTTTTTTTAGTGATACACTCATCTCTGTTTCCAACTATATCTAGAGTCTTACACATCATAGATGATTAATAATTTTTTAGCTGATTCACTTTTATAACTGAAAATAAAATTGTCCTAGTTAAGAAGCATTTCCTATATGAGATGGTCTCATAGAAAACGTGTATCCTTATTCTGTATAATCTCTCATACCTAAATCATAAAAATGCAATACTTGATAAATTTATATTTCTATTTTGTATTTTTTAACCAACATTTGATATTATCACTAGTAGGTTGCAAAATGGCTAAGAGGGGTTAATTCATCTGGAATAACTCATCTAAATTTACAAAATGATTTTAAAGGGCAATGGTATTTTTTCCTCCATTTATAACATTTGCTGTAAAAGGCATGATTTTGGTTTCCTCAAATTGTAGTGGGTCCACATGTAAATTAAGAATCTCTGTCACAAATATTTCAATAAATGTGTTTATAATTAGAAATAATGTTTTCCTCAAAATGAGCAATATTTTTATCTTTTTCCCCCTAAGAGTTATTACCTAGGGCTTTCTACTTATAATTTAGCTTTCTAGTTATAAATCACAACATTCTCACCTGGCTTAGTGTGTATTTACATGAAAACCAGGATAATATTAACCTACTAATATGAGTCAAAATAAAATCTCCCACTAAATCCCCTCCCTTTTTACCCACGACAATTAACTGATGCTATTCACTCTAAAAGTTATTCTTTTTCCTACACAACCTAAGTGACTGAAACTGAGTGTGTCAATAGATTTCTTGCTGCTCTATGGAGACTGAGCTACAGAGGTGATTATTTACATATATTATAGCCATGACTGAGGTGTTCTGCACATCGAATAAAATAGGTAAATGTACCAGACAAGGTCAGTTGGTCAGTCCCTAAGAGACTAACTGTACGAACTCAGCAAGATCTTCTTAGTCTACAGAGAAAAGAAGAAAGTATGTAGGAAAGAGCTATAGCATAGGCCAGGTGTGGTGGCTCACACCTGTAATCCTGGTACCTTGGGAGGCCAAGGCAGGCAAATCACTTGAGCTCCCAAGTTCAAGACAGGCCTGGGCAACATGGCAAAACCCTGTCTCTACAAAAAATACAAAAATTAGCCGGGCATGGTAGTGCATGCCTGTAATCCCAACTACTTGGGAGGCTGAGGCATGAGGATCTCTTGAGCCTGGGAAGTGGAGGTTGCAGTAAGCCAAGATAGCACCACTGCACTCCAGCCTGGGTGATAGAGCCAGACCTTGTCTCAAAAAAGAGAAGAGGAGGAGAAAGGGAGGGGAGGAGAAGGGGAGGAGAAAGGGAAGGGAGGAGAAAGGGAAGGGAGGAGAAACAGAGGGGAGGGGAGGGGAGAGGAGAGGAGAGGAGAGGAGGAAAAGAAGGAGGAAGACAGGGAGGGAAGAAAGAACTACAGCATGCTAACAAAAATACTTGAGAAATTCTCAAAGCATACTGACATAGAAATTTCTCTACCTATAAAAGAGCTTAGAAATGACATTTGCCAAGAGACTGTCTTTATAAGAACTTAAGAAACTTAGAGTATTTTGTTATAAAAATGCAATAGGAAATGTTTACCTCGGACATAATAAAGAGGTTCCTGAAAGTAAAAGTAATATGATATCAAAGCCAAGTCTCAGGTAAACTCTCCTGACTTACAGGGCTTTTAAAGAATAATTTTCTCTTTTAAAATTAACTAGTGTCTCACCCTATCTTTACTACACAGGTTAAAAATGTAGGTAGTGAAATCAATTTAGTGGGTCAACACCATCAATTTTTTTAATGAAACAAAACAGAATCAAATAGATGATGTCGGGAAGGCTATCATATGCTAAAGGCAGCATGATTTTCTGAAACTTTTGTTTCATTTGTGTTATGTGTGTCAGTAGACATGCAAATATATACTGAGTTGCTAAACTGTATTTCTTAGGGTAGATTCTGGCCAAAAAATGTTAAAGTCACTGTTCAGATGACTTCTCAAGAACTAGGATTTTTCCTAGCATTATCTGAGACCAATAAAAAGGTAACAGATCCAAAATAATTTGGTGATCTCTTAATTCTCTCTGTAGTCACCAGTGAAACTATGTAATTGGTTTATGTTAGCATGCAAGGAAAATTATTATTATTGTTTTGTGATAAGCGTACATTTAAATTGATTTTTTGCATTTTTAAAAGATGAGGGGCATGAGGGCAAGCAGAAACACAAATGGAACAACCATGACTAATTCTTTAATGATAAAGTATACTACACAAATAAAGAGGCCCAATATCATAACAGTATTTGTAATATACCATTTAAAAAATCACTAAAGTAAAATGAGATTTTAAAGTTCACAGTGAAAAAGAGGAAAAGAATTTTAGAAACAAATATTATTGCCTCCCCCAGGCACTTGAACCAACACATTAATTCCCAGTTCCCAGGTGTGTACACCTTATCAATAAATTCAGCCCTTAATTTGCAATAAAATTTGCCTGGGGAAAATACAGAATGACTGGGTGGGCCTGAAAGAAAACAGGAAGAAGAAAGTACACTCCTCAGCCCTGGAGTGGGTACATTTCAGAGACAGATGCAAAGGGCTCTCTTTTTGCTTTCCATGTAGAGAATACAGACATTTCATGGAAGGCAACACCCTTGAAAAGAACCCACAGCTCCTGGGAGTTCTCAAGATCCAGAGAAGGATCTAGAATAGCACTGGTAATAAGGAAAAGGTCAATCACTCTAAGGATGAAGAGGGCCTAGTGGGAGAATACAGTTAGGGGACCAGCCCACTCACTAGTACTAACTGAATCCTCATGCAGCTGCCTACTTTAGGCTGGAGACAATACCCCATCCACATTGCCCAGGACCCAGAGGAGATCCATCCAGATTTCAAGAAGATATACCAATAGCTGAGCCTCCTGGGTAGGACAGAAAAGTGTTGGAAAAAAATTAAACTCCCCAATAGGGTTGCTTTCCAAAAAGATACAGGGAATTTGCCCTGTAACCAGTCAGATCCAGGCATCGAATCCTTAAGGAGCTTTAATAGGCCATAACCTACTCATCCCTGCACTGCTCTTTTTATGACAGTTACTGTCCTTAAAAACACCATTCAGGGATAAAAACAGAGCTCCTAGACTTACAGACCATATGTGCCCCACCTGTTAAGAGCAGCAGAGTGATGGGGAAAATATTTCTTTGAGAGACGTGAATCTACTAAGGAAAAGAGTATTATAGAATAACTTATCGGAATATTAATTTGCTTTGGTTTTTATTGCCACAGGAAAATGAGGGCTATTTATCTGATGTTTTGTTTTCTCTCTGTGATTTCAAGACAGTTATCCAGTCCTCCGTATCTCAAATGAGACTGCCAAAGCAGAAATTCCTGAAGAGAACATCTCTTCTTGACTTTTGTTTCAGAAAGCCTAAAATCAATGAAGGAGATCCCTGTTAAGAAAAAGAGAGTGAGGTACTGCCTTTGAAGAGGAAAGGGTTTGCAAAGGGGTCTTCCACCGCACGAAAAACAGAAAAAGTAGGGAGAGAGAAAAAAAACGCACCATGATTAGGAAAAATACAGACATATGAAATTTCAAGAAGTAGAACAGGAACCTAACCTACTTCCTCACAATTCCCCAGAAATATAAAGAAGAATGGCCTAGCCAAATGATAAGTCCAGAGAGGCTGATCCTTAGCTACAGGGATCCTAGCCTCAGCAAAGATTTTCATGTTCAGATAATAGTATAGGCGCCTGCCTCCAGGGGACTATCTGGGCTTAAACAGTCAACATACTTCCAGTGATCAGTACAGAATTAAAACCCAAAGACGCCTTCTTGAATATCCCACTACTTAAAAGACTCCCAAGGACGTTCTATAACATGGTTTGGTGAGAGGTGGGAGGAATGCTGATCCCAATCTAATAACTGATACTGACTTTACCATGAAGGGGAACTGAAGTGTGATTTAAATTTTACTTCAAGAAAAAAGAAATGTGATACTTCTTCATGTTCCATTATCCTGATGCATCTATGCTTTGTAATGGTATAGAATGAGAGTTTTAAAAAACCCTGTTAAGACATAAAACAAAATACATATAAAATTGTGTAATTGTATCTGCATCTGAATTATAATTTTATTAAATTCCATACAGTGAACTAAAAATTTGAACAGCTCTGTGCTGGACTATATTCAAAATAAAAATGAATTCACAATATGCAATATAATCCAACTGATGTTCACAAAATAGATGTACTGAGCTCACAAGGTTTACCACTCTGCATCACCAATGGCTTTTGCAAATACATAGTCTCTCCCTCCAAAACACATAACACCATCTTTCAAATAGAATTTCCATTTGTTCTTGCTTCGATGAATCTGGAGGGAGAAAAGTAGTTTACATTAATTAATTTTACAAGTTAAAGGATCACCTGCATTTCTCTGCTACAGTAAATGGGATTATTCTCACCCGAAATGTGAGTGCCTTAAAATTAAAATCTCCTCAAGATAGTTTGTTTATTCCATAAACATTTGAGTTCCTATGTGTTAGACACTGTTTTAGGCACTGGAAATATATTAGTTTAAGATACATATATTTCTATACTGTATATATTATATATAAAAACACACATCCTGTATATGTAAAACCAAAAAAAATCCCTGCCTTTTAAGAGTTTACATTTTAATAGGGAAGGACAGAAACCTAATACATAAGTAAATTATGTAGAATATTAAGCTGTCATTTGAGGTGACACTTGAGCAAAAACTTGAAGAAGGTAAGGAGTAAAGCAAGGCAGATATTTACTCAGGAGCATTCCAGATAAAAGGAATAGAAGTGAACAGTCCTAAAGAGGGGCATGCCTGGATTGTTCAAGAACAGCACAGAGTCCAGTATGTCTGCAAAGGAATAAACAGGGAAGATGTAGCCAATATTATCAGAAATGAAAAAGTGATACTTCATCATGAGGAAGAAAGTCCCAATAAAGCACTGAACAAGGTCAGAATATACAGCTTATAATCTGTAAGACTCTGCTGGCTGTTTTCTAGATTCCATAAATCAGCCTAGACACAGACACAATAAAAAATAAGAAATTTTAATACTTCAAGAGGTAACAAGCCATAAAATCATTGCTACCTCTAAGTAAACTGCAAGTGACTATTTAAAAGCCCTAGGAATATATGATCTGAGATCAAGAGTAAAATTTAAACCTAGTTGTTGACTACAAATAGTCAAATCCAAGAACAAAGGCTGTGACTGGTATTCAGATGCATTTTGTGAAGCATAAGAAAACACACAGGATAAACCCCTATTTTTGTGGGGGGGTTTTAAAGTCCTAATAAATTTTTTCTGAGTTTTATTCCCAAATTGTCTTGCACAGTCACTTGCACGTGTCTTAAAAATCTCTCGGGAATACAACGGTGACAACAAACATCCCAAACTCAGCACAGGTAATAAAATATAAGCAGCATTAGGAGAACAACAGAAGCAACAACTAATTGTGGTACCTTTATCTAGTGACTATATTTTTTCTAGATATACAACAATAGTTCAATGTTAGGAACTTATTAATATAAAAATCATATTACTTCAGTTACTGACAAATCATATAATCACCTCTAATTGTGTTGAAAAAGTATTTAATAAAACTATTGCATATTAGATTTTTTAAAACTCCAGAAAAAATATTAAAGACTGTGTATTACACACACACACACACACACACACACACACACCCATCTCAGAGTTTACAACTATGACACTTATACTGTCTTCCCCAAACCTCACAATCTTCCCCATCTCACTGGGAAATGACCACTTATTCTTCTAAGAGCTCAAGTCAAAAATCTTAGAGGTATTCTTTATGCTTGCTACTTACATCCCATATCCAGATCCATCAGTAAGTGTTAGTTCTACCTACAAAACATATTCATATTCCAAAAACTTCTACCACTTCCACTACTGTTACTCTTATCTCAGCCATCATCTTCTCTTGCCCAGGTCAATACAATAGCCTCATAACTAGTTCCTGTTTTTACCCTTGTTCCCTGACAACACCCACTTCAGTCTACTATAAACAGGATACCCAGAGTGTCTGCTAAAAACATAAATCAGATGTCATTTCTCTTGTCGAAACTCTCCAATGACTTCCCATCCAAAAACTAAAGTCCTTACAATGGACTACAAAATCCTTTATTTTTCCTCACTTACTGCTCTGGCCTCTGCACTGTTCCCTGAACACACGGGCATACTCCTACCTCAGGACTTTTGTATTTCTTGTTCTTTCTGTTCAAAATGCTTACACTCTAATATCCTCACAGTTCATTCCCTTACTTCCTTCTGATCTTTACCCTATTACATTCTCAATAAGGCCCCCCTAGACACTCCATCTAAAATTGCAATCTATTCCTCCCCAGCATCATTAAAATAACAAATTTTATTAATTTAATGTGATCTCAATGAAAATACCAACAGGGTTTTATTTTGAACCAGACAAGTTGATTCTGGAGTTAATATGAAAAATGAACAAGAATATCCAGGAAAACTCTGCAAAAAAATTAGTAAAGAATTACTAACCTTACCAGACATTAAAAATCTTAATAATTAAATCAGAGTAGCATAGGCCTATGGACAGACAAACCAATGGAACAAAACAGAAAATCAATAAGTAGACCCAAATACATTTAGAAATGCAGTAGCAGATGATAAATCATGTCTTAACATTAGGGACGAAATAGATTTCTTAAAAAATGTTAGGAAGATTGAGTAGCCACCTGGAAAAAAAAAAATAAAAAGTTGAAACCATATGTTACATTATACACCAAGACAAACACCAAATGAATCAAGACTTGAGTATATAGATATAGATATAGATATAGATGATATAGATATAGATATAGATATATAGATATATATGAAATACTTGAAGAAAACATGAGCTTCCCTTTAAAACTCTGAGGTAAGAAAGAACTTTTTATTCATGGCTCAAAATGCAGAAGACATAAAATTAAAGATTGACAGATCCAAAATCTACATATTGAAAAGAAAAAGCAATGAAAATAACTGAGTAAAAAGTACTTCTGTGTATAACAAAAAGCTCATTTTCTCCAAAATAATATTGAGCTCTTAGAGATCACTAAATATAAGACCAAATAATCCAATTTTTTAAATAGACAAAGATTATGAACAAACAGTTCACAAAATGTAAATACAAAAGGCCCTTTAACATATGGAAAGTTAAAAATTCCAACAAGGTATCACTTTTCATCTTTCACAATGGCAAAATGCTCTTAGAGAGCATTTTGGGAATACCTAACCACGTACATTTGCCCTTTGACCCAGAATCCCATTTCTGGGGATTTAATAGATATATCTGCACACATTATGAAAATGTCTTATATACATAGTGGTTCAAATCAAAAGACTGAAAAATCACAAATATCCATCAGTAGAGGATTGGTTAAATGAATTTTAGTAATCCTACAATAGGATATTATACAGCCATTAAAATATCATCACAAAGAAAGCCTCCTCATATGGGAAGATCTGACAGATACGTTGTTTAAAGAAAAAAAGCAAGGTACAGAATATAGTGTTATTTATGCTATCTTTTGTATTTGTATTTGAATAAAGAAATTCGATGAAAACTAATATAACTACTTATTTGCATTCAAAACAGGAAAAGGAGCTACTAATAGAAAGCAAAAATGATGAAGGAATGTGAACCAGACTTTTCATTGTATACCTTTTTACAGTATTTTGATTTTTTAACCATGTGTATGCACTATCTATTCAAAGGAAATGTACATATATATAGACTATTATATAGAGAGATATATAGATACATATAAAGAGACTATATATACACATATATACATATCTCTCTCTGTATATATAAAGAAACCATGCTACACACCTAGAAATTAATCATTGTATAGCATCTAAGGGATAAAGTCAGCTATAAGCAAGTCTGCTAAACTGTCAAACGAAGATATAGGATATTCAAATGGTTTCACATTCCACTATAAATAGTGTCCTATTTGTAGCACAGAACACCTCCATCTGTAGTAAAAGGTTTCATTTCACCATTAATTTTCGCTATAATATCTTTATTATTTAAATCCTTATATTAATTTTAGACATTCTCTAGGCCTCTGAAACAAAATATCTATACCATTTAACTAATTCTCACCCAGTATGTAAACCAGTGGCCTTCATTTAGCCCTTTTGCACTGTACATGTTTATATTTTCAAAGTTTTCCCCCCAATTGTTAATCTCTAAATTTTAAAGATAAATTCCATCTGTTAATCAAATCCAAATAAAATATACTAAAGAAACCAAACACTGCTTCTCAAAATTTAACGGCCATACAAATCATTTTGGAGTCTTGTTAAAATGTACATTCTTATCCAGTACTCTGGCGTGGGACTCAGGATTCTGCATTTGTAATAGTTTCCCAGAGGAACTGATACTACCTGCCTTTAAAATAAGCTGAGTAAGTTAGCAGAGTGGC